>NC_000002.12:235974466-236277496 GCF_000001405.40 Homo sapiens
TATCCCCCCCTTGGGTTCACAGCGCTTTGTTCTGAAGGTCTCAGAAGGGAATTTATTTTATCCTTCTCATCTTGTTCCTTTGGTTGTTCATTCTGGTCTTTATCGCACCATTGTGTGGTTGATCCTGGATGGATATTGAAAGATTCTCCTGTAGAGGGTAAGTCACAAACGGGCCTCTCACTGTTATGGTAGAAAATGAATTGCTCATCACAGCTGCACTCACTGAGCAATGAAATGTTGACAAATTTCATTAACTCCAGAGTTGCAGAGGTCACCCAGGACTTAGTTTCCCTTCACTCTTTCAAAGGAGAACCTGAAATTGTAGATCATTTTATTCTTTCATCAAATATGAAGCAACCACCACAGGGAAAGCACTGTGTGCTTGCCTCCATGGGAGACGTTGAGAAATAAAACTCGGTTCCTCTCTCTCTCCAAGGAGTTTAGAGCCTGATTATGGAGATAAGACATGCAAGAAACTGTAACGAGGATGTCAGGCAGAATATTCGAGAAAGGCATGGGAATTCAGAAGAAGCACAAATACACACTGAGTTGTAAAAGTTAGGGAAGGCTAACCTGTTGTAGAGCTTAATTTTTATTGTGCAGATTTAGCACATAATGGTTATCTTATTTAATAAAACTGCAGAAATCATTACTTTTTCATTAAATGTTGCCTACTTACAACTTTAAACACCAGTGGTGGTGATTTAATTAGTCACAAAATGGAGTTTTGTTTTTACTTAGATGCTAAGAAACAGATGTTGCTATTGATCAGTTACCTTTTACCTGAGGACTTTTTTTTATTATTATTAATTAGTTGATGTCTTGGAAGGCACTTTGGAGAGAAATTAAAGAATCGTGCATGCATATCGTACAGTGTTGTTTTTTTTCTTGCAGGAAAGCAATACGTGGGTGCGTGGAAGCTCTCAGTTAATCTGTAACCATCCGGTTAGATGGACTATCATGCAGCTTGAGCCATTGCTGGGTAGTTTGGGGATTTTGCATGCCGTGATTGGGAGGGCAGTGTGCTTGTTTTGTTATTTAGAATATAACAAGGTTGTAAGAGTCTTATTAGCACAAGGCTCTCATCTTTTCTCACTCCTGGGGTGCAATTAGTGTGCACATGACGGTGAGCACATGACTGGCAAGGAGTCAGGGCCCAGAAACTGTTACCTTCCAGGTTTATATCCAGTCTACAGGGGCTTTCACATTGAATTCTGTGTTATTTGGAGGTGGCTGGAGGGGAGATCCAGTTGCACAAGTGTTACTGTCATTCTTCCCTCAGGTTTTCTCCTTTTCTTCTCCATGAACATTCCACCGGCACCTCCCGTGTCTGCTCCTTGTTTAACATTGGCAGCTACCCAGGAAAGGGAACGAGAAGTCTCCACAATCAGCTCCCTAAAAACTGCATAATCAACAGTAATTTTTGATACAATAAGGACTTATTAATTAAACTTCCTTATTAGCAAACCACTGGTTAGTGCATCTGAACAGTTGAGTTGAACAGTTCATTATAGCAAATGTGGAAAACCAAGAATGAGAACATCTTCCTGGGAGATACACTGGAAATGCAGTAGCGAATGTGGAAAACCAAGAATCAGAACATCTTCCTGGGAGATACGCTGGAAATGCAGTCACTTCACTCTGCTAAGGATATCAGGAGACTGGCTGGGTTTCATCACCCTTGGGCTGTCAGTGATGGGAGCCACCATGCATCCCGACGGACTTGCCTCCTCCCCACAAACTAGATGACTTTTCCAAAGACAGTTTGCTCTCAGGTTGTAACTCCAGCTTCCAAGAGAATGAACTTGCTGAAATTGAGTAGATCATCTGGGTTTACTCTAGACATTGACATTGTAGATTGGGCACAGTTGACTCAAAAGCCATCCTGCAGGGTACAGTCCGGCCGCCACAAACACACACAAGCAGTAAGCGCTCTCAGATCCTTTGTGGAAGCCAGCAGGTCGGAAATAAACAAAGATGAGTCGATCACAGCAGGGGCAGCCAGAACGGAAGATTCCCATCGTGATGAACCGACGCACAGAAGGATGTTTGTAGTGTGGTTTTTGTTTGTTTGTTTGTTTTAATTTTTTTAACCACACACAAACTTAAAGGGGTTAGATTCAGGTCCAAAAATGTTCATTGAGCACCTACTGCACGCAAGAGTTTTGTCTGATGCTGGATGGGACATCAACTGAAGCGGCCCAGCCATCAGGACACACATAGACCAGTGGAGAAAGCAGAAACACGCCGGGGAACTTGGTTATGCAGGAGCACAGGGCACCCCCAGCTGCCTGGAGGACCTCAGGGAGGTTCCCCAAAGGGGAGTAGACACTCACACACGTTGTATAGACAACGAAATATCTGCTATTCCAAGGAGGAAAAAAGGAAAAAATCTGAAAAGTCAAAACAAACTAAATCTTGTAAAGAGGTGGCTTGGAGCTCCTGGGGGTACCTAGGCAACTCCTGACGCCACAGACAAGCATTTGAGCTCCTTAGCCTGCTACACAGAAGCATAAACTCACCTTTGAAAAATGCTGACTACTCACAAGGTCCCTTTCTAAGATACAGAAATGTGACGGACCTCAACTCCTTTTTTTTAGCTAGACTTAGAGATTCTCTTCTGCGAGTGGGGCTCGGTTAGCACAAGCTGCTCACAGGCTCCGGCGTCCATCAGCAGAGAACTCGGGGCACCGTGTTTTCCTGTGTGCACCCTGGGATTGGAATTCGGGCTAGCTTGGGAGACCCTGCATTGGTCGACTTTCATTAGAATCTAGGATCTGTCTTGAAGTCATTTTCTTGATGGTCTCAAAATGTTTGAGCTCTGAGGCTTTTCGGATGTCATTTAAGTCTCGGTGAAATTATGGTCCACTTGGACCAAGGTCCTGAAGCCAGAAGAGGGGCTGGTTCTAGCGGCCAGTGCTGTTCAACTTGTGTCTTCCTTACTATTCTAAATCCTCATCTACTCTTTCTACTTTCCTCAGCTGCATGTATTTTACACACAAAGTACAGGGATACAGATTGAAATGTTCAGCAGCAAGGTATGAGAGGTCCGCATCTCATGCACGAGGGTGTTTTTCTCGGCCTCTGCAGCCCTCAGATGTTCCCACGCTCTGTTAGACACATGCGGCCTGGGCTTCAGGAAGTAGAGATGCCCGGGGGTTATATTTTCAGATGTTCTAGCTGAGCTCGCTTTGTCTTTCCTCCCAGGCCTGGCAATAATGAAACTAGGCAGTGTTTTATCTCACAGGCAGTGGCGACTTCATTCCTCTTTCTAAAGATGTAAAACAAAAGGGGATATTGACTAATGCAAAACTTAGTCTGTGTGGAAGCAACTTGGCAAATGGGGAGGATGAAATAAAATTGCACCTACCGTTTGTCTTAGCTCAGCCTGCCATATCAAAATGCCACAGACTGGGGGCTTAACCAGCAGAAACTCATTTATCATGGTTCTGAAGGCTGCAAAGTCCAAGATCACGGCACCAGCTGATTCTCTTCCTAGGGAGAGCTCTCTTCCTGGCTTGCAGGTGGCCCTTTTCTTGCTGTGTCCTCATGTGGCCCTTCTGTGGTGTGCACACACACACAGAGAGAGAAGCTCTTCTTTTTCTTATAAGAACACCCCTCCCATCATGAAGGCCCAGCCCTCATGGCCTCATCTAACCCTCATCACCTCCCAAAGGCCCAGTCTCCAAATACCAGCACATTGGTGGGGTGAGGAATTAGAGCTACAACATGTGAATTTTGGAGGGAGACAAACATTCAGTCTGTAGGACCATTCTACTTTCTATTCCTGGCTGTGGGATTAATGTCCCTGTGGCCCCCACCCACCCACTCACCCACGCACCATATGCCATTTAAGGATTTCATGGACTGTCTCAGGTCAGAAACTGCTTGGACAGATCACAGCTGTCCTTTCCCCTTCACTCTTCCCTCCCAAGTCTTGGATTTGTTGTCAGGAGACATCATCCAGTGCAAAGGAAGAACACCATGGATTTACTGCCTGCTTGTGCGCTACCTCATTGCATCCTTAAAACAACCCTGTGTGGTGTTGGCAGGTGGGTGGTGGCATTTCTGTTGTCACAAATGAGGAAGAGGGTTGAATAAAGTTGAGTAATTTGCCCAAGGCCAGTAGATGAGTGGCCTCTGGGACTTGGAAGTCTGTATTTTGCTTTGCATTTCATCTGTTAACCTGGAAAAGGCTTCAGGGGGTTGGAGTGGGAGGAGAGCCTTCTGCAGGCCTCTTACTCTCAATCCTGTGGCTCTCAGAGTTGCTTCTCCCTCTGTGCATGTCCATTTCTGCAGCACAGCAGGGCCATGCCCACGGCTCCCCACCACTGCCCTTGAGAACTGGGAAGCAGTCATTCCTTTGCTGGTTTTCTCAGGAGGCCTGTTGTGTTGTGGTATGGCTTCCTTGCAAACAAGTGCATGCACACTCTGATACGTTTTTAAAAAAAAAAGATGCAAATCACTGCTTCAGCTGCTTTGCAGACAGTTAGAACCTACAGGATTAGATGGGCTCTGTTATAAGGGGACATCTCTCTTGAAATTTTTTTGGACTTACGGACATTTAATTCAGATGCAGTGAACCCAGTTTTTCTGTTCATTTTAAGATTGATATGCTTTTTCTTTTTTTGGATGACAGAAGTGTATTTGTGGGGTTTTTTTGTTGTTGTTTTTGTTTTTTTTTTTTTGGGATATGATCTCACTGTGTTGTCCGGGCTAGTCTCAAATCCCTGGTCTCAAGAGATCCTCCCATGTCAGCTTCCTGAGTTGCTGGGATTTACAAGCATGTATCACCACAGCCAGCTAGAGTGCACATTTTTAAGGGCAGTTTGAGGTTGGAGGGAGGAGGGTGGTGATTGATTAAGCCCCCCTGTCGTTCATTTGAATCCTGCATCGCTGATTTAAGTGTTAATCAAATGCCTGTCTCGCCTGGCTGCGGGGTCCGATCATAGTTACTGACTCGCGCTCATTTTATCAAGATGTATTAATGCTTTGGAGAAGGTGTAGTTGAGATAAACTTTGTGTGTTTATTTAGTAATCTTTGCTAATACCCTCCTGGCTTTCCACTCCACCCCTTTCTCATCTCAGACATACCATAGGCACCAAGGTGTGGAGCCAGTGAAAGAACAGGCGCAGCGAACGTTCCGGCAGGCATTGCCGTGCACGGACACACAACTTCACAAGGGCCTCTTGTGCACGTGGGACATGGAGAAAATTGGCCATTTGTCTGTGGGGTAATGGGCTTTGCTGCAATATGAAAATCTATCAAATGGGTAAAATCAATGACATTGTATCAGAGTTCATGAAAAGT
Source organism: Homo sapiens (assembly GCF_000001405.40). Lineage (NCBI taxonomy): Eukaryota > Metazoa > Chordata > Mammalia > Primates > Hominidae > Homo > Homo sapiens. Next base: position 235,979,778 of record NC_000002.12, read on the forward strand.
GCCTACTGCACACAGTTTAATTCTATTTAATTTTTTTAAGTGGAAAAAAGCAAAGGAAAAATGTTTTAGTTTTCTCTTAAGCTGATTTCGCTCTGCTTTTTCTTAAAAGTGCCTTTCTAGTTGCCACACAGTGATGTGATCATTATCTGCCACCTCGTCGCCTTGCTGCCTCTGCATGCAGTAAAATACAAAAAAAAGAGAGATAGAGAAAGCAGGGGAGCTTGTGAAGTATGACTCCCTATCCCAAGACTCATTGCCTGCGATTCGTACCGCTTGACAGTAATGATCTTATTACAGTACTGTGGACCTTGAAGAGATTTCATGAGGAGAGTGAAAGGACGACCCTCCGTGTAATCAAGTGGCGCTGAATATTCCACGCGTTTTTGATCACACACTGATTGGGCACAGTTTTAGCCCATCTTCTAGTCAATTATGCATGGCCCCTGTGCTCCTCGAATAGTCGGAAACATTGATGGCTGTTGTCTGGGTTTTGGCAGGCAGCCAGGGGTTTGAAGTGCCTTGTACATCGTCATCCCAGGATAAGTGCTTTTTAGTTGGAATTGATTACCTTTCTTTGGGTTTTGCTTAATAGCAAAACTGCATTTGGAGAGGGCTTCAGGTGAAAAATGGACATATTAGCCATTGAGAGCATCCGAACTCCTAGTCAATTTTTAGGCTTCCCTTGTTTCCGTCTAATTTCTGTTTAATGATACAGTGTTTGATAATATTTAAGATATCTCACCGCATTTGCCGCTGAGCACACATGTTGAGCGTCGAGGACAGGTTCAATTATGTGGCCACTGTGTTCAGGTTCCCGGATTGATCCGGGGGAGGCTCTAAGCTTTGAGGAGATCTGGCGGTTAGTTTCCATCTTGGCATAAAAGCATTAATTATCTAAAGATCTTTTCATCTGCAGGAAAATAGGCAGAGAATTCTTCCTACTGTTGAGTGGTCGCTCCGTGTGACCGTGGAGCTCATGTCAGCATTGCTAGGTTTGGGCTCAGCCTGCTACCCTGTGCCCAAAAGACTTTCTCCCATTGTTTCCTCCCTCCCCTCGCTATTGAGCTTGAAGTCTGGGGACATTTGAAAGGATGGGATTGTTTCTTACCAAAATGAGGCATGATGTTGCCTCTTAAGAAAATCAGACAATTAAACCAATGTTACTATGTAGAAGTGAAAACTGGTATAAACCAAGATTTTTTGCCTCCTCCTGTTATGCTCTTAATTCTGATTCTTGTCTTACGGATTGTCTTAGAATGATTAGGAAAACTTCTAAGGTGTTTTATTTTTTTGTTTTAACATTTTGTGCAAGGCTAAGGAATTAGACACCCCAGAGTATGTGATCACTGTGAGATGTTTCTCAAAGTCTGTCTTGAACTTGCCAACACATGCTGCCTCGGGGCCTGTGGTCACTAAGCTTATATGAGGGACGAGAGCCGTAGCATTGCTCCAGCAGGTATTTCAATAACTTGATTTGACTCTTCTTAATTAAATAAATAGGTAGCTTTGTTCTTTGGCTTGATTATTCATTTGGGTCTTTCTTGCTTTCTTCAGGTAGGAATGATTTTCCCCTTCAGTTGGTTTTCTGCAGAAGCCATGATATACTGTAGGCATGGTTACCAGAACACCCCTAAGAGAGCTGACCAGAATTTCTAAGTTCATGTTCCATGCGTACACACACACACACACACACACACGGTGTTATTTTTTTTCTTTCTGAATTTCATGAAAATAAAATATTTTCTACCAGAATACACATTTAGTGATGCCTCTTTCAAAGAGGAAATCAATCACGAAACAGAAACTCAGAGTTGACAATCTATTAGCAATAATATCACTATCAATTATTGACCACTGCCATGTGTCAGGCACTGGGCTTAAGTGCTTTACACGCAGCGTCTCATAACCCTCACAAGAACCTGGGAGGTGGGTGCCGTTATCCGCATTTTTATAACTGAGGAAACCGAGGGTCATAAAGTTTAAGTAACTTGCTCAAGGCCATAGACGTAGAAAGCAGCGATAGGGCCACCGATCCAGGCGAGGGCAGCAGTGCTCGCCGCCTCTAACACATCTCCACGGTGACCTTCCCTTCCCTTGGAAGGGGGCGCTTGTCTTTTCAGCGGTCTTGCCTCCGAATCTTGGCTTGTCTAGGATTCTTCCTACAGAAGAAGTTCATATAAAATAAGGGGTTTTATTATGGGTTATCTGAAGAGTGTTTCTTAATTTTAATAAGTTAATATTCCAACCATAAAAACTTCTGACATTTTACCCGAGGCTGTGCTTCAGCAGATTGACAGAATGCATTTTTACAGCACTTAGAAAATACCAGATCCACGAAGAACAAATGATCAAAGTTTCAAAGGCTGTAATTTTGGAAAGCTGGCATATATAATGATGATCTCTTCGCAGCCTGGTAATTTTACCTGGACAAGTAAATCCATTTCTCACATTTAAAGAGAATCAAAGAGTCAGTAAACATGCAGAAACACTTTTAGCTGTGAATGCAGAGTAACTCTTACAATTAACATATAATTACCTCAACGGGCCAATTAATTAAGCAATTTAAGATCTATAACTATTTTCATGATTTTCCCCCAAAATATTACTTTATTCTGCACACCGTGGGGACATCAGCTGGGAGGGTCATAGCTAGGAGGTCAGAAGGAAGGGGGGACGATTCATGCAATGAGGCACTGCTGTTGTGGGGTGTTGGTTTGAAGAACTCATAAATGGTAAAAGTAACCTGTATTATCATTGGTTCTAGGGGACTACTGAAGATAAGAATTTTCAACCTTCCTCTTCGTTGTCTGCTCTCCCAGGCTCATTGAAGGAACATAGAGAAGGTTTAGGCCCTGTTTCTTTTCGAGCAGCACAGAAATACTTGCCCAGTCCGTTCGTGGAAGGAAAGAACCGAAGCCAGCCCTTGGCTGCCATTCTTTCCAGACTTCCACCATTGTGCCCTGAGTGGTTCCAGAATGTCATTGATGGGAAATTGGTTTTCTTTCCTTCTGGACATTCAAAGATTAATATGTTACTGTCATCAGTGACTTGTTACCTTCTGTTTCTGATTGCCAGCTCATCAGCTTAGTTTGCCCAGGAGAGCCACTTTTTCCCACGTTCTTTTACTTGAGTTCTGAGACAAGATTTGATACCCATTCATTTATAGGCCAAATCCAGTTCTTATTTTAATTTTTTTTCCCAACCCCTAAAAAGCATTTGCAAACACTCCTCCACACTGTTCAGATGAGCGATGTGTGAGCATGAGGAGACATTCCTTAAGCCAGCCTGGTCTGTGGAGGTGTGCTCACTGCTGCAGGGCCATTTGCTGAGCAGGAAGCTGGCCTCAGGGGTCTCCCAGGATGCTGGGGCTGGTGGACGACCCCAGAGAAGGGACAGGATGGGGGGTTATGGAAGTGCCCAGCAAGGGGAGCTGCAGGAGGGTCTCTTTACAGGTGTGCAAAGGACCAGCGCTGCTGCAGGGAACATGGCTGGGAGGGCATCCACCGGGGCAGGGGTCTGGGCAAGGGGCTTCTCCCCTTGCTAGGCCCCCTCCTTTTGTTCAGCTCCTCCTCTCCAGCACCAACCTCCCATCACTTTCTACATTCTGGCCCCTTTTTCTCCTTTCCTTCTTTCTCTTCCATTCTCCTTTTTCCTGTAAGACTGTCCTTGCTTCTCTTGTTTAATTTCTTTTTTCTTCTTTTCCCATCCATAACCTCATCATTGTCTTTTTCTCCCTTTCTTATTCTCTTTTTTCTTTGAACTTTTTTTTATTGTGGCAAAATACAGTCATGCATCACATTACAACATTTTGTTCAATGATGGACCAAGTAATGTGATGGTGGTCCCATGAGATTATAATACCGTGTCCTTACTGTGCCTTTTCTATGGTTAGATGTTTAAATACACACTTCCCATTGTGTTGCCACTGCCTACAGTTTTTGATACAGTCACATACTGTATGGGTTTATGCCCTGGGAGCAATAGGCTCTGCACATAGCCTGAGTGTGTGGTAGCCACACCATCTAGGCTTATGTATGGACTCTGTGATGGTCACACAATGACAAAATCGCCTAACGACACATTTCTCAGAATGCATCACTTAACGATGGGGATACATGGCTGTATGTAACATAAAATTTGCCATTTTAATTGTTTTTAAGTGTTCAATTCAGTGCCGTTGAATTATATTTTCACATTCACAGTGCTGGACAACCATGACCGCCATTCCCAAAACATTTTCTTCACTCCAAACAGAAATCTGCTAACCATTAAGCAACAACTCCCCAGCCCCTACTTCTCCCAGCCCCTGTGACCTCCAGCCTGCTTTCTGTCTGTGAATTTGCCTCATCTGGATATTTCATATCAAAAGAATCATATGATAGTTGAATATGGATCCTTTTGTGTCTGGCATCTTATATTTGGCATAATGTTCCATGTTGTAGCATGTGTCTGTACACCATTCTTTTTAAAGGATGGATAATATTCCATAGTGTGGATTTACAACATTTTGTTTGTTGACAGACACTTGGATTGTTTCCGCCTTTTGGCTGTTATGAAGGATGCTGCGTGAACATTGTCACACAAGTATCTGTTTGAGTCCCTGTTTTCAGTTTTTCCTAGGGTATAAACCTAGGAGTGGAATTGCTGGGTCATATGGTAACTCTGTTCAACTTTTCAAGGAACCACCAAATTCTTTTTTTTTTTCCTTTATTTCTTAAAAAAAAAAAAAAATAGATGCGCAGATTGTGCAGGTTTGTTACATAGGTATACATATGCCATGGTGGTTTGCGGCACCTATTGACCCATTTCTAAGTTCCTTCCCCTCACCCCCGACCCCCAAACAGGCCCTGGTGTGTATTGTTCCCCGCTCTGTGTCCATGTGTTCTCGATGTTCAATTCCCACTTATGAGTGAGAACCTATGGTGTTTGACTTTCTGTTCCTGTGTTAGTTCGCCGAGGAAGATGGCTTCCAGCTTCATCCATGTCCTTGCAAAGGACATGATCTCATTCCTTTTTATGGCTGCATAGTATTCCATGGTGTATATTTAGCACATTTTATTTATCTAGTCTGTCATTGTTGGACATTTGGGTTTGTTCCATGTCTTTGCTATTGTAAATAGTGCTGCAATAAACATATGTGTGAATGTGTTTTTATAGCAGAATGATTTATATTCCTTTGGGTATATACCTAGTAATAGGATTGCTGGGTCAAATGGTATTTCTGGCTCTAGATCCTTGAGGAATCGCCATACTGTCTTCCGCAATGGTTGAACTAATTTACATTCCCACCAACAGTGTAAAAGCATTCCTATTTCTCCGTAGCCTCACCAGCATCTTTTGTTTCCTGACTTTTTAATAATCACCATTCTAACTGGCATGAGATGGTATCTCACTGTGGTTTTGATTTGCATTTCTCTGATGATCAGTGAGTTGAGCTTCTTTTTCATATGTTTATTGGCTGCATAAATGTCTTCTTTTGAGAAATGTCTGTTCATATCCTTTGCCCACTTTTTGATGGGGTTGTTTGTTTCTTGTAAATTTGTTTAAGTTCTTTGTGGATTCTGGGTATTAGCCCTTTGTCAGATGGATAGACTGCAAAATTTTTCTCCCATTCTGTAGGTTGCCTGTTCACTCTGATGATAGTTTCTTTTGCTTTGCAGAAGCTCTTTAGTTTAATTAGATCCCATTTGTCAATTTTGGCTTTTGTTGCAATTGCTTTTGGCATTTTTGTCATGAAGTCTTTGCCCATGTCTATGTCCTGAATGGTATTGGCTAGGTTTTCTTCTAGAGTTTTTATGGTTTGGGTTTTCATTTAACTCTTTAATTAATCTTGGGTTAATTTTTGTAAAAGGTGTAAGGAAGGGGTCCAGTTTCAGTTTTCTGCATATGGCTAGCCAGTTTTCCGCATATGACTAGCCAGTTTTCCCAGCACCATTTACTGAATAGGAAATCCTTTCCCCATTGCTTGTTTTTGTCAGGTTTGTCAAAGATCAGTTGGTTATATATGTGTGGTGGTATTTCTGAGGTCTCTGTTCTGCTCCATTGGTCTATATGCCTGTTTTGGTACCAGTACCATGCTGTTTTGGTTACTGTAGCCTTGTATATAGTTTGAAGTCATGTAGTGTGATGCCTCCAGATTTGTTCTTTTTGCTTAGGATTGTTTTGGCTATACAGGGTCTTCTTTGATTCCATATGAAATTTAAAATAGTTTTTTCCAATTCTGTGATGACTGTCAATGGTAGTTTCATAGGAATAGCATTGAATCTATAAATTACTTTGGGCAGTATGGCCATTTTCATGATATTGATTCTTCCTATCCATGAGGATGGAGTTTTTTTCCATATTTTTGTGTCCTCTCTTATTTCCTTGAGCAGTGGTTTGTCGTTCTCCTTGCACACGTCCTTCACATCCCTTGTTAGTTGTATTCCCAGGTATTTTATTGTCTTTGTAGAGATTGTGAATGAGAGTTGATTCATGATTTGGCTCTCTGCTTGCTTATTGTTGGTGTAAAGGAATGCTTGTGATTTTTGCACATTTATTTTGTATATCCTGAGACTTTGCTGAAGTTGCTTATCAGTTCAAGGAGTTTTTAGGCTGAGATGATGGGGTTTTCTCAATATAAAATCATGTTGTCTGCAAACAGAGACAATTTGATTTCCTCTCTTCCTATCTGCATACCCTTTATTTTCTTCTCTTGCCTGATCGTCCTGACCAGAAATTCCATTACTATGTTGAATGGGAGTGGTGAGAGAGAGCATCCTTGTCTTGTACCAGTTTTCAGAAGGAATGCTTCCAGCTTTTGCACATTAAATATGATATTGCCTGTGGGTTTGTCATAAATAGCTCTTACTGTTTTGAGATACATTCCATGAATACCTAGTTTATTGAAAGTTTTTAATATGAAGAGATGTTGAATTTTATTGAAGGCCTTTTCTGCATCTATTGATATAATGATGTGGTTTTTATCTTTGGTTCTGTTTATGTGATGATTTATGTTTATTGATTTGTGTATGTTGAACCAGCCTTGCATCCCAGGGATGAAGCCGACTTGATCATGGTGGATAAGTGTTTTGATGTGCTGCTGGACTCTTTTTGCCAGTATTTTGTTGAGGATTTTTGCATTGATGTTCATCAGGGATATTTGCCTGAAGTTTTCTTTTTTTGTTGTGTCTCTTCCTGGTTTTGGTATCAGGATGATACTGGCTTCATAAAATGAGTTAGGGAGGAATGTCTCCTTTTCAATTGTTTGGAATAGTTTCAAAAGGAATGATACCAGCCCTTTGTATTTCTGGTAGAATTCAGCTGTGAATCTGGTCCTGGGCTTTTTATTGTTATTTATTTATTTATTTATTTATTTATTTATTGGTTGGTAGGCTATTAATTACTGCCTCAGTTTCAGAATTTGTTATTTGTCTATTCAGGGATTTGACTTCTTCCTGGTTTAGTCTTGGTAGGATGTATGTGTCTAGAAATTTATCCATTTCTTCTAGATTTTCTAGTTTATTTGCATAGAGGTATTTATAGTATTCTCTGATGGTAGTTTGTATTTCTGTGGGGTCAGTGGTGATATCCCTTTTATCATTTTTTATTATGTCTGTTTGATTTTTCTCTCTTCTTCTTTATTAGTTTAGCTAATGGTCTATCTATTTTGTTAATTTTTTTCAAAAAAACAGCTACTGGATTCATTGATTTTTTTCCCCCCCAAAAAACCAGCTACTGGATTCATTGATTTTTTTTTTTTTTTTTTGGAGGGTTTTCCTGTCTCTACTCTATCAATTCTTCTCTGATCTTAGTTATTTCTTGTCTTCTGCTAGCTTTTGGATTAGTTCGTTGTTGCCTCTCTAGCTCTTTCCAATGTGGGCATTTAGTGCTATAAATTTCCCTCTGAACACTGTTTTAGCGGTATCCCAGAGATTCTGGTAAGTTATCTCTTTGTTCTCATTGGTTTCAAATAACTTCTTGATTTCTGTCTTAATTTCAGTATTTACCCAAGAGTCATTTAGGAGCAGGTTGTTCAATTTCCATGTAACTGTGTGAGAACCGCCAAATTCTTCTCTTACATCATTCTGTGACTTCACCTTGTCCTCATCCGTTCATGCGTAATACGGAATTAAAGAAGCTCCTGTAATTAGGCTCCCTCCTAATTACAAAAATAGGTGATATAAACATGTTAAAAATATTGTTGCTTTTTCCAGAAAATCAAACCGAAAGTATGCAGAATGTTGGTAGTTAAAACTCCTTTTGTTATTTTGTGTTTGTTCGTTTGTTCTGTTTTGTTTTTTGAAACAAGAGTCTCACTCTGTTGCCCAGGCTGGAGTGTGGTGGCATGATCTCGGCTCACTGAAGCCTCCACCTCCAAAGTTCAAGTGATTCTCCTGCTTCAGCCTCCCGAGTAGATGGGGTTAAAGGTGCCCACCACCACGCCCAGCTAATTTTTGTGTTTTTAGTAGAGACAGGGCTTCACCCTGTTGGCCAGGCTGGTCTTGAACTCCTGACTTCAGGTGATCCACCTGCCTCGGCCTCCCAAAGTGGTAGGATTACAGGCGTGAGCCACCGTGCCTGGCCTAAAACTCCTTTTGATTGGTGCGTGGGTGACAATGGATTCCCTGTCCCTGCTGCCATGAATCAGTCGCACCTGCTTCAGATACTACTCAGAATTTCTTGTCCTTAAATGCCACCCCCAACCCCCGCCCCGAAGTCAGGAAGTGATTTCTGAACTTTAGCGTAAGTGTTCTCTGGCAGGTATGGCTGTTTTTCTGAGCAGTAGGTACTTAGTCAAGGCATGCAGGCGTTTCTCCTTGTTTTAGTTCATCTGCAGAGGTCAGCTTTTTCCATTGTCTCTGAAACACTTGCATTTTTCCTGTAACTTTCCAGTAATGAGGGGGCCCAGTGGGTAAATGGAATCTTAAAGACGAGAAATGATTATTTTTTTCCCGCCGACTCCACTCTGGCCAAGACGAGCTCTCAGATTGCACTTCAGAATCGGTGATGCGCACTCATTCCCCTGCACCCACCCTTTTTTCTGTGGTCAGCATGTGTTTCCCAGACTGGGCGTCACTGTCGCCTCCTTGACTCTCATCACTCACATGGTCCCCCAGCAGGTAACTTGCTTCAGCGCCACTTTGCCTGGGTGCTGGTGATCCTCCAGTTCTCACACACCTGCACCTTGGGGTCGTTGAGTTTTAGTTTAGGTCTTCCGAGGAATGCACAGACCACACGTTGTCAGGCTTCCCTTGGCCAATAATGTGGAGTCTTTTGGTTTTTCTGTTCTTCAGAGTTTGCATCCCCTGAGAATTCCTCTCCTGTGTCCTTCAAATAATAATGTGAGATGAAGATGATGATGATGGTTGTTGTTATTTAAAACTGCAAGACGTAGGCAATACCAGGTCTTAACAGCTTGTTGTCTGTGGTGTCTTCCTTCTTCCCTGGAATTAGATATTTTTCGTTCAAGCTGCTGACAGGTATTTATTGACCAGGTACTGTGTAGAGGTCGCTGCTGCGTGTGGCTTCACCCAGCTCCTCTGCCCATCTGGTGACTTTGCAAGCTCACAATGTCCTGAATGAAAACCTAGTTCCTAAGCCCTTCCCCCAACTGGAACCATGGAGGGAGGAAGAACAGACCAGGTGAAAACATCAGGAGGAGGGTCCGCAGCTCGATGGTGATGAGTGTAGGGGAGAGGTGGGTGCTGGGACAGGATGAGCTGGGCTGGAGGAGGGTTTGCCCTAGGGAGGCAGCCCCAGGCAGGGCCTGGGCACACTGGTGGCGTAGCTGAGGGGCTGCCTGCGTGCAAGGAGGACATGAGGCCACATACAAAGCTTAGGGCCACCCAGGAAGATGTGGGAGAAACTAGAGGGGATTAGGAGAGTTCGGGCTGCACCAGCTCCTGGGTGTTGGTTGGAGAAAGAGTCATGAATCAAGGAGCCCAGGAGGACGGGGAATCCCTGGAGGAGGTGGGTCAGTGGGAGGAGGACTGAAGACATTGGCAAGCATCAGTCCGTGCGGGAGACGTGCATGGAGTGGAACGGTCACAGCAGCAGCTCACAGGGAGGGACAGCCTCGGAAGAGGAAATCCATGCGTCTTCCTTTTGCCCACAGGAGAAGAGATGAAAGAGAGGGGAGGGGCTGGCCAGTCAGCAATCTGGACAGTTTAGATCATTCAAATGCGTAGCCGGGGTTGGGAACCAGTGGTTTAGGTTAAGATCAGCTAGATCTGTGTGAAGGACCAGTGTCTCACGGAGATTCAGACTCATAAAAATGTGGGCCACACCCCAGGACCCACAGCCACACAAGCCGTTCTTATGTTGTCCCAAGTGCTCTACCGTTAGGATTCCTGTTAAAACCTTTTTTAATGTTTTTCCTACCCTGTCTTATTGGTTTAAATCAAATTGCAGAAAAATAAAAGCTCAAATATTATCTGTTATGTCAAAGTTACTATTTGAGCTGTAGATGCTGTTTTCAAAACAGATCATCCTCCTTAAAGCACCCATCTCTCTCCACTGACATGTGCCCCTGTGTCCAGCCGCACCTTCCAGCAGAGTTCCCTGCAAAGACGCTTCCCTGCAGCCTCTGTGGGTCAGGAATTAGAATGGGTGCAGCTAGGAAGGCCTGTGTCTGCCTCGTGATGTTTGGGGCCTCACCTGGAAGACTCAGAAGCCAGGACTGGCAACATCCCGAATCCCAGTCACTCGTGTGTTTGATGGTTGATGCTGCCTGTTGGGTGGGACCTAAGCTGGGGCTGTCAGCCAGAACACCTACACATGACCTCTGCAAGTGGCCTGGGCTTCCTTCCAACATGGTGGCTGGGTTCCAAGGGCAGGCATCACATGAGAGAGGTACATGGCTGGGCAGAAGTCTTGTTTCCTCTGTGACCTTGCCTCAGAGGACACAGAGTGTCAATTTTACTCCATCTGTAGTCAACACAGTCAGAGTCCCACTTAGGGTCTAGGGTAGCAGAAATAGACTCTGCCTCTGGATAGAGAGTGGCAAGGTTCTAGAAGAGCATGTGGACTAAAATATGACCATGGCCATTTTTGGAAAATGTAATTTGCAACAGTAAATAAGTGAATGTGTATTATGTCAGATTGTGATCAACACAATGGAACAAGATAGAGTAAGAGGAATTGGGACCACCAGGGGTGGGGCAAGGTTCTTTTCTGCAAAGGCAGCCAAGCAGGGCTCACCGAGGAGACCACATAGCACAGCCCAGCAAAGGTGAGGCTGTCGCCAGGTGGCCCTCTGTGGTCGGCATCTTCCTGGCCAGGGAATTGTGTTTGCACTGTTGTGGTGGCCACCTTAAACTGAGTACTTGTTTGTAGTTAACATCACGTGCTATATGCTTATGTTCTACTGTATTGTGTAAAACAAGCTGAATTTTACCTAGATTTTTGTGTTGTACTTATTCTCTGGTAATATGACTGGAGAAGTATTTTATGTCTCAAGAATTATTATGCATTTCTTATTTCTCTGTCCTTTAATTTTGAAGGGTCAGTATAAAAATACTTTATTCAGTATATTCTAGCTCATTCTCCACATACAATTATATTCCAATATTTGTAGGGTTTATTCTCTCCAAGCAGCATGATCAATCAGAAAATTGGACAGTTTTAAAAAGTGGTCCAGAGAACCAGCAAATATGAAGGCAGGCTAATAAAAATGCATATCACTCTAACAGTTTCAAGGCAGTTTCCTCGGGAGACTGAGGTGGGAAGGTCGCTTGAGCCCAGGAGTTCAAGTCCTGCCTGGGCATCCCAGTGAGACCCCACCTCTTAAAAAAGGAAAGAAAATGGTTTTTTAAATCATTTCATTTCGTATAAGATTATTTTGCGAGGTTGGTGCATGACATTGGAGTTGCCCAGCAATTGGAAAAAGACATGAGCGTTTAATACTGGGCGTTCTTTCTAAGGCTCTTAAAGTGAAGGCAATCACATAAGGCTATCTTGCTTCATGGGTAATTAAGGCATTTCCTTCTGCAGTTCCCAAATCTAATGAAGAAGAAGGAATTTCTCTTTTGCTGAAATATTTCTTGTAAGGTTTTCATTTCTTCTCATTGCTCCGACTTTGGAAAAATGTTCTTTTTACCTCTGATTTTCTCTTGTAATGTCTTCTTGAATTGTGAGTCGGGGAAAAAAGTAAAAGATTCGCTACAGATTCAGACTTGCAAAAAAACGCTTAGAATCTTGCTGTCCGTAAAACTGAAACATCCAGCCTCACAAATGTCCACATTTCTCTCTCATCTGTGAAGGCCCGTTGAGACTGCTCAGTTGGTGTCTCCTCTGTCCACAGGACATGGCCGTAGCCGTGTGTGGAGAAGGGTTGTGATGGTGGCCATCACGAGACCCAGATAACAGGAGTGGTTAGAAGCGCAGCGGAGGAGCCTGTCTTCCTGGGTCCGAGTTGCGTGGTTAGGAGCGCAGCGGAGGAGCCGGTCTTCCTGGGTCCATGTTGCGTGGTTAGGAGCGCAGCGGAGGAGCCGGTCTTCCTGGGTTTGAGTTGCAGCTCCACCTCTTCCTGGCGGGTGGCCTGGGCGAGTGCCTCACGCTCCCGTCAGTGCTCTCAGCTGTAAAATGGGAACGATCAGGTTGTCTACCTCCAAGACTGTTGTCAGGATTCACTCAATGAACTCCTGTGCTTTGAGTGTCTGGCGTTCAGTGGCAGGGGACCCTCCATGTGGGGACAGAGACTGCCACCCATTCCTTTCTGAGGATTCAGTTCTTATAGACTACAGTATTACTCGTGGGAGCCAAATTATGTGCAGTGTATTTTCAGATTTTATTGACTCACCTAAGAAAGGCTCGGGGACACTGTTGTGTTCTGATGTAAGAGATCACTTGTTATATTATGCTTTTTAAATGTTGAAGGCAATACTCATCAGAGTATGCATTAAGTAGCATTGAACCACATTTTTAAGGTGACTCTTCAACTCACCAAGAATATCGTGGCCGCTGAGGTCCTGCACACCTGGGGATGCGTCGTGGGCGCCGAGGAGAGCGTAGCCTCCTGTTAACGTAGCCTCCTGCTGCTCTTTGGGGTAGACCAGCCGTTTCCACGCACAGGCTGCACATTGTTTCATGGCCTTTGCAGTTGAGCTTGTGTTGGCCTCTTTCCGTCGTGAACCATGGACGTCTCTCCTTGACCTCCTCCCTACCTGGGAGAACCTGGCTGGCCACATAGTGGAACTGGAAATGCCTCCATGCTGACGTGTCTGCCTTTCATGAAAGATAGTAGCAAAAGTTATTGTTATACGTTACAAAAAACCAGTTTAAGACATGGACTTTTTTCATATGTACATCTGAAAATGACTTTAGCAGAGATTCTAGCTAATACATGGAGTTGTGCTTCCTAAGTATTGATAGCGGCGTATATATAGGATTCCCACAATTTGCAGTTGTACAGTTCAAACACCAAACTGTTTGTGGGGAGGAGGGTGATTTGCAGTGATCTTTTCCTCAACTCAGGCCAGTCTATACAATACTATTGATATTTACTGCCTTGGAGCAGCCTTGGCAGCCTTGTATTCTGAGCTGCTGTCAGTGGTTTAAACATTTCACTTGGGTTAGCCTTGTCCCTTCGACTAGGCTGGAAGCCCAAGAAGGCAGGAGACTCGTCTCAGATATTTCCTGGTGTCCCTGAAAGTCCAGCACAGTGTGTGCACGTGGTATGTCCCTGATGGAAACTGCTTCTCAAAGTGGAAGACAGGGAGCACCTCTGCAGGCCTATAGGGAGGTAGTAATTGGATTTGCGATGTATTTCTTTTCTGCAAGTATGGTTTTGTGTGATAGAAACCAATGCTTCCCAAAGTTCACATTGTGGAAACTGAAGCCAGCAAGATACTGTGAAGGAAAATGCTTGGAGAATGTTGCAGCCTGTGTCCCTGTTGGAGTTTTTGCTGCCCAATACCAAATTAAGGGCTCTGAGGAACGCTTCCTTTGAAAATACCCTAGTTTAACTTAAACTCTTTCTTACCAAACCAGCTATGCCACGCCCTTCTGCTTTGGCTGTGTAGATGCTGTTCCAGTCCTGGGGAGCACAGGTGTGTCCTCACGTGCGCTTGGAGAAAGTGGAGTTTTAATTACTTACCCAGCAACATTCAGGACGTCCTGAGACCTCGTCACTTCTGATTTGGGAAAAGTCTGTGAGCAAATGGGATTTTACTAATATGAAAACCCAGAACATTCCAGATGTCCTAGGAACACAGGTCCTAGGTGTTTTTTTTTAGCTTGGGAAAGTTACGATGACCCATAAGCCTGCTCCACAGGATGGCTGTAGCACAGACACCTTCCCCTGGGACCCCCATTGGCTGTGTGTCCCCCAGCTTCTAATTCCTCTAGAATATCATGCCCAGGTTAGGCACTCTTTCTGTATTCCCCAAAGCTTCATAACATGGTTCCATATGTGTCCTTTTTAAGAGTCTTGTCGTTTCATACTCTCATTTTGGCAAGACACCTTCGTCTTAGAGTGCCTACATCCATTTCTGTTGAAACTGGTCATAGTTAGCATTTCTCCATGTCTGTGCTTTTATGCCCTCCTGAAAGCTGGTTCCATTTAGGGGTGTTCCCTGTCATTTTCGTGCTGTGCAATAGTTGATGAAGATAACATAGTTTATAACGCACACCTCAAAATTCATTTCTTCTCACGTAACAACTTTCTTAGTGCTTGTACTTGTGTGCCTCTTGGAGTTACTTGTTGATAGGACAGCGTTAAGGGGGTCGTTTCTTTCTGGTTTGAAAGTTGAGAAGTAGGTCATCACTGTCATCGTCATAGTGGGGACACACTGAGAGGTTACTTTCTACCAAACTGTTTCCTAATTGCACTCCCTGCATTGTCTTATTCAGTCCCGACTTTCCCAACGCCTCGCAGCCCGATGATACAGAGACGGGGCAGCAGTGGAGAGCTCGGCTCAAAGTGCGAAGTTGTTTAGATTTCCACGTTACACAAACACACAAGCTTCTCAGGGGAAGAGCATGATGAATTTCTTTCTTTTTTTTTTTTTAAACTAAAATTAGAATAGGCCGGGCCCAATGGCTCACACCTGTAATCCTAGCACTTTGGGAGGCCGAGGCGGGCGGATCACGAGGTCAGGAGTTTGAGACCAGCCTGGACAAAATAGTGAAACCCCATCTGTACTAAAAATACAAAAACATTAGCCAAGCGTGGTGGTAGGCGCCTGTAATCGCAGCTACTTGGGAGGCTGAGGCAAGAGAATTGCTTGAACCCGGGAGGCAGAGGTTGCAGTGAGCCGAGATCGCGCCTTGCACTCCAACCAGGGAGACAGTACAAGACTCTGTCTCAAAAAAAAAAAAAAAAAAAAAAAAAAAAACAGAATAAGATACAACAGTATCTTATTCTGTACCACAGTAGTAAATATGTTATTTGGAATATAGCTTATAAATAAAATATTTAATTTACTTAAAGCTGTCATGCCCACCACCCTCCCATAGTGAAAAACCAAAGAAAAGGCTAGGCCCAGTGGCTCATGCCTGTAATCCCAACACTTTGGGGAGCCGAGGTGGGCAGATCACTTGAGATCAGGAGTTTGAGACCAGCCTGGCCAACATGGTGAAACCTGTTTCTACTAAAAATACAAAAATTAGCTAAGCTTGGTGGTGCGCACCTATAATCCTAGCTCCTCGGGAGGCTGAAGCAGGAGGATTGCTTGAACCTGAGAGGCAGAGTTTGCAGTGAGCCGAGATAGTGCCACTGCACTTAAGCCTTGGTGACAGGGCAAGACTGTGACTCAAAAAAACAAACAAAAGAAAGAAAAAATTCTACTTAAAGAAGAAAGACCCTCTGTGCATCATAGATGGCAGGCACATTCACCGTGCACGGCAGCCCCACAACAATGTGTGGCAGACAACCTTAGCAGGGCAGCTTGACACTGCGGGTCCGATTCTGCCATCAAGAAAGCTGCACAGACCTCATCAGAAGCCACTGATGCTTTGGTCCTATTGAGGATTCCATCTCTCTGTCTCGGAGCCATACTCTAGATGCATCACTGCAAGCTGTGGCCTGAGTGTGGTGATGGTGAGGATGACCCTGTGGTGGTATTCCTTTCTTTCTTGCCTCTGGCTCTTCTCTCCCTCACTTTCCCTCACCCATTGCCAAAAATGGGTTTGGAGGTCATTGTGCAGTGGGTTTGGAGGTCACTGTGCAGTAGGTCTGGAGGTCAGCCTCAATAAAAGACCAGTTTTCAGCCCTCACAGCCTCCCTGCAGTGTTATTAGCTGTTCCTGATTTGGATGTGTAAGCCCAAGCCGCCACGTGGGCTCGGAGGGGTACAGAGATTAACTGGAGGCTTGCCAACCGTTTGTCACACAAATAGCAGTGCCAGTTAACTGAGATACGATAAATCATTTTTCTCAAGATTGAAACCTTTTATCAGTTGTGTCAGTTTCATTATTCGATAAGCAATTAGTAGCAGCCATTGTCATTTAGTTATCTGTAGTTAACAACTCAAAGCTGCTGCCAGCAGGGCACCCGCTTGACACCTGCACCCAGGTGGAAACCCGTCCACTGCCCACCTCTCCAGCAGAAATTAGGCCAAACTCGCCTCCTACTGCCCCTTGGCCGATTGGAGATTCGTATCTGACAGGTGTCTTCTAATTTTTTTAACTTACGCTCTGACACATAGTTAAGTTGTGCTGTAGTTAAGAGAATAGTAAACAGGTGAGCATTATTCTATTACCACCTACTGATCCTTTTATGAAAATATTCTTGCCTTTTAATTTAAATGCCAACCATCTTGATTAGAGAAATAGTGTTATTCCTTCCTGCACCCAAGCCCTGACGTCAGCATGACCTGGCGGTAGAGCCAGCCCCTGCCAGCTGGCTGCCCCCGGGGACCTTCTGTTCACCATCAAGCGGCAGTTCATCTGGAGTAAGGAGAGAGGCTGGAGCACAGCTCCCAGCCTGCAGGAACAGACCTCTGGAGATGCCAAGGGCCTGAAATCTGTGTGTAGGTTTATGTAGACAGAAGTAACCATATATTGAAATTGTGGTTAATGGAAAGCAAAGTCGTTTTAGAATGTTGCCAAATTGTGCTCATCAAAAGACGCCTGCATACTTTTTAAAAATTGGGAACCACTGAAAGAGATTAATCCTTGCCAATTTTTTCACTTTTTCACTCAAGTCTAATTTATCAGAAAAAATAATTCCACCACTAGCTAAGTGTAGGAGAAGAAAAAAATCACTGAATGTATGTATCATTGAGACCTATTTAATTATTCTACCAGTGTTCTGGCTTTACCCATAATGAAGACAGGAGTGTGTGTGCATGCATAGGTACATAGATACATGCATATTGCCTTTAATGAAGATCTTTTTTGTTGTTGTTGTTACGGAGTTTCACTCTTGTTGCCCAGACTGTAGTGCCACGGCGCAATCTCGGCTCACTGCAACTTCTGCCTCCCAGGTTCAAGTGATTCTCCTGACTCAGCCTCCCGAGCAACTGGGATTACAGGCGTGCACCACCACGCCTAGCTAATTTTGTATTTTTAGTAGAGATGGGGTTTCTCCATGTTGGTCAGGCTGGTCTCGAACTCCTGACCTCAGGTGATCCGCCCACCTCGGCCTCCCAAAGTGGGGATTACAGGCATGAGCCACCGTGCCCAGCCTAATGAAGATCTTTTAAAATATAACTCATAATTTAAGACGTCATTCTAAATTGCATTTCTAATGCTTTCCAGCACCTTTCTCTACTACCTTAAGGTTAGTGTTTGGTATTTTTGTAGCGCGGCCATACATTTTTGTGAGGCCTGGAGCCCTGTCTTGTGCCTTCCACGCCCGCAGCATCTACACTGACTGTGTGGTAACTGCCCACTGTATGTGGGGACTGCATATGTTGATCCTTGTGAAAGCTTTTGGTTTATTGTTTAAGAAGAAGCGGTTTTGAGAGCTTCTCAGCCACTCCAGCTCCCCAGCGCAGTCCGTCTCCAGAATCACCAATAAAAACTTTTTTTTTTCCTAACTAAAAAATCTGAAGACCATTCAAATGGAAGGTTCTGGTCTGCCCTCTTAATTGTATAGTAGCTCAGTCCCTTCTGTAGGGATTGTATTTTTAAGAGGACTTCCCAGTACATTTGTTTATGGGGTATTCTTTGAAACCACGAGCCACAGTCGTCTTCCACGTAGCATTTCGGGGTCTCGGAGGCTGGTGTTACACATGAAGGGCCCACAGTTTGGATGCAGTTAGGTCACTGTTATCTGCTGTTTTACTCTGAAAGTGGACCCCAGGCATTTTTAATTTCAGTGATTAACAAAATCATGTCAGTAAACTGAGAGACTAACAAAGGATTGACCAACTTTGAGTTTTGCCAAGCAAGGATATTTAAAACAATAACCACCGTGGACTGCCACCATCATTTCATAGAAGAAGACTGCATAAGTGCCCACAGGAGAGAGCAAGCGTTAAGCTCTGGCCGAGGTACAATTAACTGACTTACCCTGATGCTGCTCAGAGCCTCTTTTTCTAATTTTATTGCAGATGGGAGAAAAACATTTTGTATTAGTGTTTAGGAAGCTCTGCTCAGTTACCACCTAGTGGAGAAATCTAGGAGAAAGGGCTAAAGATGACCTGAGACATATGTCAGGTTTCCTTGACTCCAGGAACAGGAGTGAGAAGATGGATGCCTTGGAGGTGAGCCAGCAGGCTCCAGGGTCCCTCTAACTGAGCCCCTATCTTACCCCTGAAAGCTGTGGGGCTTCAACCTAGTTCTTACACCTCTGGAATGGAGATAGATTAGTACTTCACTCATGGAAAGGCTGGGAAAATGGAATGAGATAATACTTTAAGGCCAACTTTCTAAATATAAGTCTATGGTAAGTGCTCAGCATGGTACCTGGCTCAGCAAAAGTTAGGGATGGTGACGGTGATGATGGTGAGAGGTGGTGGTGGTGGTGGTGGTGACGATGGTGGTGGTGGTAGCAGTGATGATGATAGTGGTGATGATGATGGTGATGGTATGATGATTAATATGGTACAGTGGTGATGATGGTGAGAGGTTATGAAGGGGGTTGTGACAGTGGTGGTAATGATTGTGACCTTGGTGAGAGTTGGTGATGGTGGTGGTTGTGAGTGTGGTGACCATGGTGAGAGTTGGTGGTGGTGGTGGTGGTGGTGGTAGTGGTGACGGCAATGACGATGATAGTATGATGATCAATATGGTATGGTGGTGATGATGGTGAGAGGTTATAGGGCTGGTGGTGACGGGGTAGTGGTGGTGATTGTGGTGACAGTGGTGAGAGTTAATGGTGGTGGTGGTACTGGTGATGGCAAGAATGATAATGATGGTATGGTGACCAATATGGTATGGTGGTGATGATGGTGAGAGGTGGTGGTGGTGGTGACAATGATAGTGATTGTGGTGACGATGGTGAGAGGTGGTGGTGGTGATGATGATGATAATGGTGATGGTGATGATGGCAGTGTGATGACCAATATGGTATGGTGGTGATGATGGTGAGAGGTTATAGTGGTGGTGACAATGATAGTAGTGATTGTGGTGACGATGCTGAGAGGTGGTGGTGGTGATGGTGATGGTGGTGGTGGTGGTGGTGGTGATGATGATAGTGGTGATGGTGATGATGGTAGCATGATGACCAATATGGTATGGTGGTGATGATGGTGAGAGGTGGTGGTGGTGGTGATGATGGTGAGAGGTGGTGGTAGTTATAGTGGTGGTGACAATGGTAGTAGTGATTGTGGTGACGATGGTGAGAGGTGGTGGTGGTAGTGGTGATGGTGGTGGTGGTGGTGATGATGATGATAGTGGTGATGGTGATGTTGGTAGCATGATGACCAATATGATATGGTGGTGATGATGGTGAGAGGTGGTGGTGGTGGTGATGATGGTGGTAGTGATTGTGGTGACGATGGTGAGAGGTGGTGGTGGTGATGATGGTGGTGGTGGTGGTCGTGGTGGTGATGATAGTGGTAATGGCGACGATGGCAGTTTGATGACCAATATGGTATGGTGGTGATGATGCTGATTATGATGTTGTTGGGAGCAGGAGATGAGGAACCTGTATCTTGATGCTTCCCTGAATGTTGGGGGTCAGGTCTGAGATGTGTCAAGCGGGGCAGTGTTCTGACTTCCATTCATTAAACTTGTAAGTCACGATTTGTGGGTGCTCCTGATGTGTGCCCATAACAAACCTGCTACACCAAGAACGTAGTTTTATAGTCATGAGTTCCGAATAGTCTCATAGACCATTGATCCTGCTTCTAATGACTGTCAGAAAGAATACGTGAAGGCCAGCTTCTAGACCAGTGTCCTCACGTGCAGGCGTCCTCGAAGGTTTGTTTGTTAGTAGCCATAACCGTGCAGCATCCATCGGGAGGACACACACCCCTGCAGGCCAGCTTTTGTCTCAACATCACTGGAGAGCTGCATATTACGTTGTTATTTTTGTCTTTCCAATTACACTAACTCCTCACTCAATGTCATTCATCAATAGGTTCTTAAAACTTCGACTTGAAGCGAAAGGACTTATAATGAAGCCAGTTTTTTTCCTTATCAGCATCATAATGAAACAACGTGGGAGGAAACAAAGTTATTTGAGGACCTGCTGTACACAGTTTTGCTTAAAGTCACACATTTCCAAGAACCTGTCAATGGCATTGAGGACTTTCTGTACAAAAATCACTACGCGTGACAGCTCAAATAATAAACAGTTGTTCAGAGACAGTGGTACTGCGTCCCCCTCCTCCAGTCCAGTCCCCCACCCTGAGCGTTGATGGTGGGGTGTGCATCCCCCACCCCCCAAGCCTGTTCCTAGAAGGCCATGGCGCACCTGCTCTGTGCAGAGGCTGGGCGAACACCAGCCCGAGCCTGACTTAAGCAGGATGGGCATGGACATCGTTGGCACTCACTTCCCTGCAGGGAGGTGCACAGTGAAGAATAAAACACAGGTGATTTCAGATAGTGGCACATGCCTGAGGCAATCAGCCCCGATGGTGTGGCGGGGCAGGTACTAGAGATTGTGTTTGCAGTGAGGGCCACTAAGGGGGGCGGAGAAGACCCCTGACAGCAAGAAGGAGCCCCACTTGTGCTGTTCTGTAAGGAGGGTCTTCCAGGCACAGAGAGTGGCTGATGAGAAAGGGCCTGTGTGGAAGGAACCAGGGCCAAGCGAGGGAGGCAGATGCCGCGTGGCGTGAGGAGGGTGAGAGTCCATGCCATAAAGGACTGTCATCCATCTGTCATTGGCTGAATTGTGACCTCCAGAAAGAGATGAGTTGTCCTAACCCCCACTACCTCAGAATGTGGCCTCATATGGAACTAGGGTCATGGCAGATGTCATTAGCTATACAGGAGGGGAGGGGATGGACCCTCAGAGGCGAGACGGACGTACAGGAAACACCACATGGAGACTCTGGCGGTGGCTGGGGCAGCGCGGCTGTGGGGCAGAGAATGCTGAGATAAACGCCACCATCAGAAACCAAGAGAAAGGAAAGGGACAGGTCCTCCGGGGAGCCTTCATGGGGAGCCCTGGCATGGCCTTCAGGCCTCCGAGGAACCCAGAGGAGGAAACGCATTTTTGTGGTTTCACGCCACCCAGCGTGCGGTGCATTGTGGCAGGTGCAGGCCGCTAGTGCCCCCCACCCAGTCTCTGTGTCCTCTGCACAGTAGGGAGCTGGGGAAGGTGTGTGGCTACTAACGTGAGCCTGTTAACGTTGAAAATTTCCCTCTGGCGGCTGGGCAGAGTGGGCTGCAGGGGCTGAAGTAGGCAGTGGTGACAGTGGCTTCCCCAGGCATCAGCGCCACAGGAGGAGAGACACAGACTGTGGCTTGCAAGCAGAGCTGGCAGGACTTGCTGAAAGAGTTAATATGGGAAGTGAGAGGACACAGAGGCCAGGGCCGGGAGACCAGGAGGCCGAGAGCGGTAGAACGTCACATCCTGGAGGGGCGGGGATTTCCCCTTTTGTTTTGTTTCTGTATAAGATCATACCATGTATATTCTGGAATTTTACTTTTCTAATTTAACACCCCGTGGGTCTCCAGTTCTTCCACAAGCTGTTTGAAAGGCCACAGGGCACTGCGTGGAATGCGTGGTCTCTAATAGGTTATGCCAGCCCCTCTCGTTGGGCATTGAAATTGCCTCAGCAGTTTTTTTAACAATTACCAGTAATACTTCCCTGAACATCATTGCACATACATTCTGAAGCGCTCACGCTTTGTTCCTGTGGACATCTCTGCCTGATTGGAAGCTTGCGTTGCACATTCAGCCCACGCCTCCATGGCTGGTCCTGGACTGGGTGAGGACACCATGAGAAACAGCTAGACTTGGGATGTCTGTGTTGACAGGGCCATGGGTGAGAACAGAGAGTTTCTCAAGCGACATGCCAGGAAGAGCTGGCTTCCCCGCACAAGCAGTGCTACCAAGGGTCCATTTGTTACTGAGTCATTCATTCAGCAGACTCGTTGAGAACATGTGTGGTAGGCACGTGCTGGGCACTGAAAATAAACAGACAAACACAACATGACCCACGCACCCAGCCTGAGCCCAGGAGGCTCCTGGTCCCGTCCTGGAACAGCCGGTGACTCAAAGCTCAAATATCATCCCCACCTGGACAGTCTGCAAATGACTTTCCTTCTTCCCTCATCCCCTTTCCCATCCTCACTCTCTTCCAAGTATCTGATTGCACGCATGTGCACATGTGTGAGTAGGGGAGAGGCTGTGTGTTTTCATAAGCGAATCCTGATTTTCTGACAAAAGAGACATGAAACAAATATGTTAACAAGTAATGTTGCTCCCTCTCATGAGGGGGTCACTGGCTGCCCTTATAGAAGGCCTTGGAAAGAATTACTTCATGCATTCCTGTTCATTGGCGGTCTTTGGCCTTTGAGAGTGGAACTCTGCATCTTCTTGTCCCTCCTGGATGAATACAGGACACTTAAACATTTAAAGGGGGGACACAGAGATGGGCAGGACTGTGAGAGTCCCCCTGAAAAGCGAGATTTCATAGAAGTATTGAATTTTACCAAAAGTTTCAGAAGTCCAATTCATTATTAGATTTCTATAAATATAAATATTTATATGATATTTCTTGCGTTGAATTCAGTATGTGCTCAAGTTAAGTGTGATTTGAAAAATGACCAAGTCTCCTAAGGTGAAGTTTGTGTGTGAACAGGAGGGCCGGGGTCGCTGGGTTCCAGGCGCAGCCATGAGACACCTGCTCTGCACCCAGCTCTTCTTTTGTTTTGCTCACCGAGAAAAAGAAGACTCGGGAACCACAGAACTAACACAGAAGTAAGTTAGAAAATTACTCACGTATTCGCCCACTGTGTGCCAACAGAGTCTTGATCTATTGCCCAGGCTGGAGTGCAGTGGCACGGTCTCAGCTCTTACTGCAGCCTCTGCCTCCCAGGTTCAAGCAGTTCTTGTGCCTCAACCCCCCAAGTAGCTGGGACT
Source organism: Homo sapiens (assembly GCF_000001405.40). Taxonomy (NCBI): domain Eukaryota; kingdom Metazoa; phylum Chordata; class Mammalia; order Primates; family Hominidae; genus Homo; species Homo sapiens. The sequence continues at coordinate 236,003,184 of NC_000002.12, forward strand.
ACAGGCACATGCCGCCACGCCCAGCTAATTTTTGTATTTTTAGTAGAGACGGGGTTTTGCCATGTTGCCCAGGCTGGTCTCGAACTCCTGGCCTCAGGTGATCTGCCTGCCTCAGCCTCCCAGAGTGCCAGGATTACAAGAGTGAGCCACCACGCCCAGCCCAGGATGCTTTCTTTTCATGGGTCTTTGTCCTTTGGAGGGCCTTGACCTCACGCAGCAGGGGAGGATGCTGGCCCACACCAAGGCACCAAGATTTTACCCACCTCTGTGTGTGGTCGCACGTCCTCCTCATGGCCACGCTGGGATGGAGGTGGACTCTGAGCACAGACAAGGGACCCATGGCCCAGAGCCCAGAGTCACCCGCAGCCCCCCTGCGCTGCTGCTGCCCGCATGGGGTACCCTTAAGTCCCACATCCAAGCTCCCTCCACCCCACACTCTCCCTTGGATTTGCGCCTGTTCTTTCTCTGGCTGTGCACCTGGCAGTGCTGAGAGGAGAGCCTGGTGGGCACTTCCACCCTGATCAAATTCAGTCATTAACCCCACTGAAACCTGACAAGGCCTGTGTGCAGCTCACTGTGGAGGGGTCACTGCTGTCCTACCACTTTTTTTTTTTTCTGGAAGTTTGCATGTCCTACACTATCTATAAATATGTAACTTTTTTTCCAAAGAACTTAAAATGAAAGAATATGAGAAAACCCCTAAATAATACATACATGGTATAGATTGATGCATAAAACAGTCAGCCCCTGGACTCCATGGCTCTGTGGAATGGGCGGTTTAGTATTCCTTTTTCTGGCAACTCACTTAGGGCTTTTACAGGTGCAATGAGCTTTGGTGAAAATAGCCAATGGGCACCTCGTATCTTGTGCCCCAAATATTCCTATTTAGCACAGTGTATTCTGGATGCCTGAGTGACTGCAAACCCTCCTCCTGTGTAACTTTGTTACTGTTTTTCCTGTCTCAGGAAAGATGCTCATTTTGTCTCCTGACTGTGGCAGTTGGGGGTCTTGAGACCATTCCTGAGTTTAGACCTTCCCAGGGGAGATCAGTGACCACAGATGTGCCTCGGTGAATTTCACAAACCCAGCTTAGCGTGACCCAAGTTTCCAGCTTTACCGAACTTTGTCATTGTTATTAAAAAGATGATTTTAGTGTGCTGATTAGAAACTGGGATCCACATTCAACATAAGCACAAACTTTTTTTCCCAGTGGGCCAAAGCTCATTTCTGATCATTAAAAGCTAATCCTGAAAATTAGCTGGAGCATGGTTCAAGCATACGTTGTAATCTGTTAAAAGCAAAAATAATAATTTCAAGCAGTGTTCTGCGTCTGTGTGGAAACAGCTGGTCTACCCCAAAGAGCATCAGGAGGCTATACCCTCCTCCCACAATTCCAAATAAAATATATGGAGACAGCACAGCATCCGGAAGAACTGGCATTGGTAAATTATTGCCTCCAAAGAATATTAGTTAGCAAACATACTTTGAAAGCCATCTTCACAATCATAAATTCAATAGTACTTCTTTCAGTCACAACTGAATGCCAGTTGGGGCAGCCTTTCGAGTTGTTAAGCAGTTTAGTAGCAAATGTGACATATAGTGTGTGTGCCACAGTAAGATTTCAAATTGTCATTAATTTGTAAAATTTAGGAGAAGAAATGATATATTGTGACGAGATAATAGTTTTCTCTGTATGTACTCCAAGCTATCAAATACTTCTAGCCTTTAACTTGGCAGTGTTACTCTTGGCATTTTATTCTATGGAAACAACTGAAATGAATGGAAGAAAAAATAATATTCCTGTTCAAGATGCTTATTAGAGTGTATTTGATAGACTTTGTTTTCTAGGAAAGCTTTAGACTTTTAGAAAAATTGAGGAGATATTATAGGTTATTCCCATAGGCTTCCCACCACTTCCCCCTGACAAGTTTCCCATGTTTTTTGTGTGTGTGTGTGTTTTGGTTTTTGTTTGTTTGTTTTTGTGACAGGGTCTCACTCTGTCACCCAGGCTGGAGTGCAATGGTGCAATCTTGGCTCTTGCAACCTCCGCCTCCCAGACTCAAGCGATTCTTGCCCCTCAGCCTCCCAAATAGCTGGGACTACAGGAGTGTGCCACCGGCTAATTTTTTTTATTTTTGGTAGAAACGTTGTTTCACCATGTTGCCCAGGCTGGTCTCAAACTCCTGACCTCAAATGATCCACCCACCTCAGCCTCCCAAAGTGCTGGGATTACAGGTGTGAGCCACCATGCCCACCCTCTCCCCTGTTAATTTACCTCTTTCATTAGTATGGTACATTTCTTAGAGTTCATGAGTCAATATTGATATGTTTTTATTAAAGTCCACACTTTATTTGCATCTCTTTAGCTTTAACCTCATGCCGTGTCTCTGTTCCAGGATCCAAATCCTATTCCATTGTCATGCCTCCTTAGCCTTCTCTTGGCTGGGACATTTTCTCAGACTTTTCCTGTCTTTGATGACCTTGAAGGTCTTGAGGCATGCTGGGCCAGGTGTATGATAGGAATCCCTCTACTGGAATTTGTGCAATGCTTTTCTCAGGTTTCATCTTGAGTTACAAGTTTTGTGGAGAAGGACCACAGGGTGAAGTGCTATTTCCATCCTATCCTGTCAAGGGTATATACCATCAACTTTATTTATGGCTGCTGATGTTGACCTTGATCCTTTGACTTGAGGTAGTGTCTGTCAAGTTATTCTGCTGTAAAGTCATTGTGCCCCTCCACAGCCCATACTGAACTTTTGGAAGGAAGTCACTGTGCACTTAAGGAGTTGGGCGTTAGACCCCCTGTCCTTGAGGGTGGGGTGTCTATGTAAATTTTTTAGAATTCTTTTGCAGGGGAGATCTGTTTCTCTCCCCCATTTATGACTATATTCAGTTGTCTATTTGTATTCATGTGGACTTGTGAATATTTATTTTGTATTCTAGGCTGCTATCCAATACTGCTGTGGCCCAGATTATTCCACCCGTGGCTCCTGGGGGCTCCTCTGGCTGCTCCCACACCCTTTGCCCTACACCCCATCTCTGTGGGGTTTCTTTTGTTTGAGCACTTTCCTTCCTTTCTGTCAGTACAAGGTGCATTTTGTATCTTTCCTGCCACAATCTTAGAATCGGCTGTTTCCCAAAGAGCTCTGGTTCCTTTTACTGGAGAATGGTATTAGAAACCAGTGTCTTGGAGCTAGGCGTGCTCGTTGCTTCTGGGGTGCCATTTCTTGGTTCTCTTGGCCAACAGAGTAAAGAACGAAATGTGTGTATACTAACCTGCATATGCATATATATCTACAAATATTTCTATATGTAACCATCTGTATCTATATTTAACAGATTTCATATTCTTACTGGCATAAAATTGGAAATAACTAAGTGTTTTAACATGAGGAATGGCTACAACTATGTTAATACTACCTCCATGATGCAACTGTTATAAGGGACAGGTTGGAAAACTGTGGAAACATAATACTTTACATTAAAAAGTAGTATTTTTTATTGTAGAGTCTCCAACAAAGGTCTCTGTTGGAGTTACGCTTACAATGTGATAGTTGTGTGTGTGTACGGATATGAACTTTAAAGGAAAAATGGAAAAGGTAGATAAGCCATGGCTTATTCATATTAAACTAACATAAAATTAACTTTGCTTCTGCCATAATGTTAGTCTTCCAGTGAGTTCTTGCTGAAACCTGAATGAAGTTGATGTATTTAATTTTAAATGAAAGAAATGAGACACTTTTTATTCCGTTGTTGTGTTAGCCCTGCAGTGCTTTTTCAGGCCCTCCCAGATTAATAATGACCTTGTTTACTCATTGACAGTAACCAAAGAGCCTGCTAAAAAAGTTGTGAAGTTAAGGTCAAAGCAGTTTTATGGGAGGAAATCTGTGAGTGTTTAAAGGAAGGATTTCCATAATAGCAAGAAGAGCCCAAAGTTGGGAATTCTTCTTTTGCTTTTCCACTCTGATCTTTGTATTAATGCTTGATTGACTGAATAAATGCCATGTATCTTATGGTTTTCATGATGATTTCTCAAGCCACACGTCAGGATACTTTTGGGAATTTCCAGAGAAGTCCTTAAATGGAAAAGCTAAAATTATCTCTAGTAGATATTTTCACCAGTCTTCAGTTCAGATGGCTTACATATAAGAGGAGCATGATTGACTGGATAACCCTGAAGTGTATCATTTCACCCGCTGTAGTTGTCAGAACTCAACTACAAAGATGGCAGATCAAATACTTCAAGAAGGGTGGTTGTTTGCCATTGTGGAGGCTGGTGGTCCAGCGATCACAGCCCCTCAATTACGGCCCTGCGTGAGAGCACAAGCAGCAGTCATTACATAATTATACCTCTGATTAGTTGGTTGAACTGGCCATTGCCTTTGAAATATGATAACACAATTTGGAGTTTTATTAAAAAACAATTTTTTTGGAATTTTTGAAAAAGATTTTGTGTTTAAGAAAAAAGAACCAAAGGGCCTGCAATATATTCTGTTAGAGGAGATTAAAAAGAAGAAAGGGATGAGGGAAAAAAAGAGATGAATGTTTCCCATTATCACTCATTTCTGTCTCAGGAGGGCTAAGGTGGCCCCTGCTCACCAGCCTTCCCCTCTCGGCATCACCAGCCCCCAGCCTGCTATCCGCTTCACAGAGCAGCGAGCCAGTCCTTGGAGAGGGGACGTGAGAAGGGGCAGAAGTCAGGGGACCTGAGGCTGCTCCCCGGCACCAGTGCTGCTCAACACACACAATTGTGTGACCACCACTGAACAAATCTCACAAGAAAGAGGTGCATTTTACTCCACACGTCATTTGGTTTTGAAAAACTAATTTGAACCTCATTTTTTTCTAAGTGAGAATTTGGTTTGCTGTGTGTGTGTTTTCAATTTGGATTGCCAAGTATTCAGTCCTAACATATGTTATGGTTGGAGTGCATATAACACTGTGCAGCCGAATAACTAGACCTAGAAAATAAAACTGATCACGGTAAAGTTATTTTCCAGGCAGGGGATGCCTCATGATACTGGCTGGGGCCCAACCACACCCAAGGCCTCGTCGGTTTCTGTTCTCATGCTGTTGTCATATACCCAGAAGTAGGGGAAGCCCAGGAGCCATGGAGCCTCAGTGTCAGTTCCCTGACAAGCCATCCTCCAAAAAAGCCTTTCCTTTGCAAAATGAACAGGTACTCCGTGAAAACAGGGAGAGAAATTTCTGTTTTTCACCGATGCATTTCTCACGTTCATCTGACAATGTGCAAAACAAAAAGTCTACATTAGAAATTTATCATGAAGTTATACTCTACTTCAACTCACTTCTTTTCAGTCCCTGTGAAAACTTAATACTCTTGGTGTTGTACTGAAATACCCAGTGGATTTGGGGTGCACCTGTACCCTTGATCTCCACTTCTGCGTGTTTCTAGGCCAAAGGGAAAACCAACTCTCTACCTAATTGGAACTTCTGGTTTTATTGCATATCCTGGAGGTCTTGCTTCGTTTTTATTTTCCCGGGTTGATGGTCTTTCCCATGTGCACCTACGTTAGCCCACTATGTAGAACGCCTTGGCAGTTTTCACAGAGTAAGAGGTTGAAGGAAGCCACCAATGTGAAAATCATATTTGCTGTAAAGAAAGAACCATTGTGAGTTGTTGGAAACCAGATTAAAATTCCATAATTGGAGATTGATGACTTTTATTTCATGAGTTTTACTTAGTTAGGTGTTTTATCTTCTGTGTTTTGTGGCTCCAAATTACGAAGACTGTTGGCCTTGCAAGAAACTGATCACGGCAAAGTTATTTTCCTTACTGAACACGTGTCCTATATATTTGCTTGGCCTCGGGTTTTGTTTAATCCCTTCAAAGGCCCTTTGAACTGATGTTTCAACATGACTCCTTCTCTGTGAGCTCTCCGCTAGGAAGCGGCCATCATGTCAAGCCCCTTCACAGCTAAAGTAGTGAGTTCACATAGTCGAAGAATCTTCTGGGTTGCATCTTATGAAAAAAAGAAATCCACTGCCTTTTTATAAGAGAACAGAACATTTACACCGTCTTGTTGAGCAAATGAACGTTCAAATGGCCAGCACAAAAGAAATCCCCAATCTCTAACCTCACAATGAAATCGCCACGGACAAAAGATCACGGGATACCGGGAGCACTAAACTGGAAGTGACACAAAACCACAGCAGAATCCGCTCACACCTGCCGAGGTTCCTGGGGGATGATCTTTGTGTAAAGGATCCTGGTGCCGCAGTCAGCCTGAAACACTCCAAGGAGCAGAGACGCTCCCCTCTGCAACAGTGACATTTATACTGATGGCGTCTTTTTAAATAAATTAATACATGTCTGATGTGGACAGAGTAGTGCTGTCTGACAAGGTGATCATTTGACTTTTCTTAGAGGTACAAATTTACGCTCCCTTCTATGAATAGAGAGGGCTATTTGTTTCATTCAAAGACAAGACATTGTTAGAAATGAGTGGCACACCTCTTCAACCCATCCCCTTCCTCCATGGAGGTAAAAAGATCCTATTAGTTCTCATAATTGATTCTGAGGGCTGCAGCGTGCCTCATTTAGCCGTCCCTGCTCGGTTCACGCCAAGGATGTAATTCATGCACACTTGGACGTCCAACATGGCTGACGCGCCTTGGACACACAGCCTCGGCGCTGCATCATTTTTTAATCAGCTATCTGAGGAATATTTATCTGATCAACAAAGAGTGTTGTCAGGAGGAGACCAGAGGTGACATTAATAAGCCTGTGGTTTCCTGGTACAATGATGGAGGAAGAGTTTGGAATAAAACCCTGCTCGTTTGAGCATGCCAGCAGACTAAAGAATATTTTTATTCTGCTTACAAAGAGCCAGTCAAAAGAGTCTCAGTTTGAAGTGTTCAGTTAAGTTTAAGTCTCAGTGATAAGTTTTCAGGCATTCACATGTGTTAGTAAAAAAAAAAAAAACAAAAAACTTTTAGAGAAACAAATTAACAAATTTTATTTCAAAATAAAAATTTAAGTTCCTCATGTCGCAGGAACCCAGATGAAAAGCTGTAGCTTCTAAAAATAGGGAGAGGTGTAATAATTGGGAGCTGTTAACGCTAAATGATTCCAGCTACTCTAACTTAGTAGAAAGACGTAGTAAGCTGCACACTTTCCCCTTCTGTCTGTCTTTGAAAAGATCGTGACTGTCTGTTAGTAATTACAAGGAGCTGAGTATATTATGCCAGGCCTCGTTTGGTCATCCAGACACAAGATTTGCTGTTTATAACGATCAGATGCCTTAAGAAATGTTCTGTGAATTAAAGTTTCTATCACACTTTCTTTTCTAAGTGCATCACTGTTTGTGCACCACATGAGACCCTCATGAGTGGAGTGACACCCATCCCATCTGCCAACCTGAAGACGCAGAAAGTCCATACATAGCCAGTGTAGACATCAGCACACTTTGTCCACGTTAGGATCGTGGTACCAGAAGGTGCCACAGTGATCTCTCTTTGTAATTCAAAGACTGCCTCATGAATTCAGTTTGCTAACGCCTTCGGTGTTCCTCAACAGGAGGGCTCTGTGTGTGTTTTCCGGAAAATTAATACCATTGTTATATTACACAAGGATAAATAAACATTTTGTCTTAGAGTTTGGGAGTGAGTCTCTCTGCATTGTCTTAACCTGAGTTTTTCAAAGTTTTGATCCTTTTAATCCTTAGAAAATACACTAAAAAAGTACAAAAAATTAGTCGGGCGTGGTGGCGGGCACTCGTGGTCCCAGCTACTCGGGCGGCTGAGGCAGGAGAATGGCTTGAACCTGGGAGGTGGAGCTTGCAGTGAGCTGAGATGGCGCCACTGCACTCCAGCCTGGGCTAACAGTGCAAGACTCCATCTCAAAAAAATGAAAAAAGAAAATACATTCCAGCCAGCATGATGATGAGTTTTCCATGTGTGTTTTAAATTCCCAGCAGTCGGTGGTGATTCCCTTGTTTGACCTCTTGCTGTGATACCCGCATGTAGCACCCTTGTGTTTCACCTGAGTTCACGGTTCACGTTTTGGCACCATTGTGGGGACAGTGCTGTCCTCCCACGAGTGGCATTCTCTCCCAGGCCCACTGACTGTTCTGCCTACCCAGATTAGAGCTCAGAAAGTTCCATTTAATTTGCAGACTAAAGTGAGAAGAGATCAGTCTCGTTGTCTACACTGGAGCTGACAGTCAGTTTGTACCACATCTGAAATTATACTTGTGGGATTTCATGTCCATTGAGATTCGCGTATGTGTTTTTAAACATGTAAGACAGTGCTGAGACATCCTGCCGCATACATAGCTATGGGAGGCATTGTGAAACTCTGTTTACCAAAGAGACTTTTGCTTACGCAGCAAGCAAAATAGCAGAATGGAAAACACTAACGGAATGCTCACACCCTGCTGCCTTTTTGTTTAATAACAGGTGAAATTTTGATACTAGAATAATAGATTTTGTGAGAAATAACATTAGTAACAAAATCAAAATAAGTTAGCCTGTGTTTAAGAGGAAGAAACTGTATTCCTGAAAGTAGAACAGGAATTTTACTAAAAATTTTAATTAAAATAAAGACCCGGAAAGTTTTAGTCTATTGCTAGTCCCCCTGAAGTCCCCGAGAATCGCCTTTTATTCCAAAGGCCTGAGACCAGAGGGAGGCTGCCAGTGGTGGGCAGTGGCTGGGTGGCACCAAACATCAGCTCGGAGCCTCCTGGTTCCATTTGGCACAGTGTCTCCGTAGCCCCTCAAAGTGATTCCAGGCAGCAGCATCCGACATAACCCAAGGTGTTATTGATGATAATAGGATTGTATTTTCTTGTTGAGAAGCTTCTAAACAAGGGAACTTAGAGCAATCAATGCCCCCGGAGACCGATGCACATATCAGGACCTTGGTATCAGCTAGAAAACATCCATTTGTTTAAGGGGAAGAAACAGGCACGACATTTTGCACATTAAAATGGATTATTTCATCAATAGGTTAATAGAAAGCCGGGCTGCAAGTTCACTTCCTGCTTATACATCCTGTGGTAATGGGAGAGCAGAGTGTGAAAAATGGAAGGCATAAAGCGGGCGAGGAAAGAGGCTTTCTGCACTCGGGCACCCCTCCCCTCCCGAGGGGTGCCCAGCCTCCATTCTGCCTATTTATATGTAAATATTGCTGCAAGAGGTAAGTTGTACTCTTGAGGAGTGCAGCCTTCTCATGGCTACCTCTTTCTGGAACTTGCGAAATACTGTCCCAGACACCAGAGCTGCAGCAGTTAAAAATTAAGCCCATGCCTAATTCTGCATCATCATGCCTGGGGCCCCTGGTACATACCCATCAAGCATTTCTAAAGCAAACATTTGAGACCCGGGACAGATTTGGTTTCCTTCGTTCCTCATGCATGGTATTTGTACCGGTGGGTACCTGAAGATCCTTTTCCCAGGTTTGGAGTTACCTGAGACAGATACTTAGGTAGGACCTTATAGATAGTGAAGAAACCTGAAGGTATAGACATAAAGAAGTCTTCACTTGTGAAAAATTAAATGTAGACCCGTATCCTTTAACACCGCAGATGCCTGCTAGTTTAGAGGTTGTTTCTTACTAAATTATTATTATTATTATTATTATTATTCTCTTGAGATGGAATCTCTCACTGTCGCCCAGGCTGGAGTGCAGTGGTACGATCTCAGCTCACTGCAACCTCCGCCTCCAGAGTAGCTGGGATTATAGGCGTGCCCCACCATGCACAGCTAATTTTTGTATTTTTAGTAGAGACGGTGTTTTGCCATGTTGGCCAGGCTGGTTTCGAACTTCTGTCCTCAAGTGATCCGCCCACCTCAGCCTCCCAAAGTGCTGGGATTACAGACGTGAGGACCTGGCCTATTTGTTGATTTTCACACTGCAAAGGAATTGTTAGATGTGTTTAGTTATAACAAGTTAATATCACTTTAAATCAAGAAGCAACTAAATCACAGCTAGTTTTTACTTGTGAATAATGTAAAATTTGCATCCTAAATATACAGTGCTTTATCGCAGAATTGTATTTGCTTCCTTAAAGGCTCAGGTTTCTCGCGTATGTTTTGTGTTGTCTCTACAAAGAAATCCAGTGTAGTTAGAAGCACTTGAGATTCATTTCTGCAACATAACTCATCCCAGGCGCCTAGTCATCACCCTGGGTCATTTTCTGGCCACCAGAACTTGGTGCACACGCCGAACCTACAACCACAGCCTCAGCTGTAGTGTTCGAAATGGAGAATTTTGGCTCAAACACTACAGCAGGCAAGAAGAGTTAACCTGTCGTAAGTCAGGAACACGTTGGGGTTGATTAGGGAGCTGACCGTTGGCCAGCTCATGCTTTGGGAACCAGAGGGCCAGCCTGGCTGCCTGCTTTGCGGGCTTAAGACCTGCCTCTGGAAGGGTAAGGGCCTGCCCGTCCAGATAAGTGCTGCTCACCTGCATTAAACAAACGGCCACACAGAGCCCAGTGGGAGCCTGCACTGGTTTCTCTTCCTGCCTGTGGCAGTTGAGAGAGACAGACGGTCCTGTGAGACCCCTTCTTCAGAAGGTGAATGACAGTGACCGCCACTAAACATTCCATTCCACCTGCCTGCACGGCAGTCCAAGCCCTCTAGCCCTGTGACCTGGGGCTGTGCCTTTGCTTGCATTTGCCTGAAGAGTTGAGCCACCCTGTTTAACTCTTGGGTTTTTATAAAATGTCTCCTGAAGGGCGGAGAGAATGCCTCAAGTCGATGTCTTCCCTGCCACAGATGTCAGCATTTCTGAGTTGATAGTTGGGAGGGTAAGGGCCTGGTGGGGTGGAGAATGTGTCTCTGGAGGGTGGGGGCCCCATCTCAGTGAGCCAGCCAGGCACTGCACACAGCCTGAGTGGTGGGCCTGCTGCGCCCTTGTTAAATTGGTTCTCTTCCGAACCCAGCGTCCCACTGTCGGTGACTTGGCGTTTTGTCCTTTCTCCTGAGAACCTGAGGTGGCATTTGCTCTTCTGGTTCCTAGGAGCTCCATTTAGAGCCGTAACTCCCCCGAGTGTCAAAGAGAATAGACTCCTCCCTCCAGGACAGCAGAATGGCACTAGGGGGTTTTGCTGCTGTAGGTATTGCCTGAATCAAAATCTGTCTCGGGAAGACAACTTCACTTTTAACAGCTCTTGGTTTTAAAACCTACCTTCTCCAACACATAGGCATGAACTGCTCATAACCAGGGTCTCTTGATTTGACATGCTCCTAATATTTGGCCGAATCAAAGGGCTTGTGGCGACTGGCATCATAGCTCCTTCAAAGGGTGTCATCATTTCCCAAGGCAGAGGCCAGTTTTTGTGCTGTTTTGAGTAGCCACGTGTGAAACCCAGCAGGGCGAAGCAGACTTCTGCGCGTGGGTAGTTCTTTGACGTTAGATGCAATCCTGATGACCCTGCTCCACCTCTGCCCTTCCTGAGTTCCTCTGTTCACCGCAGGGGAGTTGGAGGGCTCAGCCCAGGGAGCTCCATGGCACCCACCCGCTTCGCGCAGACAGCTCGGAGGCAACGTCACGTGCTACTTTGACCTTTTTTTTTCTCCCCTTTTCATTTGTTTTCTTTTCCTTTTTGTTTTCTCTCTTTTTCCCCTCTCCCCTTTCTGCTCTCGGGATGCAGCCAAACGCAAAGCATGGAAACTAAACCGTGTTGGTAGCCTGCGAAATATATACAGCAGCAGCACCAACACTGAAGGTAACGCCTCCGCACCTCCACCCGCCCACACCTCCACCTGCCTCTTCCCCTCTCATCCCCTGCCCGCCCCTTCCTTTCCAACACAGGCATGGAAATGCAATTTGCCCAAAGCCGCATGCTCCCTTATTGTGTTTGCAGAGTCATTCCTGTGGTCTTTTCATCTTTTTGTTTGTGTGTTTTATTTTACCATTCGTGTTCCTTTCAGCTTACTTAAATTTTGACCTTTCCCTTCAGTCGTAGAGTAGTGATGTTTAAATTACTTCAGAAACCTATTTTCTCCTCTTTTTTCTTTTCCTTTATACATGTGGGCACTCAGTGTAATATTTCCCAAGTTATTACAGTTTTTAAAAGTGTTAGTATCAGGTGTAATGATCTGTAGCCAAATACAATAGTGTGCCGTGACATTTAAGTAACAGTCTTAATTTGTTTTGTGGAAGCATTCTCCATAATGCTCTCTGCAGCTCTAATCCACAGGCAGGCAGGCCCGGGCCATTTGCATGGGCTGCTATTTGCTTGTAAAGTCAGTATTTTGTTGTGTTTCTAAAGGTCGTCTGGTGCCAAAGTTCACAAATTGACTTGCGTTGCTTTTTTCACCGAAGACAGCCGTCATTGCTTTTGTATAATAGCAGATTGAATTTTTCCCCCACCTTCATTTGAACAACATAATTATAAATTGCCTTTTTTTTTATGATTACAAATGTCAAGGGTCGGAATTACTTTGATGCCAGGCAAGGGAAAACCACCACCATCAGCCCAAGCGCACATAAGGGAGGCGGGGGCATCGGGCGTGTGATGCAAAGCAGGTCACAATCCAGCGATCTTGGTATAATAGGGGGACATTTTTTTTCACTTAAGTGCAAGCCAAATGGGTCAAGTAATCGCAAGCTCGTGCCCTAACACTAATTGACTTATTTGGGGATTATTATAACTGTAATATTTTTCTTAATGTCACTGTTTTCTGGGCTGTTGATTTTAGCGATTGCCAAGCAATGGCATTAAATCTCTTGTAAATTTTAAATTGCACGTTATTTCTGTAAACAAGTCCCTCTCTTCACATCCTGGTCATTAACCTTTGCCGATTTATATCACCATCCTCTTTTTTTCTTTCTTTCACAATTACTCCTGTCTTGCCGCTGAACGCCCTGCTCTCAGCCAGGAAAAAAAAGAAAAAGAAATCTGGAAAACAAATCTACATTTTCACTATGGCTTGTTAAAGAGCCATTTTTTAATCATAATTTTTTTTTTCATTTCTCAAGGGAAAATTGTTGTCTGTTAAGATACCAGTGGAGCTTGGCCTCATTGGTATCTTCTTTCAAAGCACTCAAGAAATAACCAAATGAAAGAGGGAAAAGAATAGAAGTTAAGAAACGGTCATTCATTATCATTTTTGTTGCATTTTAAAGGGTATTAGTATACTCTTTTCACCGTTTTTTAAATGTTTTTCAACTTAGCGTGCATATCATTTCTCCTCCCTGTGTCCTTATCAAATATGTTGGGTTTGCTTTTTTTTTTTTTTTTTTTGTATGCATGTGGGTTTGTCGCAACAAATTTGTTTATTGACTTCCAGCCTTTAAAAAAAAATTGTGAGGTCTGGTTTCAAATGCAGTGTATAGAAAATTGGGGGACAGCAAGGGGACATACCTCCTTAGCCTTGAGGGCAAATGGTTCCCTGAGACTTGCTGATGGGCCTTCCTGGAGACACTGGTGGGTGACACGGGACCCAGTAGAACCAGGAGTGAGGATTTGCAGCAGTGCGAACTTCTCAGCCTTAGCTTCTCAGGTAATACACAGCATCTGCTCTGCCCAGCACCTCGGAGGGGTGGAGAGCGTGAATTCCTCTCTGAAATCTGTCAGTACTGGATAGCACTGCAAACATGGGGTCCCTCTGTCAGTAGCTATGAAAGGCATTCCTGGGGATACTAAATAGTGACTGCATATCCAATTGTCCCTCACAATTTCTTTCATTTTTCTCAGTTATAGTAAGTTTCTGTTTGGTGTTCAAGGTCATGTATGAATTTTCAATTAAAAGACAGCATTCTTCATTTACTTTGGGTTTATTTTAAGATTAACATGTGTACACATACAATCTCATTTCATACGGTTTTTAATAATGTATTACAGAATTCAGGCCAGACGCAGTGGCTCATACCTGTAATCCCAGCACTTTGAGAGGCTGAGACGGGTGGGTCACCTGAGGTCAGGAGTTTGAGACCAGCCTGGCCAACACGGTGAAACCCCATCTCTACTAAAAATAAAAAAAAAAATTACCCGAGCATAGTGGCGAGCACCTGTAATCCCAGCTACTCAGGAGGCTGAGGCAGGAGAATCGCTTGAACCCAGGAGGCGGAGGTTGCAGTGAGCCAAGATCACTCCACTGCACTGCAGCCTGGACGACAGAGCGAGACTCCATCTCAAAAAAAAAAAAAAAATACATTACAGAATTTATAAAATTATATAAAATAATTGTCAAATTCCTTTCTGATTTACAGCCTTTTGATGTATGAAGTTATCACATATTCACTGTCTATAAAGTGACCCTTCATGAAAATTTGTATCCTGAACATTTTAACTTTTGTTTTAACCTCACGTCGTGTTACACTAAATATATCCATCCCCAAGTGGAGTATCTTTTAAAGTGGTCCACTTGAGTGATTTACTCAAAGGCACCCAAAAAACACCACCCAAGTAAGGTGGACACTGGAGTTTCCTGTGTCTAGAGGGAGAACTTGAGCTTCAGGAATAAGAGGAGACCACCCACTAGGAGCTGGGAGTGGACTCAGCTGTTCTGGGACTTTCCTCAGGATCCTGGTTTAGGAGAGACAGACAGAGCCAAGGTTTGAGTCTAAGGATCTCTCTGAAGCCCTTTTTCTTTTATGTCCTCTCTCTTCCGGCCTCTGGACCACATTATCTCATTTAATCTTCACACTCCCCCTGCCAGGTAGGTATCATGTTATGGATGGAAAATTGGGATTCTGATAACTCAAGTGATTTTCTGCAGAACAAGCTAGCATGTTCCAGAGGCAGGACGTGTGCCCAGATCTCTTGACTGTGGGACCTGCTCACAGATCCACGTGGAAGGAGTTTGTGGATGGAAGTCAGGAGTGGATAAAAACAAACAAAACTTACAAGGGAAACGCACAGACAAGATTAAAAAACAAAAATATTTTATCTTTTGTCTGTCCATTGTGGCTAACACTGAAACTGAGATAGAAACTTTGGATATATATGATTGCACTAATGTACAAACTTTTGTTGCTTTTTAACAATTAACTTTCTCAAGATGGGTGAAATTGAGTTTTCTTCAGCCAGAATGCAGCTGTAACTTTAACATCTCAGGAACCTGTGAATGGAAGGGTGTCTTAATGGTATGATCCTCCAATTAACAGCTGTCTCCCAACCCAAGGGAGAATAAGATCTAAATACCAGATGACTGAGGCTAGACTCACCAATGTTCAACTGAAAGTAAATGTATTGGAGAAAGAACAAAGAGGACCAAGTGGCAGAAGAGTGGACGTTGTGCAGGAGGAAACTCGGGAGGGAGGCCTCTTCGCTGCACCGCAGGGCAGAATTGCACAACACCTGGACCCATCTCCAGGCCTCACCTGCCCCATGCAGCTAAACAGATGACATTATCATCCGCTGTGAGTTGGGTGAACACATGGGCTCTTTCAAGAGCATTTAAGCTCTCTGTTTTTGCAGAAGAAAAGTACTTCCAGTACCTAAATAGATAAAGGAGAGAGGTGTTAGGAAACAAGGGGGCATTTCTTGGGATGCCAAGCCCATTCCCTGGCAGCAGAATGAATACTTAAGATAGGCCTCTTCAAATAGGTGATGACACTTGCATCCAGGTGTTAGCCAGATTCAGTACTGGCCTAAAGTCCCAATTCGAGCCCGTCTATGAGGGCCCGTTTCTGTGGATTTAGAGCTCGCCCCAGCAACAGGCCTGGGAAACCTCTGCTTTGGGTACTTCCGTTCACCACAGTGGGCCAGATCGCTGGAACCCAGTCTCCCCGACACTGCGATTCCAAGCATAGGCATTGCCATGGGGAAACAGCAAACCTCCTCTTGGAAATTTCATCACAGATACAGCTTCGCGCCTCAGGCCTGCAGTCAGACCCGCACCTGCCTTCTCCACTGAACAGCCCAGATGGTCACTGTTCCTCTGAGCAGATGTGAGCAGGCCTAACTTGTTGGCCATTCCCTCCAACACTCGTTTTCTTGGTCACAGTTCTGAGACTTCCAACTCATTCACAGTTAAACAAATTACAGGCCCACATCTGAGAATGATGGTCTTGCTGAGTGTGAGGTAGGCCTGCCTCCTTGTTCCCGACTCTCAGGTCCCTGCTGGGATGCGCCATTGCCTGCGCTGGGTGCTGGGGCAATGGAGAGGGTAAGGGTGCACCCGCCCACTGCCCTCAGGGAGCTTACTGTCAGTCTAGGAGGCTGCACAAAGGATCTCATGCAGAAGGAGGGAAGAGGCCCTGGATGCTCTGGGGGCTTTGTGGAGAGCAGAACTACATTTGATTTAGGGGTCAGGACAGGTATCATGGCCTGCGGGATGTGACAGGAACCACAGTGACCGCATCCTCAGTGCTGAGAAATTTCCAACATCCTGTCGTGCACCCCTAGCAGAGGGAGATCTTTTCCTCCTTGTTTTATAAAAGAAGAAACCGAGCCTGGGAGAAGGGCAGGCATCAGCCCCAGGAGCTCTCAGGAAGACGGGGCTGGAATTCCAGGTGGAGGCAGCAGCCTGCACCTGGACGGGGCTTAGTACAGAGCCTGCAGCGCCCTTAGGCTTGAGTGTGAGGTGTGTGCCGAGGATTCTTTTGGGACCAGTACCAGTGGAGGGGACTAGATGATCCACAGATCTGCAGACAGCTGTCATCATCATCTCCAGCAGAGGAAGAAGGCAGCCCTGCCTGACAATCTGTGACCCATTGTGTTGTGTGTTTCCTGAAGGACTCACTGCAGTGTCTGATCAAGGCCCCCGCCAAATGCCCCGGCAGTCTCCCCAGTGCCCCGTGTGGGTCCCCACTGTGAGAGGCTGCCTTCCAGAACCTGCTCTCTGCAGTGAGCATTCTCCAGGCTCAGATGGGTTCTCTTTCACACTGAATCACTGCTCTTGTTTGTATGAGGCAGGCATGGGCGCCAGACTCAAGCCCAGATCTTAACTCAGGTGGTCTTGGTTCAGTCCCACATCCCCACTTCATAGCTCTAACCTTGGGTTCTTGATGTGTCTTCTCTGTACCTCAGTTTCCCCACCTATAAACTGGGGTGATGACACCCACTGCACAGGGTTGTGGGGAGGAGTCAGCAAGCTAACATACCTAGAGATGTGGAACATGGCCCCTGCATTGCTCCTTGCCTAGGACCAGTAAGCCCCAGTACTCAAGCACCCAGATTCTCTCTGTTTTCAAAGAAAATTGCAGTGTTTGAACGTTGTTTATGTAGCCAGGAACAGAGATTTGAAAAGACGTGTTGCCCATGAAGCATAGGGGGGAATTTAGAAATGAAACTTAACCTGTTATCTAGACTTTTAAACCTACCCTCCTGCTTCCATTTGCTGTCATCTGAGAAGAATCGTCAGTTGTAGAAATTTGGCTAAAAGCGTGAGCTGTGGAGTCACACACGCCTGGGTCTCATCCCCTCTCTGCCACTTCCCAGCTGTGTGGCTTGGGATGCTTTCCTGGGTCTGTCCTTCCTCTCTGTTCTTTTCTTCCTCGCATGCAGACAATAAAACCTACCTTGAAGGGTAATTGAAGAAGAAATGAAGTGAAGCCTGTGAAGTGCTTCCCACAGAGCTGGGCACATAGGGAAGCTGGCCGCCGTGGCTGCTATTAAATTGCTATACAGACTTATTTAATAGAAAAATGACCCAAAGACTCCATGGAGAATATCTGTGGACTATTCAGTAGGCCTTTTTAATGTATCGGTACAGAGCAGAGCTGGCCAAAGCCACCCCTCCTCAGTGATGAGCAGCACCAACTAAGAACTAATGCAGGTAGGCCGGGCACAGTGGCTCACACCTATAATCCCAGCACTTTGGGAGGTCAAGGTGGGTGGATCACTTGAGGTCAGACATTCGAGACCAGCCTGGTCAACGTGGTGAAACCCCATCTCTACTAAAAATACAAAAATTAGCTGGGCATGGTGGTGCGTGCCTGTAATCCCAGCTACTTCAGAGGCTGACACACAAGAATCTCTTGAACCAGGGAGGCAGAGGTTGCAGTGAGCCAAGATCGTGCCACTACACTCCAACCTGGGCGACAGAGCAAGATTCTGTCTCAAAAAAAAAAAAAAAAAAACTAATACAGATAACTTCAGATTTAGGAAACCCTTGCATGGGGAATAACTAGAATTGACGTTTTGGGAAGAGAAGATTGCTCATTTTTCTAGCCCCCTCCTTTTGAAAGGATGACAGTCTTGGGTATCAATCACCTCAGCGCTGAGCAGCACCTAGGAGAGGAAGCCCTCACCGTGGACAGTGGAGGGTGCCGCTGAAGATTCCTGGTAAGCCCGGGTCTCCTGATGGCCATGCTGGACTCTTGCAGAGGAACCCGCCCTAGGCCTGCCCAACATGGCCGTGCTCACTTATTCCTATAATTAGGAGTCCGAGGGGACCTCTGCAAAGTGGGGAGTGTGTCAGGATGAGTAACAAACAGTTACCGCTTAGTAACAAGATAAATCACCGCACGTGCCTATCGTTGCTTTGTCTTTCTAAACTGAATGTTTGGGCCTGGAGCTTTCACAGGGTATCTGGGACAGAGAAAGTACAAGGGAGATAGCAACACTCACCCCTGCTGTATCGCAAGATGTTTTCAATTTGCGGTCAGATAACTATTTTTTTTTCCCCAAGAGCTTTGTTTTGGAGTCTTTTCTTAATTTAAGACAGGCACGGGCCAGACATGGTGACTCACACCTCTAATCCCATCACTTTGGGAGGCTGAGGTGGGCAGGTTGCGTGAGTTAAGGAGTTCGAGACCAGCCTGGGCAATATGGTGAAACCCCTTCTCTACAAAAAATACAAAAATTAGCCAGGTGTGGTGGCGCATGCCTGTAGTCCCAGCTACTCGGGAGGCTGAGGTGGGAGAAGCGCTTGAGCCCAGGAGGTGGAGGTTGCAGTGAGCCGAGATGAAGCCACTGCACTCCAGTCTGGGCGACAGAGACCCTGTCTCAAAAAAAAAAAAAAAAAAAAAAAAGGCACATATGGCACCCTACAGCTCTGGAAGCCAAAGCTTTCAAATGGAGTTTCTTTACACGTGGTCCTTGAACTGCTATCCCAGCTCTTTATAATGTGTTTGAAAAATAAAAATGTCCTTTGTATGTCATGAGAACCTTCCCGTGGTAATATTTAGTAGTTAAACATTCCTAAGCTCGTAATTGACCTGTGGGGATTTGCTTCTTCACAGAATTAATCACACTGTTCTAAATTAAGCCACAGGACAACACCTCTGTTGGACTCTCTTGGCTAGACAAAGATGTTGACCAAATTCAGAGTTTCCAAAAATAATTAGCTGAGAACCGTGAACTGCGTGTGTTTATAATGATCTTTTGTTTTTGTTTAAAATTAATAACTTCTCAAGTATACTAAGTATATCCATAGGTTTCTTGGTTCTGTACAACCCTGGTCCATATTCTCCAGGCTTGCCTACAGTCTTTGTCTTTTATTTTTGGACAGAGAGTCTCACTCTGTTGCCCAGGCTGGAGTGCAGTGGCACAGTCTCCGCTCACTGCAGCCTCCACCTCCAGGGTTCAAGTGATTTTCATGCCTCGGCCTCCTGAGTAGCTGGGATTATAGGCACCCGCCACCACGCCCAACTGCTTTTTGTATTTTTGGTAGAGATGGAATTTTGCCATGTTGCGCAGGCTGCTCCCGAACTCCTCACCTCAAGGGATCCGCCCCCACCCCAGGCCTCTGAAACTGTTAGGATTACAGGCTTGAGCTACCGCACCCGGTCAGCAGGCTTTCTTTCACATCAGTCTTTTCCTACAAAAATGGGAGAAAATTTGAAAATAAAAACTGACTTTCTAATACTGTGTTTTGGCTGACATCTTAGTGTGTGAGCTTTTTGTCATAATTGGGTAAAATATCTAAGCCACACGCCTATTTAATAGATGGTTTTAAAACAGAAATATTGGAGGATTTTACAAAGTGTATGAGGAAAAATAGCATTAAAGCCCGGGTGTGTGCGTGACATTGCCACACATTGCCTCTTAGGGTCATGGTAGAGGGAGAAAGACCACAAGGTAGCGAGTATATTCCGTCTGAGTTTCCGACCCCGTTGCATTGACAGTGGCTACCTGGAGAACTGTGTGAAGAGGAATTCTGGGGCTGCACCAGCCTCTTCAGGAACAGTTAGGAATGTCTGTTTTTAAAAGAAAAGGAGAGAGAGCTTCCCTTTGTCATCCCGGGTCCAGCCTGGCACCTCCCTTGCAGATAAAGCTGAGATCAGAAAGATGAAGTGGGCTGCTCATGGGCACCAGTCCGTCGATGGCAGGATGGGAAGTAGGTTCCAGGAGAGAGAACCCCAAAGTTGGAGCTCCAGTTCAGACAGAAACTGGGAGAACCCATAGCGAAAACTCACTTGTTAATAGGGGAAAAAGAAAAAGGGCTTGGCGGAAGGTAAGCATCGGTGGTAATGTGTTCACCACGGCTTTGTGGTGTGTCCTAAAACAGAAGTCCCAACTCTTTCACCAAGGTCAGGAGTGGAGAAGATGGTTATTTTCTGCCCAGGCCTTGGCTGTTGTATTGTCCCGTCTTTTCGGTGGTGCTGTCTGGAGGCCTCTGGGCTTGGTAGATCCTGCACTCTTTGTACAGCAAACATGCCCGTCCCCCAGGCTGAGCATGTCATCTCTGCACCGTTGCGATATCCCATTTCATTTTCATCACAGGTTGCTCATTAAATGTGTCACAAAGGATGCTTAGCCTTGTGGACAGAACACTGGATGGGCCTCAGGAGCCTGGATTTCAGGCTATAGGGCACCCTGGGAGAACCTCCTCTCTCCCCAGGACCCAGATTCTCATCCGGTCATTGAAGAACTTGGAGTAAGTGACTTCTGCATCCTCCTTGAGCCCTTTTCTATTCAGAAGAGAAACATCTCGGCATTGCACCTGCACCCATCAGTAGTTTGTGGTTGGTTGTTTTTTTTTTTTGTTTTTTTTTTTTTTTGGAGACAGTCTCACTTTGTCACCCAGGCTGGAGTGCAGTGGTGTGATCTTGGCTCACTACAACCTCCGCCTCCCGGGTTCAAGCAGTTCTCCTGCCTCAGCCTCCCAAGTAGCTGGGACTACAGGCACACACCACCACGCCCAGCTAATTTTTTTAATTTATATTTTAGTAGAGATGGGGTTTCACCATGTTGCCCAGGCTGGTCTCAAACTCTTGAGCTCAGGCAATCCACCCACCTTGGCCTCCCAAAGTGTTAGGATTATAGGCATTAGCCACTGCGCCCGGCCCCATCAACAGCTTTGAGCCATTTCTCATCGTAGCTCGGGGCACAGATCCAGGTCCTCTTGGCCTTTGCAAGAGCACAGTGCAGTTGTCCTTTTCCCCAGACCCTTTCCCTGAGACCTGTGTGTGCCTCTGTGCCTCCCTCCTTCCCTCCCCTCGCACCCACTTCTCCCCCATGCATCCTTGTCAGATGCCTCCTGTTGAAAGCAACTTCCAAATGTGAAACGGTTTTCAGCTGCTTTTAGCCCTTTAACCCTTTGTCTGCTAGAATTCCGCAAAAAAATAATTGATGACGGATTGGCCCATTAACCTTTAAGAAAAAAAAAGTTTGACAGCCCGGATTCATGTAATGAGGAGGGATTCCTTGTGAAATCAGTCTGATGGCTGAGTTTCTTGCCCCTAAGGAGGCAAAATTAGCCCCATGGGGCCTTGTCTGCATAGAAACTGGACACAATTAGTGTAATATCCGGTGTTATTAATGTCGTTTGGAATAATTGGGCAGGTTGATTTCGACAGGTTCATGGTGCTAAAATACTATTATAGTGGACCTTTCCACAGCTAACTGTTAAACACAGAAAACTGTTTAAATCCCTGTGAGCCCAATCACAAAACTTTATTAAACAGCTAAGCCCTGGAATGTCACACTGGGAAACAGTACACCGTCTGTTACTTCAGGCTTTGGGGTGTGGTGGCATCTTGATTTTTCAGGAACAGGGGGATTAATTTTGCTGTCTGTGTGTGTATCTGAAACTTCAACATGCTTTTAATAGATATACCATCAGGAGCTTCTACAACCTGAAATCTGTTTTTACAGTGAATGAAATAGAAGCCACTGCAATTGTCACAAATAGGTAGTTTGTATTAGTGAAATGACACCACTAAAAGTGAAAGCTCCGAACAGGGCATCCTCACAGGCACATGCTCGTTCTGCACGTTTGAAGTGAGGGTGGCAGTGGAGAGTAATGCTCGGCTCTGTCTCTGACTGATGGGCCTCACGCTGCCAATTACTGTTTTGATCATTTTTAATCTAGTTGCTCATAAGTAAAATGTCATCACCGTGTCACTTCGTAATGTGCTGCAGCCCTTCGGGGCCATCGGTGATTTGAATAAGGCTCTATCATCTGCTAAAAATTCTTCTTTGAACCTTAGGAGGAGCATGTTCCTGTTCTCTCCACACAGAAGAAGGGAAATTGGGTCCAAAAATCTATTCACTGTTTACATAATGAGCGTAAATGGTCACTGCAATGCCACCGAAGTGTAAACACGGATTAAACACGGATTAAATCTTGAGATTTGCTAGGTGTTGACCTAATAAAGTCACCAGAGCAGCACATAGGAGATCACCACCAGGATAGATCTTCTCTACTGGATTAGTCAGAACTAGGTTTAGTAACACCAGAAATCCAGTTTTAAAAAAAGGAGACGCTGGGCGTGGTGGCTCACACCTGTAATCCCAGCTACTCAGGAGGCTGAGGCAGGAGAATCACTTGAACCCCGGAGGCAGAGGTTGCAGTGAGCTGAGATGGTGCCACTGCACTCCAGCCTGAGCGACAGAGGGAGACTCCTTCTCGGGTGGGTGGATGGATGGATGGATGGATGGATGGATGGATGGATGTCTTATGTAACGAACTGTAGGACAGGCAGGAGCTTCAGGGACCTCAGAGGCACCAGGCTCCCTGCCACCTCCCATCCCTGGCTTCACTCTGCTGGGCAGCAGCATTCATACCTGTCCACAGGGAGTGGCCTGATAACAGAAGTTTTCCTTCCCATGGAGAGGGCAGAGGCACCTGCACCTGCACCTGTGGGCCATGTCCTGACAGGTCCCAGATAAGAGGGGAAGGCACTCTATGGACACAACTCAGATGTGAAACCCTGGAAGACACTTGATCATGTGCCCCCACCAGGACTGATCAGAGTGGCCAGGGACATCACGTGCTCCAGTTGGCCAACATAGATGGGGCCATCCCTGCTCCCTGTGCTGGCCAGGGAGCCAGACACCCGGCAGGTGGCACGTGGAAGGCCCAGAGGACCACCACCTCTGTGTACCATGTCCCCCAGCATTTACCAGACTGACCTGATTGTGTGACTGGACATCAGTTAGAAAGAAGTATGACACGCCGGGCACGGTTGCTCATGCCTGTAATCCCCGCACTTTGGGAGGCTGAGGCAGGCACATCACCTGAGGCCAGAAGTTCGAGACCAGCCTGGCCAACATGGCGAAACCTCAGCTCTACTAAAAATACAAAAATTAGCTGGGCGTGGTGGCAGGCGCCTGCAATCCCAGCTACTCTGGAGGCTGAGGCAGGAGAATCACTTGAACCTGGGAGGGGGAGGTTGCAGTGAGCTGAGATCATGCCATTGCACTCCAGCCTGGGCAACAGAGCGAGACTCCATCTCAGAAAAAAATAAAAATTAAAAGAAGGACAGTAAGACAAACTGTTGAGGGATTTCTGGGGAAGCTAGTTTCAAAAGGCCCAACCATCTTGTTCTCTTGGCATGAGGAATAGGAGAAGATAACGGAAAGCCACTAGGAGACCCTTCCAGCCCCTATGCCGTCTTTGATTCCCAAGGAGAGCTCCTTTTTTTAAATGTTAATTTGTTTTTAGGAAATGGAGGAAGAGTACTGCCACTTTAAGAGAGGAAAATGATTACAAGCAAAAATGGCTGTAAAGTCCTGGCGTTGTGCCTGACAGAATTTGGAGCCCAGTGGTATTATTTTCTATGTTTATTACTCCATGCAGTAGATTTGTTATGGATAAACAGATTTCTTCCTGGAAGTTGTAACATGACTATGCAGTTGCTCTATAATCCTTGTACTTATTTTTTTTAATCTTGGGAGGCAGAGAAAAGTCATATGGCAGATATAAATTAGATCTGAAACTCTACGTGTGGGTATTCACCTATTACCCTCCCTCAAAATAAAAAATGAAGCCACCTAAAGACAGGATCCTGGGAAACACATGGGCCTAGCATAGCTGGATTCCACTCGGCAGTGTTGGTGTAGAGTGGCCTTAATTAGGCTCTGTGCTCAGATGTTAATCCTTCCTCAGGAAGCAAGGTCCAGCTGCTCGGACCCTTGTCGTAAATTTCAGGGCCTGAAAATCCAAAAGAAGACACAGGGTAGTCCTCCCGCCGGTGCCCACCTCTGCGCTGAGCATGTAGGGTTCCATCTCCCGCCTCTGCCCTGCCTCCCCCAGGGCAGACTGAGCCTCTCCCCTCCAGGTGTCCCAGATGTTTGCATCACAGTTCAGCCCTGGTCCCCATCAGCACAGCCTGCCTGGGAGAGGCCAGCCCAGGGTCAGCAGCGCCATTGCCTCTTGATTTGGGAGCTGATGCTGGACCCCGCATTGACGAGACAGAGGGGGCCATCTTGTGCTTCTCCAGGGCTAGGATGAACCATCTGGTCAAAACAGAACAGAAACCCCAAAGAGCTGTTCATCGGCGTCTCACTACATGGTGAACTGCTACTCACAGGGAAAAGCGTGGCGTTTAGACCTGCCCTGTGATCACAGGGCCTTTGTGCATGCTACATACACGTCAGAGACAGACCATACCCAAGGATCACAGAGATGGCACAGCTTCCTGCCCACCACACTATCACAGAGCTGTTGGTCCCGGGGATTGCGATTCGTGTCTTTATTTCTTCATTATTTGTATAGTCCTGTGCTTTTCCAGGTTTAGAGTTATTGCACGGGACTCCCCCTCAAGAAAAGAATATCTTAAGTGAGTCTGGGGTTGCAGTTGGTCCTTAGGATGTGAAGCTTAGCTGTGCTTTCCACGGTCAGCAGGGTCTGTCATGGGGCTGACCTTCCCAATCCATGCCTTTACCTGAAGCTGGTGCCCATCAGCCTGGGTCACAGGGTGTCTTGCATCTGTTTCCTCTTTACTCTGTTGGGCCTTGTTGGTGTTTCATGGTAATTAGCCAATTAGCCTGGGTTTCATTCTCCGGGAGAGGAGACCTGAACCTGAGCAGGCCACCCTCAGGCTCTGGTTAATCCGTCACCTCCAGGCAAAGTGTAAAGCCTTCTCTTTGCCACCTCTTCTGAGTGGCTGCGGATACCAAGTGGTCCTTTATGTTCTTACTTTTAGGGAAGTATTTAGCTCATTCACAAGTCTTTGTATCTCTACTTTGCTACCTCAGAGATAGAAATATATGTCTATTATTTGTGAAGGCATGCTTAAATACGATTTTTGTTTGCTAGTGTACATTTTGCAATTAATATTTTTGTATTCATCTTATATCTTGCCCATTTGCCAACTGCTGTTATGATTTTTAATAATTTGTAGGTGATTTGGGGTTTTCTATGAAGACAGTCATATACCATGTGAATGTCTTTATCTTCCTTTCCAATCTCTCGGTCTTTCATTCCCTTATTTTTGACTTAATACACTGGGTAGCAGGGATGGAAAAAAGCAGTTACAGTGGGTGTCCTTGTCTTGAGCATCCTGTAACTGAGTGTTCAAAGGTATGTTTCTGACATCTCACCCTTAGGATTAGTGACATTGTGGGGTTTAGGGATAGATTATCTCTGTCCAAGGTAATGGAGTCCTCTTCTATTCCTCGTTGGCTAAGGAGTTTTAATCATGCTTCTTTCTCTTATTGATTTTTTTTCTTTCTTCTGGTTGAGAAATTGGACATTCTACTTATTTTCTTGCAGAGGTTTACCACATGGACTTAATTTACTTACCAACATGTGAAGTGAGTCCTTACCTCTCCCAGTAGAGCAGTACAAGGCCCTATGACATCGTAACTCCCATGTCCTCACCGCTACTCTCACGTTCTCCAGCATTTTGACCTTTCCCATGGTAGACATTGTCATTAGCAGTCATAGTCGGTATTGTTTTTATTTAGTTTTTTTTTTTTGTTTACATATTTATCAGTTCATTTGCTCACCAACCTGTCTTTCACAAACCTGCCTTCTAGGATCTTCCTGAAATACATCCTTTTTTCTTTTTTTTTTTGAGATGAAGTCTTTCCTTGTCACCCAGGCTGGAGTGCAGTGGCGTGATCTCGGCTCACTGCAACCTCCGCCTCCCAGGTTCAAGTGATTCTCCTGCCTCAGCCTCCTGAGTAGCTGGTATTACAGGTGCGTGCCACCACACCCAGCCATTTTTTTTTTTTTTTCGGTATTTTAGTAGAGATGGGGTTTTGCCATGTTGGCCAGGCAGGTCTTGAACTCCTGACCTCAGATGATCCACCTGCCTCGGCCTCCCAAAGTGTTGGGATCACAGGTGTGAGCCACTGTGCCTGGCCCTGAAGTATATCATTTAGTAATTTCCCTAGTGGACGTCTATTGGTAATAAGCACTTTTGGGTGTTTTTGCAGAAAAATATATTTTGTTCTTTCCTTCTTTTTCTTTTTCTTTTCTCTTTCCCTTTCTTTTCTCTTCCTTTCTTTTCTTCTCTGCTCTTTTCTGTTTTTTCTTTCATAGGGTCTCACTCTTTCACCCAGGCTAGAGTACATTGGTGTGGTCACAGCTCACTGCAGCCTCCATCTCCCAGGCTCAAGTGAGCCTCCCACCTCAGCCTCCCAAGTAGCTGGGACTACAGGTGCAAGCCACCATGCCTGGCTAATTTTCAAATTTTTTGTAGAGATGAGGTCTCACTGTGTTGCCCAGACCAGTCTTGAACTCCTGGGCTCAAGTGATTCTGCCACCTCACATCCCAAAGTGCTGAGTTGGCAGACATGATCCCTTGCACCTGGCCTGTGTTTCACTCTTGTTCTTGAGAGAGAGTTTATCTGAATCTCAAGTCTACACTGTTATTTTCTCTTGAGGATATCATTCCACTATCTGGCGACTCTCACTGTTACTCTTAAGAAGTCTGTGATCGTCTTGATATTTGTTTAAGAGCAATCTGTCTCTAGAGACGGGGTCTCACCATGTTGACCAGGCTGGTCTTGAACTCCTGACACCTTAGGTGACCCACCAGCCTCAGCCTCCCAAAGTGCTGGGATTACAGGCGTGAGCCACCATGCCCAGCCTGTATCAGTAATACTTTGGATCTAAATCTGCTGTCTTGTTTGCAGTGTGTTGGGTGATCTCTGGTTTTGAGTTCAGATGTAGTTGGTCTCCGTCCATGGGAAGCTTTCCTGTAGAGAAGATACCAGAAGCCAAGGGAGCTCTGAGACCTGGGGCCTCCCGGCTCCTTTCCTTGCAGGATTGCCAGGTGCTGGACCCTGGGTTTATGTTTCCTATCTTAGGACCTTATCTGTTGTGCTACCAAAGGTGTTTGCCCCTCAGGGTAGCCTTCACTTTTGCAGGTTTTTAGCACTTTAGGCTCACAATTCTAGTTTCACCTCGTGTATTTGATTTGGGGAAGGAGAAGGAGGGTCCTCTTGAGATCATGCCTCACTGTGGACTGCTGTGTTGTGATGCAGTCAGCTTGGAGGGGAAGCCAGGCCCCAGGAACAAGGGAGAAATGCTTAAGTGTTGGAGAGGAGAGCGACAGCACAAACTTCTTACACAGTAAACTCAGCGAAGTGTTAAAGGTGGGCCAGAACCAATTTCACAGTCAGGCAAGGGCTGAAAGTAGAAGGAAGTGGAAGGGTACAGATTGGCAGATATTGCTAAGCAGGGCTGTGACTGATGAGATGAAAGTGGGAAGAGGGAGAGGGAGGAATCCAGGTGATTTTGAGATTTTATGATTAGAATAGCATTGTAATCATTAACAGAAATACAGAACCCCAAGAGGAGCATTTGAAAATGCTAGCAAATCTATGTGATGCATGTTAAATTTGATATGAGGACAAAGTTTTTGAGAAACATCCACAGGCATTTTAAAATCCAAAACTGATTAGATATATGAATTGGAGATATATGTATGAGAACTGTACATGTCTGTAGGAAGTGACTCTCTAAGCTTCGGAAGGAAAGGAACCCCTAAGAAGGAGGGAGGAGGAAGGAGGAACATTAACTAAACTTGAAGTTTGCCTTCACTAAAGGCCACATGCAGAGGAACCAGGGAGGAGAAAGAGAAGCAGTGATCAGAAAGCTCGAAAGAGAACTATAGTTGCACAGTGAGAAGATGGCAGGCACGCCACGGGCACCCCTCCTTGCCCTGGGGTAGACATTGCTAGCTGATCGCAGATCCTTCTCCAGGAGCCTGGAGCCAGCCTTGGAGATCTCAACACAGGATTCTCTGCAGCTGCTCAAAGCTGCCTTCATTGAGAACACAAATGCAAGATAGTTCTCAGCTATCTTGCATCACTCCCATAGGATCTCAGAGTTGCAAGGGCCCTCCCAATCATGTGTGAGACGCTGAATTCCCACCAGTCTCCTCTGAAAGGGCCACATTCAAGGGCCTGAAACCCCCAGGGAGCAGAACCCACAAGCCCCATCTCTGGATAGTTGTGAGGGGGACAGAATCTTCCACTTGCAGGGTCTCCATCATTTTTTTCTGTCCTGGGTTGACTCCAGGGCACCCAGAACAGGTGTCATCCCTCTTCCATCAGACAGAAGTTCCCTGTGCTCAGAGTCCCCAGTGAGCAGTCCCTGGCATTGGGCTCTCTCTGTGGTGCCTGCTGGCCACCACCCTGAGTGATAGAGACAGGACCACCTCCCCACCATTGTGGGTGACACACTCACAGCCTTCACTTTCACTGGGAGCCTCGTTCTGGGCCTGCCGTTCACTGCAGTCCTTCAGCCTTTTCATATTTGTAGTTGGGAAGCAAAATCTTCTCCCAAACCTCACCTGCTGTTGGGGTCCAAGAGAAGGAATTCTAGTCATGCATTTGACCATTTGAGTTGTCAGTTCAGCTAAGAGATCCTCCTCTTTTTAGACCTTGGGGATGGGGATAAAACCCTAGTTTATCTGCTATCCCCCAAAACTCTTTGCTTTCACAATTTGGTAAGCAGACTTTATATGTCTTTATCCAAGTCATTGATAAAACATTGAATATTGAATGAGGCAAGACAGAGGTAATAGTTCCATGGTTGACCACTGCAGACCTTCTGCTAGTTTATGCTGCTTAGTACCCCTTAGCTGTGAATCCATATAACTCTATTCACATCTCTTTCATTCACCCTGATAAAAGCCTTGCTCACATCTGGGTGAGTCTTCAGGGTGATCAAGCATCTCAGAAGACTAAGGGGGAAAATATTGCAAGATGGTGGTGCCCATCAGCAACGTCAGGTGCTCCAGAAAGAGGGGGGTCAGTGAGAAAGAAGACTAAGCACAGCCCATGGCCCCTGGCTGTTCCTTGATCTGTAATCTTACAGAGTGAGGTTTCAATCAGGTGGATGATGGGGAAGCATTATTAGAAAAGAGAGGGTGGTAAAGAGCTGGATGCACGCGTGCACGTGTCTGCTTTGCAGATTGTGTGAGTGAAGGATGAAGAAAAGAGGTGATGATCTCTCTCAAGGATGGAGTGAGATCAGGAAGTGAGTGCAGGAGGTCTGTAGAAGGGGGACATGAAGTTTGCAAGAGAGTGAGGAAACCATGCCAAATCCAGGTCCGCAAGAAGGTATGAGGGGACCAGGTAAAGGATGCAGAGAGACGGGAGGAAAGGACCAGGAGCTGAAAGGAGAGACAGAAATGTTGAGTGACATAGAAGATACTAGACAAGGGAACTTTCTTCTGTCCAGTATACGGAGAAGACAGGTGGTGGGATAGATTTTTAAAGTGAGTGATCGGCCAGGTGCAGTGACTTATGCCTGTAATCCCAGCATTTGGGGAGGCCAACGTGGGCGGATCACCTGAGGTCAGGAGTTCAAGACCAGCCTGGCCAACATGGTGAAACCCTGTCTCCACTAAAAATACAAAATTAGCCGGATATGGTGGCACATACCTGTAATCCCATCTTCTCGGGAGGCTGAGGCAGGAGAATCGCTTGAACTTGGGAGGCGGAGGTTGCAGTGAGCTGAGATCATGCCATTGCACTCCAGCCTGGACGACAGGAGCGAAACTCTGTCTCAAAAAATAAATAAATAGAGTGAGTGATGAAGCCATAGAACAGCCACTGTAGGGAGCACATTTAGAAATTAGCTCGAAATGGGTTCTGATGTTCCTGTGAACACTTACATGTATTTGTTCCCCTAAGTAGAGTTTGCATGCATAGGTAAAATTTGTTTACATAATTAATCGGGCAGAGCCAAACTGCGCTTTAGCAATTTAATTTGCAAGTTTTGTCTTTGCATGAGATACTGAGAGTATTACAGTGCAAGATACCAGATAGCAGCTACTGCGTTGGGATGAGGCAAAAAATAGAGACGTTCCCTTGGAGCTTCATTCAGATTTCCATTGTTTTTATCACTTTGTGTTCAGTCATCTGCCTGAGTGTGTGCCCGTCCTCACCACGTAGACACGTTTAGAGGGCACAGGCTTCTCCTGCATGCTGGAATCCCTTCCACCCAGCCCAGTGCCTAGCACGTTGGGGAGGGCAGCTGAGGACCACAGTGACCGAGCCCTGCACCCATACAGTGTAATACAAGCTCAGCTCTTAGCCTTAGTTCCAGTGACTGTAGCTCATGACTGGCTAGAGCCAGACATTTGAGCAGGAAAGCTTTACAGGGGACCAGTTGTGCAGAAATTTAACCGGGAAGCTAATGGTTGTAATTTTTTTCACTAGAAGATCCAATAAATGCTGATCAGAGGGAGCTTTGATACATGCATTTGAATTTCACAGATTAAACAAAGTGTGAGCCTGTCGAGTTGATCTCATAATGAAAAATTGTCACATCCCACCTATGAATTACCAAGTTTTCCTTATGATCTAACTGTGAGTTATGTAGTTTTTTCATACCTTACCTATCTGTTCACTAGGAGAGTTTTGCATAAAATACATGAATTGGGGCACTATCCTATGAGAATCTGTATGGAAAAGGTTGTAAATCATAGTACTAGGACTTAAAAGCCCATGGATCAAGAAGCTGGACCAAGACCCACAGATGCAATGGCTCAGCCAGTACTTGCACGATATCATTGTAAGTCAGCCATGGTGAAACCTATGTGAAAGTTACAGTTACAATGATTTTTTTTTTTTTTAATGAAATCTCCAAGTCCCTGAGTGTTTAAGGTCGTTGTTGAAGGCATGACCTGCAGACACCCTGACCCCCACCTTCCTCCCCCACCCCTCTTTCCACAGCAGGTGGAGTGTTTCATTCTGCATAAATACACAGGTGGCGGGGGTGGGGTGGTCATTTGTTCTCCAAATTCAAGAGCCCAGTAGATTGGGATAAAATTCCTGAGCAACCAGACCCTCCCATCCTGACCTCTTGTCACCAGCTCTCCAGAAATCGGGAACCAGGGTGACTGAGAGCACAAAGGACACCCCCATACCGTGTGGGCCAGCTGAGGGCTTCCTCCAAAGACTCTTCTCTCCCCTCCCACTCCAGCCCGTATCGGTCCCTTTCAAGGACAGGGTGGGTCTCAGTGCCGACACCCCAAGCGGGGCTAACCAGCCAGGGCCTCAGGCCCGACCTCCACTCAGCACGTGCATCACAGCACTTTCCTGCAGCCCCCAGAATATGCCCAGGGCACAGTGGCTGTCAGCACCTAGGGAGTCACAGACCACTGAGGGGCTGGTGGAGGCCATGGGCCCTCTCTGGCT
Source organism: Homo sapiens (assembly GCF_000001405.40). Classification (NCBI taxonomy): domain Eukaryota; kingdom Metazoa; phylum Chordata; class Mammalia; order Primates; family Hominidae; genus Homo; species Homo sapiens. Next base: position 236,034,881 of record NC_000002.12, read on the forward strand.
GGGTGCTGTCCCCACACCCCTGGGAGTGGGGCTTGGGAGCATCACTGGGCTGCTCAGGTGGAAGGGATCTCTCAGCCACAAAGAGGGCTGCATATCCACCCAGCCAGAAAGGAGTGGGGAAAGGGTGAGTGGGGTGGCACGTCCTCACGTCCCAGGCTGCAGGCGCATTGTGAGGAAGGGCCTGGGAGAGCCAGTCTAGGTGAGGTCAGTAAGCCGTGCTTGGAAGCTGGGCTAGAGGGACCAAGAGTCTGGAAGATCAGAGGTCCGTGCAGTAGACATGAGCCAGCCCAATGGCCACGGGCTGGTGACAGAGATAAGTAAAGTGGTTGGCAGGCAGGTAGGTGAAAGTCAGTACTAATAATAGTTGCTCGCCAGGGGATTATAATGCAGCTAGTTCACAGGCCAGGGCCCGGAAACATTGAGTCAAATGAGATGTTGTGTCTGAAAACCTAGTTGAAGATTTCTTAATGAGGGTCTGGTGCAGTGGCTCACACTTGTCACTCAGCACTTTGGGAGGCCAAGGAGTGAGGATCACTTGAGATCAGGAGTTTGAGACCAGCCTAGGGAGACACCATCTCTACAAAAAATGTCTAACAATTGGCCAGGTGTGATGGTACACACCTGTAGTCCGAGCTACTCAGGAGGCGAAGGCAGGCTCGCTTGAGCCTGGGAGGTGGAAGATATAATGAGCTGTGATTGCACCATGGCACTCCAGCTTGGACAACAAAGTGGGACTCCATCTCAAAAACAGTTCTTCGTGGTTGTATGCAATTAGTTATGCTTTTTGCCAGTGGTGCCTCCTCCTTTGGCGGGGACTTGGGGGCCGGGAGTAGGGACAGGAATAATGAACAGAGGCCGACGTGGATCTGTGGAGTGTCTCCTATGGACCAGGTCCCAAGTCCGCATGGGTCTGTACACTTCATGGAACTAGCAGAAAAGCATTAGACAGTCGGTGCCCTTTTCCTTCATTTTATGGGTTAGAAAAAATGAACCTCAGGGGAGTCCAGGAACTTGCCCAAAGACTTAGATGTGGCAGGTGGGGTCGCAGGGTATACCCCCAAGTTCCTCTCTTCCCATTGCAGACATGGCCCCAGAGTAGCTACCAAGTCTGGGGCCTGTCTCAGCTGAGATCCTCCTAAGGCACGCGGGATCCCATGCACTCTCCCTGTCTGAAAACGTGGGAATTGATGCCTCTCCCACGGTAACAGGTCCTCTGCCATAAAAGAACAGAACCTTCCCGCGTTCCTCTATCCATGGAGTGTCTGTGGATCTACGCGAGTGCTTAGATAGAAATTAACCCTGCAGCCGGAGATTAGCGGCCCTAACTTAATTTTCGTCCCACAGATAAGGATGGTCAGCCATGAGTTACATGGTTATTCTCCTAAGTTGCTTTGTGTGTGCACCACACAGAGACGCTGACATCACTCGTTGATTTCATCTGGCCTTGTGCCCTGAGCCTTGATTGAAACCTGGCTAAGTCATGCTGGCCTTAGGAACCACATCTGGACTGTTGGGAGGTGCATGGATTCAAATCTCCGCCGCCGTGGTTGTCCAGTGCCGTGCGCCTCACCGGTCCATGCAGGGGCAGCTGAACCCAGAGGCGCTTCTGTGACAGAGGGCCCGCAGGGGGACTGCTGTCTCATAAAAGCTAAACTCTTCATCCCACACTCTGTGTTTCAGAACAAGAAGAAAATTTTGAGTTTATCATTGTGTCCCTCACTGGCCAAACATGGCACTTTGAAGCCACGACGTATGAGGAGCGGGACGCCTGGGTCCAAGCCATCGAGAGCCAGATCCTGGCCAGCCTGCAGTCGTGCGAGAGCAGCAAGAACAAGGTGAGGCCCCTGGCTGCCCAAAACCAAGGCTGGGGCTGCTCAGGGGGAGTGCGGGCCCCAAGTAATGCCCCAGGGAGGAGAAAATAGAGGACCAGTGTGAATGACAGGACCTAGCTATTCTTTATGAGCAGAAAGCTCAATAACTAAAACGATCAGAAGCACTTTGTGTCTATACCATCATACATGAGTATTCCAGCCTGACCGTGCTTCCCTGGCAGGAGAGCCAAGGTTAAATCTTCAGTCTGTCAGCCAATCCCAGAGGGAATCTTTTGGACTCTTGTGGCTTCTGGGTCCACATTTATTTTTGTTTTGGACAGAATACACTCAGAAAAAAAGAGAGACGGACTTAAAAGATGCACTGTTCAAGTAAATGCCCAGAATTCAAATCGACATCAAGTTGGAAAACCGTCTCTTGTTAGGGACATAAATGAAAAGTAGATGGGTCTGTATGAGCGTGCAGGGAGTTTGGGAAGATAAAGTTTCTATTATCTAAACTGATAAAGCCTGGTATGTGTTTTATTCAATAATTAGAGGTGGTGGTGCAGCTCTTTTAGAATTTGTCCAGCAGGTTTTCTGGTTCTCACCAGAAAACGCCACCCCCAAATGTTTCTATATTAAAAAAATAATGAGAGGCAATTTGTTTTTTGTAGTTACTTAGCTAGAAAAGGAAAAATATTTTAACCTGTATTTTTTTTTCCTTTGGAGAGAGTCTATCTCTGTCACCTAGGCTGGAGTACAGTGGCACAATCTTAGCTCACTGCAACCTCCAAGCTCAAGCAATCCTCCCACCTCAGCCTCCTGAGTTGCTGGGACTACAGGCCTGGCTTGCTTGCTTATTTATTTGTATATTTATTTATGTAATATATATTATTTGTGGAGGTGGGGTTTCATCACGTTGCCCAGGCTGGTCTCAAACTCTTGGGCTCAAGCGATCCACCTGCCTCAGACACCCAGAGTCCTGGGATTACAGGCATGAGCTACCACGCCTGGCTTAACCTGTGTTCTCTAGGCTACTGCCCAGTGATGTTCCTTCTACAAAAGTCCTTTTTCCCATCAAGGATTGCTTCAGTTTCATTATTTTAATGTTTGTTTGTCTTTAACCTCTTTGCTGGGACGTCTTAGACTTTTGGAGAGCATTTTGATATTTCAGACTATGATCAACTAGAAACTAAGAGAAAGGATGTTACCCACCGACCTGCAGTTTCATTTGTAACCATTTAAAGAAATTTCTGCCTATGATTTATGTGCAGCTTTGTCACTAAAAAGAGAGTCTGTCTTTCAGAAAGATGAAGTGTCTTATTTTATTACCCTCTTTAACCAGGGTAAACCAGACCACAGTCATTATTATTATAATGTAATTTGCTTCCCTTTTTAAAAGATGTTTTATACTCAAGGTGGGGAGAACCACTGCCTTTCATTCCATACACCCTGGCTTTACTGGGTCACGTCCACATGCATCCATGATGTGCCTCCTGAAACGAGCACAGGGTGCTTTGGGGCCACCTCAATGGGAAGCAACAGCACACAGCATCCTCCAAGCGTGGGCAGCTCATTCTGAGAAGGAAGGCAGGGAGGCAGGCTGTGTTACCGAACAGAGAGGCACAGGTTCCTGCCTTCATGGAGAAATCACAGTCTTTCACGGCAGACTCTGAGCCCCTGCCACCTCGACCTAATTCAGGAAGATCTGGGATGGTGGCAGCCTTTCCCATTCCACACCTTGCCAGGCTCCTCCTGACTCGTGTCTCAGCTCATGCACACACCAGCCTTAGAATGCTGCCCTCGGCCCTCACTAGGCGCCTGTTCTCCAGGGAATTGCTCCCTTGGGAGGAGGACGCGTTGAGCAACCAAAGGTGGCCGACTCAGAGCTGGTCATCGTGGGCATTGGTTGAACAGGTGTGAGGGCATAAAACATGGAAATACTGTCCACAAGGAGTAGCGGGAGGCAAAAATACAGGCCCAGTTGACCACCAGCTTTATAGTATTTTACCTGCCAGTGGATAATTGAGAGCTGATACAGGTATAGGCATAGCTAGACAGACAGACAAACCAACCAACCACAGAAATGATACAGGTACACAGAGAGACAGAGGCACATCCCTTTGTATGTGTGTGTGTGTGTGTGTGTGTGTGTGTGATCACACACTTGCATTCCAGATGCCAGTGTAAACTGTTTAAACATATTTTGAATACTTGGGTATCTAACCAAAGGGAATTAAAATTCAATAACGCATGATGCTAATTAGACAGTAGTGATTAATACATTATAATTTATTATGTAGCAAGTAATATATTATTTCACATCAATTTGATGAGATGTTTCAATTTATGAAGAATTCTTACGCAAAAATCAAGCTTATTGTAACTGTCCTCTGAAATTGATCAATTTTTGCTTTAACCATAATATTAAATGCATACTTAATAAATAAGCCTCAAAAACACTACATATCAGCCAGACACGATGGTTCACGCCTGTACTCCTAGTGCTTTGGGAGGCTAAGGTGGGAGGATCACTTGAGGCAAGGAGTTCGAGACCAGCCTGGCCAACATAGGGAGACCATTGTCTCTACAAAAAAATTTTTAAATAGCCAGGTGCATGGTTCACACCTGTAGTTCCAGCTACTCAGGAGGCTGAGGTGGGAGGACCACTTGAGCCCAGGAGATGGAGGCTGCAGTGAGCTATGATTGCACTACTCCAGCCTGGGCAACAGAGCAAGACCCTCTCTCTAGGTGGGGAAAAAGGTACATATCCAGTACATATCCTTTCACTTAGAACTTCTACTTCCAGGAATCTATTCTTAGTAAATAATCATGAGTGTGTACCAAGACTTAGCAATCATATGTTCTTACAGCATCGTTTATGATAGAGAAAAATTGGAAGCAACTTAAATGTCCATCAAAGAGAACTTGATAAGTAGGTCTTCACTAAGTGGAATGCTATGCAGCCATTTAAAATGATGATGTCAGAGAGTATGTGACAGCAGTGAGCAATGAACAAGTTTCGTTAGGCTGGAAAGGGCAGGTTTCTATGCAGCAATATGTATTACGCTGGCTTTTTAAAGTACATATGTGTATGTAGATGTGCTTAAACAACAGGCTAAAAGAACAGACATCAAAATGTTAATAATGCTTAACTATGGATGGCCGTATGATTGTTTATTAATTTTATGTTCTTTTTCCCCTCTCTGTATTTTCTAAACTTGCTTCAATGAGCATGTATGTTTTTAAATCCTTTTTAAAGAAGACCATAGAGCCAGGTGTGGTGGCTCACACCTGTAATCTCAACACTATAGGAGGCTAAGGCAGGAGGATCACTTGAGCCCACGAGTTCAAGGCTGCAGTGAGCTATGATCACACCACTGCACCCCAGCCTCAGCCACAGAGCGAGACACTGGCTCAAAAAATAATAATAATAAATAAATAAATAAAAATAAAGCAAGCCATCAAGTGTAAGGTTAAGAATCAGCACTCCCAGCTATACTCGTGTTTCTCCCTGCCCCCACCCTGGCGAGTGGCTTTGTCACTGTGGCAACCGAGGGTCTTCAGATGACATGTGCATCTCCCAGGGTGACGTGTGGTATGAATGGGGTTTTCTGACAAGGAACCATGAGATATGTCTTACATTGCTGATGAAGCCCTAACCCTGGGCTTATAAACGGATTATTTCTTTCTCATTCTTCTTACCAAGTAGACATGTGGCTACTGCCCAGAAGGTTACCCATTTACCTTCTCCAGGTTACCATGGTCCATGCGTATTCACAGATGATCCAGAACTCTCCTCTTTGCTCATTTCTGGCAGAGTCCGTCTCAGCTGATGAGTTAAAATGTGACATTTCCTCCCTCCCCCCGCCCCATGCATGATGATTTCTTCTTCAGTTATGCTCTTTCCCAAAGACATCAAAACAAGAGTGATTGTTTAGAAATTACCCTCGTCCTACATTTGCTCCCAATCTGTTTGATCTTTCCCTGATGTTATCAGTGATGTGCGTTTCTCCCGGGGTGCTTACGCCTTGTATTTGTGTCTTCCTCCGTGCCCAGTCCCGGCTGACGAGCCAGAGCGAGGCCATGGCCCTGCAGTCGATCCGGAACATGCGCGGGAACTCCCACTGTGTGGACTGCGAGACCCAGAGTAAGTGTGTGCGGTGGTAGCAGGGGCTGGCGCTGTGTAGCTGGAGACCACATGGTCCCACTAGGCCCGGGTTGCAGGGGACTCACATCTGTCCTGTTTGGCAGATAAGAGTTAACTGCTTTTAGGAAATTGAGATATTTTGTTTGGATTTTACCTTAACAGAGTGCCTTCCACACAAGCCTCACCCCTGGCTGCAGGGTGCGTTTCTGTGAGTCTTTCCTTGCCTTAGGCATCCGATGAGCAGCAGTCATACCTGAGGTGCAAAGGATTCAACCCCACACCCACAGCCTGTGCCAAATCTAGGAAGCCCAGGAATTCAAGACGAGCCTGGGCAACACAGGGAGAACCCGTCTCTACAGAAAATTAAAAATTAACTAGGCGTGGCAGCTGGCTTACTTTTTGCTTAATCAGTGATCACTTGTTGATTTTTTTTTTTTTTCATAAAAATAGAATATAATTGGTTCATTCCTGCCTAGAGATTCTTGGGTATTGTTTTTTTAAATTCACAATCATATGTTCTGGGTTTTGCCATCAAATGATGTCTTGTTTTTTTTTGGTCTTAAATCCATTACCCACTAAAGCCTCTGATTGAACTGATAGAAGTTGTAATTACTGCTTTGTGCCATCGAGTACCCCAGTTTTATTTCATGATTTCCGTTGTCTAATCCATACTATTACTTTCCCTTTGAAAAAGTCATTTTGTTGTTCATAATCTTGAGAGTAGGGACTTATTTTCATGGTTGCAGTCCCAGCCCAGAGACAGTATTGGAGACATTCAGTAAATTTCTTCCCTTCAGATTTTTTTTGTTAAGTAGTGTTTTGAAGAGAAGGAAGTTCAGTTCAAACAAGGTAAGAGGTGCTGGTACCAGGCTGGGTGCTGCCCAGGAGTCAAACGTGCATGGCGTGGTGGGTCCTGCCATCCTGAAGCCTGAAATGCACTGGACAAGGCACCAACCTGCTGACCATGGAGCTAAGCGCTGGGGAGAGCCATCGGGGGCATGCGGCGGTCTTGCCACCCATGCAGGAGCTGTCGTGTCAGCAGGGCTCTGGAGATGGGCAGGGTTTGTACAGGGAAGGGGCCGAAGGAATCACTGTGAGCAAAGGGAGTGGCTTGAGGAGAGCTTCTCTGGGTGGTTGTAGGATTAGAGATGCTTTTTGGGCTGGAAAACCAGTAGAAGCTAGTTGGAGTGTGAGTGCCAAGTGAAACTTTTTCCAGCTTTGTTCTTCATTTGTAAGCAGAGAGACATCATTGGAGTTTTAGAGCAGGAAGGAGATGGACCCTGAGCTCCACTTGGGGAGATGGATCTGGCCAGACCATTTTGAACATACTGGAATAGAGGCAAAGCAGGGAGGAGGCCAGCCAGGGTCGGCTTGGCCGGGAAGGGAGACAGGAGCCCAGGACTGCTCCAGACAAAAGGGAAAGGAAGCGCCCCCTCCAAGAGTCCACTCAGCAGCATAGCAGGCAGGGGAGAGATCAAAAGTCTGTCTGCGGCCTCTCTGGAAGCCTGTCCTGCGGGTGAGGGAAGGGGTTCTTCTCCAGGTATCTTGAGGTTCTTCTTTAAAGTACCTCCTTATGTTTGAATGTTTAAGTTTTACTTTCAAATGTGTGGTGAAATGAAGTTCGAAGAGAGAAGCAGTTATTTGAAGTGTGTTTCTATCAAAAAGTTTTAAAAGTAAGAGCTTTTTTAAAAGCACGAATCTGAGAAATATTAGAACATCCATTAAGGAAAATGCCTGCAGTTGTTTCCACCGTGCGTCTGAAGGTCGCTTTAAAAGGAAAGCCATCCGTGGCTTGCGGGGACCATGATACCTGGCAAATCGGAGGTCGCAGGTCCTGTCTGAGATGAGCTTGTGCATGTGAGTGCGGATGGGGGGTGGGAAAGGGAGGCCAGTGCAGGGGAGGTGTGGGCCAGTTTGTTCTGAGCAAGACCACCTGAGCAGATGGACAGGGACAAAGGGAAAAGGCAGAGTTTGACAATTCAGGAGAAAGAGGCGATACCAAGCACGCATTTGCTAAATGTGTGGTCTGTGTCAGCCCGGTGCCAAACCCTCCCATGCGCTGTCTTTTCATTCTGCAACCCTAGTAGTTGGTGCCCCTGTGGGCCCCACTTAAAGGGGAGGAATTGAGGAGCCTGAAGGGTCAAGTCATTTGTCTGAGGTCACAGAAATAGCAAGTCCCAAAGCAGGATTCAAACCCATCTGTTGTCCAGCCTGCTGTATTTTCTCAAGAATGGAAAGGCTCAGAAGATGTAGCACATTGGCAAGGATTTGTTAAGTAAAAATACCCAATTTTGGTTAAAGTACCGGGATAGGTACAGTGCCCACACTGATGATGAACTGTAAACACCTCCATGGGGCCTTTCGACAATGTATATAAAAAGCTTTTGAAGAGTGGATGCCCTTGACTCCAGCTGTATACTCCAGGAACTAAACCAATGGGATTGAGTAAGGCGGGTGCAGAGATCTGTCTTTCCAGATGTTCATCACAGTGCTTTACATGGCAAAAAATCAGAAGCATCCCAAATGTCTAACAATTGAAGAGCAGTTCATGGTGATGTCTTGTCTTTGCTACCTTTAAAAATCATGGAAAAAGACTTAATTGAGCCTGGGCACGGTGGCTCACGCCTGTAATCCCAGCACTTTGGGAGGCCAAGGTGGGCGGATCACCTGAGGTCAGGAGTTCGAGACCAGCCTGGCCAGCGTGGTGAAACCCCATCTCTACTAAAAATACAAAAATTAGCCGGGCATGGTGGCATATGCCTGTAATCCCGGCTACTTGGGAGGCTGAGGCAGGACTTGAACTCGAGAGGCGGAGTTTGCAGTGAGCCAAGATCACGTCATTGCACTCCATCCTGGGCGACAGAGTGAGATTTCGTCTCAAGGGAAAAAAAAAAAGTGGGGGGGGTGCTTAATTGAGATAAAGAAACTTCATAATGTGTTGTAAAATGAAAAAGGGGTATGACAATGAGTCTAGATGAACCTAACGAGTATTTACAGGTATTTAGAGGGGAAAGATCTGTAAGGCTGCACTCTGGAAGGTTAGCACCAGTTGTGTCTGAGTGGTAGGGTCTTTTGAGGCTTGGGGATTTTCATGCAGCGTGGAATTTGGAATTGTGGTAACAGCTCCCTGACCCCCAGTTCTTGCAGAGAATGCTCTAGACCGCCAGGAGCCCCCTCTGTCTGCTCACTGGGCACATCCCAGAGCACTGTTTCCAGAGTGGACGCTGAGCCTCTGGAGCTTTGGGGGTGCCTGTCTATAAAGGGATTCTGAGAGCCAGTGAATTTGGGAAACTCTTAACAACGTCCGACTCCCAGGAAGTTGCAGCCTTCGGACACCTGTGCTTCCGGGGAGTACTGCTCTGAAGCTACCTGTTCAGCATGGCCCAACCCAGCATGTCCCAGGCCCATCGGACAGTGGGGCCTTTGTTTAGGGTGCCTGTTGCCTGCCTTCTGCCAGGAACATGCCAAGGAAAGTCCACACCTGAGGGCCCCTGAGAATCCTAGGGCTTGGGACCCTCAGTGGCTCTCACCAGCAGGTCTGACCTTCATGGACAGGCCCTGAGAGGCAGCTCACCGTTTCTGCTGCTTTCTCTCTGCCCATCCATGTCGCCCATGAAGCCCTGGTTGGAGCTGACCGTGCGCTGGTCCCTCCCACCCTGCTGCGTGGACCTCACAGGTGCCCCTCTCTCCTGGGCCTTTCTCATGTCTAGAATCCTGCCTTATTTCCCTTTGTGAACCCCAGGCCTGCACACAAGAGGGGACTGGCACCCACCACTACCACCAGATAGCTCACCACAACCTACAGTAGGAGCACATCCAGGCTCTCATCTTTAGCTTGGCCCACAAATAGAACCTCCGGTCCCGCAACGTCGGGTCTCCTTCCCATTGTCGCCTCTTAGTCCTTCCCTGACCTCCAGGTTTGAAATCACACACACACACACACACACATCCCTACTCCCTGCTGTTCTGCCCTGGGGGCTTCCTGGCTCTGGTGTATCCTAGAATTTTCTTAGCTCTTTTCTGGTTTGGGCGGGGGCAGGGGCGGGTTGAGATGGGGTCTCGCCCTATAGCCCAGGATGGAGTGCAGCAGAAAGGGTAGGCTGCCTCTCGGGGCCTGTCCATGATTGCAGCAGTGCAATCATGGCTCACTGCAGCCTTGAACTCTTAGGCTCCAGCAATCCTCCCACCTCAGACTCCTGAGCAGCTGTGACTACATGTGCGTGCCACCACGCCGACCTGATTTTTTAAATTTTTTGTAGAGAGGTAGTCTCACTATGCTGCCCAGGCTGGTCTTAAACTCCTGGCCTTCGGCGATCCTCCCCCATTGACCTCCCAAAGTGCTGGGATTATAGGCAGGAGCCACTGTGCTGGGCCTAGTTTTTTTTATTTTTTCCTGCTTGGTCTGTCCTCATAGAATCTACGTCCTGCATTTCTGTGGGCAGGGATTTTTCTCCGTTTTGTTCACTGCTGTATCCCCAGAAGCCAGTGTGTTAATATTGGTTGAATACGTGAAGGAACAGATGTAATTACAGCCAACACCTAACACTGTACTTCCCGTGGGGCAGTCACTGCTCTAAGTGCCTCGTAGCTTTTAATCCTTCTGACAGCCCCTTGAGGATGGGAATTATTAGCCTCATTTCTCTGGAGGGGAGCTGAGGCCCGGAGAGCAAGAGGCTTGCAGAGGACAAAGGTGGAAAGGCAGTGCTAGCAGGTGGCACGCACACAGGTGTGAGGGCCTGGAGAGCAGGCAGGGCCGCCCTGGGGCTGTGGGACCAGCGGGGCCTGAAGCCAGGTGGAGGGGCAGGAGACAGTGCAGAGGTCTGAGTCCGTGCCAGGAGGCTGGGATCAGCCACAGGCCGAGGTTCTCCACCCAGGCCGAGACACAGCGAAGTGTCCCAGTTGGGCCTTAAGGCATCTTTCAAGGAAATTGCAGTGGTGATGCTTAGATACCAACCCTTGCCGATGAGTCATTCTCTGCTGGAGCGGAGGCAAGGTTCTCCCCTCAGTCAGCCCCAGCCTTACCTGTCTCTAAGCAGAGGGTGGTGAGCATGGGGCCCTGGAACACTGTGCCCCCGCCCCCTGCAACATTTTGGGTTTCAGAGAATTCGGAGTCCGGCACAGGAATGTGTCCCACGCATGAATGTCGTCCTTCAGATCTGGACCTGACAGCCTGGGAGCTGCTGGGGGGAGGTAGGAGGGGGTGCACCACGGTCTGAACGAGGGGCCAGCATGAGTGGCTTCTGTATCTGCAACCCACAGCGGCATGGAGGGCGGTGGGGTGGGCATAGGAACCAAATCGGAGGTTCTGGTAAGAGCTTAGGCAAGTGGCTATGGGGATCCAGATGTGAGTGGAGACAGTGTGTCAGAGCACTCCCCACAGCACTCGGTGATGGGCTGGATGCTGGGACATAAGGGAGCAGGAGAGGTGCTAGGTTTTGAGCGGTGGTGTGACATGATCAGAGATGCCGTGTTCAGTGGGGCCCTGGCTGCTGTGTGAAGAGGTCTGCAGGGAAGTGACGGGCAAGGCCGCAGACAGGAGCCCCTTGCACCCCAGTTGCGATGCTGGTGAGGACGCCCATGGGAGCATAAGTTCGAGAAGAAAGCGTTGGACTTATGAGAGGTTGAGAACCTTGTGATTGGCTGTGGGAATGATGGAAGAATTAAGGTGGACCCCTGGGGTCCCAGCTTGAATAGCTGGGACAGGAGGGACCTGGCAGAAGAATGCATTTGCAGAGTGGATGTTGACTAGGAGATTCTCCCAACTGAAATGTACGTGGTCGTTGCGTATATAATAATTCAGGAGCCAGGAAGAGGTGTTAGTGCCTGAGTGGTGATTGAAGTGTGGGTTGGGTTGGCCTGAATAAGACTACACAGTCAGAAGAGATGACCCCACAGGAGCCCTGAGGTCAGGGAGGAAGAGCTGGGAAAGAGATCACAACGGAGCAACCAGGAAAGTGGGGAAAAAATCCAGAGAGGTCGTTGACCAAAAAGGTATCAGAAGTTAGCACTGGCCCAGCACAGTGGCTCATGCCTGTAATCCCAACACTTTGGGAGGCCCAGGCAGGAGGATTGCTTGAGCCCAGTGGTTGAAGCCTGGGCAACATAGCAAGACCCCATCTGTGCAAAAAATGTAAGAAGTTAGCCAGGCATGGTGATGTGCACCTGTAGTCCCAGCTACTCGAGAAGCTGAGGCAGGAGGATCACTGGAGCCTAGGAGTTTGAGGCTGCAGTGAGCAGTGATTGTGCCACCACAAGAGACCCTATCTCAAAAAAAGAGTAGTACTCAGTGTTGTGAGGAGGGGTGGGGCAGTGGCCAGCCCACAAGAGGCCGAGTGAAACGTTGGCCACAGGGGTCTTTTGGGTTTCGCCCTGGAACAGGCTAGTGACTTTGGTTGTGCTGCGTCCATGGTCAGGAGGTAGAGGCCTGGTTGTCAGTGATCCGGAGGTGCAGAAGCAGAGGGAGCCAGTGGGGAGGTGGGCTGTGCAGACACAAAGGGAGAGGCACAGGCGAGGAGGGGTCCACGCCAGCTGTGTGCCATGCCTCCACCCTCCACAGCCCCAGGCCAGGGCCTCCTCTGTGTCCCCGCTGCCCTCTTCCTTCTCGTGCCACCTGTGCATTGGTTCTGACTGCGCTTTTCAGCGTTGAGTCTCTGCATTTCTCTGTTCTCTTCTGCTTGGGTTTTTTTCATTTGATGCATAGGTTTCCCCTTCCCAGTCAGAACCTCTCTGAGGTCACAGACCTCTCTTCTCACATTTCTTTTTTTTTTTTTTTTTTTTTTGAGGAGTCTCGTTCTGTCACCCAGGCTGGAGTGCAGTGGCAGGATCTCCACTCACTGCAACCTCTGCCTCCTGAGTTCAAGCGATTCTCCAGCCTCAGCCTCTCAAGGAGCTGGGATTACAGGTGCCCTCCACCATACCCAACTAATTTTTTTGTAATGTTAGTAGAGACAGGGTTTCACCATGTTGGTCATGCTGGTCTCGAACTCCTGACCTCAGGTGATCCTCCCATCTCGGCCTCCCAAAGTGCTGGGATTACAGGCATGAGCCACCACCGCACCCAGCCTCTTCTCACATTTCTTGTGGTATCTATCACTGCCTTCTTGCATATGTAGTAGATGTTAAATAAAGGACTGGCTTTCTGATTTCTGATCAACTGGCGTAAGGCTATTGCTGGTTACTTGCCATTTATAAAACAAAGGATGTCTCCCCAGTGAGTCAAATGTGACCTAAGCTACTTGGTCTTTTGTTGACTCTTCAGGTGTGTCCAGAGTAAGCATTGCCTATTCCCAGGTGAGTAAGCCGTATTTACTTAACAGTGGTGAAAGCCAGTGACTATCAAGGTCAACCCTATCTCTGCACATCAGCTGTAGATTCTAGCGTGAAGTCAACCCGGGCCTGAGTTCTTGGTCTTCTGATGATGCCAGCCAGTTTCACGCAGTGAGTGCTCCAGTTCTGGGGTCCCAGTGCTGCTGTCTGAATCCATTTCTTGTCCTGCACAATCCTTGCACTAGTCCTTGGTCTAGTTTCACAGCCCAAAGCCTGTCACCATTCATTCTGCAAGTCAGCGTTGGTTGCGCTGCGTGATAACCTCACCAAAGGGCCCTGCCCACCAACTTGCCTGCAGTGCAGTTGCTTCAGTAGCTATAGTTAAATAAGATCACTGAAAACGATATTTCTTCACTGTAGTGTACCTCTCTCTCATCTTTGAAATTTGCAAGCATGCCCGTTGTGTACCTACTGGAAACTTTGATGTGCCAGTGGCTGCAGAGGTAGCAATGAAGGAATGACCAGAGTCACGGTGTCACCCAGCTGCCCCTCAGCACCACTTCTCCTTCCCTCTCAGCAGCAGCTGTCCACAGTGGATGCCGAGTCACACGTGCTTTTTCCCACACAGGTCAGCCCTCTCAAGGTGAATGCTGCTGTGACATATGGGAAAGTGCATCTTTTCTATCCAAACCAACGCTGTCAATTATTTATTGTGCGGGAAATTCCAAGGCTTTGGCTTCAGCCAAATGTGTTCTGAAGCTACTACCAACGGCCAGTCATTTGGGACACCTGAAACAGGACTGAGCACTGGCTAGGGAGCATTTTTTCTCGCCATGGATGTGGTTCTGTCGTTGTGAAGTTTGACTGATTCGTCGCCTTGTGTTTCTAAGAACGGTTGGAATGATGCATGATGGTCTGATTGCGTTTAGCGTTCTGTTCCTCTTCCCGTAGATCCCAACTGGGCCAGTTTGAACTTGGGAGCCCTCATGTGCATCGAATGCTCAGGGATCCACCGGAATCTTGGCACCCACCTTTCCCGAGTCCGATCTCTGGACCTGGATGACTGGCCAGTCGAGCTCATCAAGGTGATGTCATCCATCGGGAACGAGCTAGCCAACAGCGTCTGGGAAGAGAGCAGCCAGGGGCGGACGAAACCATCGGTAGACTCCACAAGGTAGGAACTTTGGAAGATGCCTGGCTCCCGACACGTTTGCCAACAGTTAGGCAACTGGAAGTGATCATAATGACAGCCACGGTTGGGAAGGCCCTGATAACCTGTAGGAATTCGGGAATTCCGATTCATCCGGCATAGGAATGTCTGTGTTTAAAGTTGGTCTTGAGCAGACGTGGATAATTCACACTCCTTAATTTTTTATGTTTGTTTTTAGGCCTGGGGATTTCTCTCCCCCCTCTTAGAAATGTATTAAGCTTCTAACCTTATGAATATATTACTTTAATTAATACATTTCTAATAGGCATAAGCTGTGCCGTTAACACTAATTATGAATTTTTGATCCTTTAATTTTGTTATTCTTATAGCTTGGATAAGCATCTGCTCTGTCGATCCCCCCCCCGCACCATCACACAAAAGTTATTTTTATGGTAACAAAATCTATTTTATTTTCTAAAATATATCTCAACACATTTAGTCAACCAAGTTCAGCATAATGTATGATGTAACTCCTCATTAATGTTAATTGTTATCCAGTGTAAAAAACGCATTTATTTTGAGGCCATTTAGTTTCTCATTTTTCATTTACAGCTATTATAAACTGTTTTTGAGTACACATGCATATTTAATGTTCCTAAGGGGTGATAAAATGGAGTGTCTTCTGAGAAGGCGTATGGCATGGAGGCAGAATAGAGCATTTCATCTCCGTACTTGTCTAAAGCAAGTGGCTTCCAGGGTTGCTCATTTTCACCCACAATAGGAAGTGGGAGGTTGAGGTTTGCTGTCCGTGTTTGCCTCTCAGGTGTCTGAAGAGATGAAGGGAGAGGAGAGGTCTCCCATCACTGGTACTTTTTAGGTTCCTCTGATTTGTTTTGCTGCTGATCAGATAAAATGAAAGTTCAAGTGGTAATCTGTGGTTACGCCACAGAAACCGGTTTCTACTGCAGAGCAGTAAGAACGTGAGAAGCGTTCGTGGACTTCAGTTCATTAACACTGAAAAATGAATTTGTGGTGCCACCTTTGGCTCACTGGAGAGAATGAAGCTGGTGTGTTACTCATCTGGCTCTCCGTATGAGGGATTCTTTGGTAGTGGGGAGGACAGGAAAGGTGCAAAGAACATATTTGTTTAAAATTGCATGGTTTTGATACGCGACCTCTTTATGAGTTATGCTCTATAGTGTAGACAGGGGTAAGTTTCTTACAAACCGAAGAAATTATGCACTTTAAAAAGTATTTATCTTGATTTGTTTAATGCTACCATAGAAATCAGCTGGGTCATCAACTGTGAACAAGCTTAAAAGATGAATTCATGTTTTAATATCTATTTTTTCACAGATAATGATAACATTGGAGGAAACTTGGGTCTGAAAATGAAAAATGATTGGAAATTAGATTGAGCTTAATATATGAATGCAGAAAACATTGAAATAAGCTGGAAAAATCTATGCATCTTACTGTTTATATGTAAAAGAAGCACATTCACTATTTTTAATATCATGAATTATTAGAAAAGTTTGTTTATCCATCCATTAAAATTTAGAAACCATTTGGAATTATTCGAAGCAAAGATACGGGTTCATGTTTTACCTGATAAATGTTTTATAATTTCATCTTCATTCATAAATGAAGATTGTGTGTGCACAGGTATTTTGTAGTTCTAATTTGCATCCTTGAATTAAGTTCTTGAGTGCAGAGCCCTGTCTTTTTTCCAGTGTTACATACATCACATCATTATATTTTAGAGACCTATTGCAGAGACTTGCTTACTCCCAAGTGCAGTGGTTGCAGTTAAGTCCCATCTTTTCTTTAGTCACACTGGCTTTCCTAAAGAGCAGGCCGAGTTGTAATTCCTCTCCAAGACTGTGGTGTTGGTGATGTGGTTCTGTGCTGTTGCTGAAGGTAACTGTGGAATTTCTAAGTTCCCTTTGCACCTAAGAAGATAAACACATACGAGAACTGAATATTTCTTTGTGCCTGTAGTAATTTTCCTGGGGAGTTTTGTTTTCAGTGAAAATCAGCAAATAATCATTGCACACTTTCTCGTAGAAAAGCAACGGTGAGTGATGATTGCAGTTCCCTGGTGATTGGTGAAGGCTCTCAGGGCTGCCTGAGGATGCCAGGGCTCGGGAGGGTGCATTCTGGGAGGTGTCACTGGAGAAATGGCATCTGAGCTGGACTCTGAAATAGGGGGTGATTCCCAGGGCCAGGGCCAGGGGACCAGGTGGGAAGGCGGGCTGGAGGGTGGGAGTGGCCTCGGTGGATGCAGGCTCGGCCGGGCCTGTGGGGAGGTGTGCCTGTCGGCGAGTACAGCACCGTGGACGGGAGCCTCCCATGAATGAGGAGGAGCAGGAATGGGGGAGGCCCAAAGAGCAGAAGCAGGAAGGGCCTCTGAGCCAGGGCTGGCACCTTAAAAGCGACCCTGGGGGCAGGGGAGAGGGGAAGGGTTTGTCTATTCATGGGTTCTGTCTGTCCCACCTGTTCCCAAGAGGACTAAAGGCAGCCAGCAAGGTCTGTGTCCCTTCCCGCTGGAAGGCCAGGGTCCTGGTGGAGCATGCGGGAAGCCTTAACTACACTGTCCAAAGCAAAACACACCCAGCCCGATAACAGAGTAGAAATTCAGACTCCCACCACCTTCACCACCTCCTGCACGTCCCCTCAATAGAAAATGGAAAAGTGAAAGTCGGGGCTGGAATCTCCGCAAGCCGGTCTGTCCATGACGTGAGAAGATTCTGCCTTTCGAAGCCACCCCCGCTCCCTCTGCCCCACTCCGCCCCTCCTGGTCTCTCTGCAGAACCTACGATTGTTAGTAGAAACAGCTGGAAGGTTCTTTTAATGTGGCCCTGAGGTAATACCAAAAAGAAATATTTTAATAAATTTTTCTCTCTATCAAAGGAAAAGCCAAGTGCAATATATTTGGTGTAATTCTTTGAAAAAGGGCCCAGCTGTTTTCCCAAGGAGCTCTGGTCCATTCCATCTTGTGCAGAAGATTCATTCTGACAGTGGAATATAATTAGAAATGCGTCGTTCAGCCTGCCCCCACCCCCAAACACACAAACACACACAGATTCAAGACCATGGGGAAGTAGAACACAGCAGATCTTCCTCCAAAGAGACCGCCGCACACTGGAGTCACCTATTCGTGCGGCCAGTTAGGACAGCAGGCGCCCTGGACAGCCGGCCTCTGCTGTGTCCCTGCACCCCTGATTAGGGCAGCTTCGGACGGCTTATAATTGGTTCCAGTTAATCTCTGCCGCCCTGAGAACTGCCGTTCAAACTTGAGCAGCATCATGATCAATGGAAGCTGACGGCGGCTGAAGCAGTATTGACTTCCCATTCCTAAACAGGGGAATCATTAGTCAAGAAAAGCATCTTTTAATTACTCCCAGGAAGAAAAAAAAAATCTTTTTGGATGGATTCTGCAACAACTGCCATTTTTTCCCAGTGCATTCGATATTAAATTTATTGTCGCAGGAGGGGAGAGGATGCCCTTTGTCCCCCTCTGTAATGGGGGTTTAATTTGGAAAAAGAAGCACGTTAGAAAACAGAGCAATGCTACAACAATTAACTACATCTGGGGTAGCATCAGAATTCCCCTCTCTAATTGCTATTGATACCATTTAAGCACACACTTAAAATATCGATTTTAAGTGGGGATGTTGAAGTGGTGGTGAAGTAGTAACAGTGGACAGAACTAACTAGGTTTTAGGGGTTTAAGAAGGGAGCCGTCAGCTGTGTGTAGGACAGGACTTCGTAACACCCGGCTTGTGCGTGTGTGCGGTACCATAACGTAGCGTGTTGTAGGGCGTCGAGCAGCTGGGCCGGGGGCCACCAGCCAGGCGGGGCTCTGGGTTCCAGTGTTAGAGGTACATGGTGTTACTGTAAGGAGAAGTTGCCAAGCTCCTTGGTGACCCTTTCAAAGGCAAGAGTAATAAGCTCAGAGGTGAAGATGTTAAAACAGTCGTGCGAACGTCTCCTGCATGAATGAATGATTGAACGAGTAAATGAGTGAAAGCGGGAACTCGTCATCATGGAACACATGTCAGGTGCTCTTGCTACTTCGGGGCCTTGGAATTCCTCATGTGAGTGAAACCGGGGCTTTGACGTTTGCAGCACCAGCAAAGCCGTCTCAGTAAACCCGTCCACGCACATCCTCTCTCCCTCGCGGTACAGCAGTGTTTCCGGGGCTGCACGGCAGCGCCCTGGCCCGTTGTTCTTTATTGTTGTCCCCATTGCACTTAAAAACATTTGGGATTGGCTGCAGTGCAAGTGATTTCCTAGCAGGACGGAGCAGAGCCCTCTGGCGCCACATTCCTCTTGGCAGAAGCCTCGCTCTGCGTGGCACTGCATCTCCCCATCTTTGTGTCCTGGTGTCAAAGCATTTGGCCCCCAAGGCCCTGCAGGGACTCGCTGCTATTTGCATTTCAGTGCAGGTAGCCTGTTTACTTGGCGGCTTAGGAGCCTGCTGATTTGGGCCAGGAAATCAAAGGAACCTGGAAGTGGAGAATAGTGTTTTCAATTCCGTGAAAGAGCTCTTGAGAGGCGCTTTAAGCGCAACTGAAATCACCCATTACCTCTTTGATGCCACTTGGAAGGGAACCGAGTTTGCTGATTTAGTACGTATTCTTTTCCCTTTTTTAGCATCCTTTTTCTTTTTCTTCCCCCCATTATTTGTAAGTTCACCTCTGTGCCTAAACTCCCTTCTTGTCTTTAACCTATAAAAAGATGTCGCCTTCGATAGGAAGATTTGGGGCCAGACATCAGAAATCCACGTGGGAGAGACTGGCCGTACACTTCCAGATGGAACAAGTCTGCCCAGTGATGTGAGTTCCATCTCTTTTTGATTCTGGAACTCCACTTTCATCTTATTTATGCACATGGAGATATTGATAAAGGGGAAATGTATCCAAACTGAAAATAATTGGATCCCTACAGCTAACTCTGAGATATTAAAAGCAGTACCACTTGGCTGTGTCTTTGTCTTGTTAGGTTTGATCATAAGATCACAATGTAGTAATCTCGGGCTCAAATTTCTGGCATAAAGATGCACTGTTCCAAATGTGGCCTCAGGGAACACGACTGCCCACACAGCCCCAGGATTGTCTCATCTTATTATTTTTCAACAGTTCTTGGCCTGCTGAGGTCAATGTTTTGTCTCTTTTGAGTGTTCCTCTATGCTTGACACCTTTTCCTATTTTCTTTCTTAAAAAAAAAAAAAAAAAAAGGGAGGGGGAGAAAGGAGAAAAAAAATAAAAAAAGGACTTTGCCGCGATGACCAGAGTCCATCTGCAGTTGGGTGGCATCTGCTCCCCACATGTCACTTTCCTCATTAACAAGCAATTGAATTAATTAAATGCTACTCAGAACACGCATAACAAGCTACCGGCAGTGTCCAAATTAGCACTGATAATCAAGGATGATTTCCTTTATTATCCTGCTAAGTGGTGTGCAGACTCTGATCTCCC
This sequence comes from Homo sapiens, assembly GCF_000001405.40. Lineage (NCBI taxonomy): Eukaryota > Metazoa > Chordata > Mammalia > Primates > Hominidae > Homo > Homo sapiens. The sequence continues at coordinate 236,054,741 of NC_000002.12, forward strand.
TGTCTGCCCTCATCTATTTACATACCCCCAGCTCCTGCCTTTGGAAGCGGAGGTTATCTTACCTAGTTAATTTGCCACGATCACCGAGCATGGCGGATTGATGCCCTGCCCCTGCCGCCACTGCCGGGCCCGGGCCCCCTCCCCGGCTGCCCTCCCCCAGCCCCAGCCTTTGTATCTCAAGCTCACTGATAAATTAAAGGCCACCCCTGTGGTCTCTCAAGTGAGTAATAGAGGCAGAAATTTCATTTTGCAACTGGCTGATTTAATGATCCAAAGGGTAATTAATGGCCTGATTATCTTAATGTTAAATATGTCCGGCAGCAATTACTGTGACCTCCCGCTTGTCAAGGTCCGGGCTGTGCTCTTCTTTCAATTAAGTTCTCTGGGGCTTAATGGTATGAATAAACTCCTCTGATTCTATCATCCCGGATGCAGAGGGTTCAGGGAGCTGGGGGCTCGTTTGGAGTTTTAATCAGCCTGTCTTCTACTCCGGCGATCAGAGTTAACAATTATAGCAAGGACAGTTTAACTTTCTTCTTCGCCGTGCAGACCCCCCTACATGTACACACATGCACACTTTTGTGTGTGGCTTTATGTGCCTTGTTTTCATGTGTTTCTTTCAGTGCTCTCAGGGAGAATTCTGTTTGTGGAGGAAGCTGCTGTGCTCTGTGAGCCTCGTCTCTTCCAATATAAATTATCATGTGAACGCTGTGGTTTTTCTATTTGACAGGCTTAATTAATTGGCAGGAGCCCCCGAAAATGACAGTACCACTAATTGCAACTCAAAGTGAATTTCTGTCACCGCGGCGTGCTTGTCAGTGGGCCTGCCCTGGCCCCAGCCGCAGAGCGGGTCCACCCTCCCAGTTTCCCCGTCCAGGCAGGGACTGTGCCCTGCTCAAGCCACGACAGTGGCAGCCTTCTCCGAGGAGCCGTGGGTTTGCAGGCACACCGTCTGCTGGCAGGAGTGACATTTACTACCAATAAAGTTTATACATCCTCGGCTATGCAAACGCAACAGCTGCTCAGGGACCTCAGCCCTTACTTAAGATATTTTAGCAACTTCTCTTAGCAAGCCAACTTGGAATCAGACTGAGAGAACCATAACTCACTTAGCCACCCTTCATGACTGGATGGTCCTCATTAGCACACTGCTAAATATGCTTCAGTTTACTAGAGCTCAGGGCCCGGATCAGAAATATTCTGCTATAAATATTAAGCCAATTAGGAAAATGTACAAATGAGAAGTACGTTAACACTGCCTTTAAAATAATACCTACAGATTACAGTTGACAACAGATAGAGCAATGCATCTAGTGAACCTCCACCAGGGAGCTTGGTGGGAATCCAGGCAAGCTCTCCATAAAGACTGGCTCTAATTATAAGAAAGGTGATTCTAAGAAGATTCTCCATGAGGTTAAGTATAATGGGATCTGCTTTTTCAAGGATAACTATACTTGCATTTGCCTTTGAACCAGACAGACAGAATGGTGCTCTCGGTTTATCATGCCGCCTGCCACACAGGAACCCCAGTTATTTGTTTGATCCTGCAAGAAACCAGTGTGTGCTTGGAGCCGGCTTTGCTACCGCAGAGCTGTCTAGGGTTGAAAATCCTTATCATTTACGTTCTGAAATACGGCCGTCGTGACAATTAAGGAGTTTCTGATGCTTAAGAATTTTTACTGCCCCTGGCAGATGAGAAGGCAAGTCATCAGCAGGCAGCAACTGGCTTCCAGGTGCCCTGACCACGTTCAAGCCTGTGTCTACTTGTGGGAGTGTATGAAGGAATGGAATGGGAAGATTAACCTTTTTAGGCTTGAATTATATAACATGGGCCAATAAATATGGCCTCTATTTTGATTCCTCCAGCAGTCAAGCATTTTCCAAAGGGCCCTGTCTTTCAGTCGTGTTTTGCTTATTTTGCACCAGAGACTCTCTGTCTTCTAGTGAACTTTTCTCTTTCTTCTTCTTAATGAAGAGGAGGGAGACAAAAACATGGCCGGAGCACACAGCGCCCTGTGTGCTTGGATTATCCCCATTCCCAGACGTGTGCCAGGGTCACATGGGAGCGCAGGTCAGACTGCAGGCACCAAGATCTGACTCCAGATGCCGCTCTGCAGTCCTGCTGCTGCTCCTGTTCCTTTTCTGCCAAATCCACGTCAGTAGCGGCATTGGGAGAACCGCCATGTTTAGCAGCACCACTCCCACTCGCCCCTGGTCAGTTTCTATCTCAGTAGCCATCGTGTGTCAAACTTACTAAATGAGTAGTGCAAACATATTATGTAACTACAGTGTCTTTCCACTTCACAGCAGCTTCACTTATAGTAATATAAGTAATCATAAAGCCTCTTCCATTTTAGTTTACATTCATTTAGCTGACCTGACTTTTTTGGTGGCGTCTCTCTCTGTCGCCCAGGCTAGAGTGCAGTGGTGCAATCTCGGCTCACTGCAACCTCTGTCTCCTAGGTTCAAGTGATTCTCCTACCTCAACCTCCCAGGTATCTGGGATTACAGGCACGTGCCAACACACCCAATTAATTTTTGTATTTTTAGTAGAGACAGGGTTTCAACGTGTTAGCCAGGCTGGTCTCAAACTCCTGACCTCAGGTGATTTGCCTGCCTTGGCCCCCCAAAGTGCTGGGATTACAGGCATGAGCCACTGTGCCTGGCCAAAACTCGACCTTACAAGTCACACAGCCATGATTCTAAAGTCTTAATTCTCTTCCATCAGTGCTAATCCTAAGAGCTTCCACAGAAAACAGCACTGAGAACTGTAAAATGTTGAGATCCACCCACACAAGTGCAGGGTTAGAGCCCCCCCCTCAACCCCCGTGTTTCACGTAACCACATCCTGCTCATGTCCCTGACCCAACACTGCGTTTTGGGAATATAAAGCCTGTATTGCAGAGACCTCACAATCATATTTATTATCTGCATGGTACAATATGGAGCCATGTCTCAGGCCATAGAGTTCCTGGTTCTGGTTTCATGGCCAGCATCTTCTGCCATTTTAATTTTAAAAACAGGGTAATTCCTCATTTCTAAGAAGAGACTAGTCATTTTTCCACCCACTTAATTATGTAGAGTTAGTGCTAAAAGAAAATAATATTTATGAAGTTTCCTGGGCTTCCTTTTTATCCAGAAGATACAATCAGCTTTGAGGCCTGGGTCATGCATACTAGCAGTGAGAGGGACAGGTGGTCCATGCCCTCCCCGGGGGTTGTGGAGGGCCTGCTGATATAGAAGATGTGGCCCATGTTTATTTTGCTTTGTATGTATATAATGGTTTATTGCAGCATCAGTATCACATGGAAAGGTATATTCTTGAGCCCCACCCAAGCCTACCCAGTCAGCATCCCTAGGGGGTAGGGTCCAGTGGTGTGTTTTAACTCTCTAGGTAATTCTTATGCACATTAAAGTTTGAGACACTCTGGTCTGCACTAAGTAGTAAAAATAAAAGTCCACAATCTTGCCTGTGAACTCACTGTGTTAATCCAAGTCCCTGGACTTCATTCCTCACTTCTTTAGACCCAGGTCTTCTGTTTTCTTCCTTTACCAGACTGTTGTCTGGCTTAGCATATCCAGTATATCCCAGCAGATGTTACAGCCAGAGAGCATCTACAAGAGGATTAGACTCTGTGATCAGGTGGCACTGAATGCAAGGAAGGCAAGGTTGGTTCGACACGCAAAAATCAATCAATGTGATATACCACATTAATACAGTAAAGAGAGAAGAAAACATAATCTTTTCAAGGGATACAGAAAATACATTTGACAAAACCACGTGCCCTTTCATGGTAACAAACACTCAGCAAACTAGAAATAAAAGGAAACTTGCTGAACCTGATAAAGGACATCTCTAAAAAACCCACAGCTAACATTGTACTTTATGGTGAAATACTGCAGGCTTTTCCCCTAAGATCACAAACAAGACAAGAATGTCACCAGATCTGTTCAGCATTATACTGGAGGTTCAAGCCAGGGAATTAGGCAAGAAGAAGAAACCAAAAGCATCCAGATTTGAAAAGAAGTAAAACTACCTCCATTTCCAGATGACATAATCTTTTATGTGGAAAATCCTAAGGAACCCATAAGAAACATGTTAAGCAAAATTGAAGGATACAAGATCAATGTGCAAAACTCTTAGCTGGCCATGGTGGCACAGTTCTGTAGTCCCAGCTACTCAAGAGGCTCAGGCAGGAGGATTGCTTGAGCCCAGGATTTCAAGGCTGCAGTGGGCCACAATCGCACCACCACTTTCCAGCCTGGGGAACAGAGCAAGACTCTGACTCTTAAAAAATCAAAAAGGCCAGGTGCAGTGGCTCATACCTTAAATCCCAATGTTTTGGGAGGCTGAGGCTGGAGGATTACTTGAAGCTAGGAGTTCAAGACCAGCCTGGGCAAAATAACAAGACCGTATCTTTAAAAAAAAAAAAAATTCTATTGTATTTCTTTCTGTACACTAGCAGTGGACAATCAAAATAAAATTAAGGACAGTTCCATTTACAAATAGCATCAAAAAGAGTAATATACTTAGAAATAAATTACCTGTACACTGAAAACTACAAAGCATCATCGAAAGAAATTAAAGAAGACCTAAGTAAATGAAAAGACATCATGTTCACGGATTGGAATATGGCAGTACTCTTCAAATCGATGTACAGAGTCGGCAAAATCACTTTCAGAATCTCAGCTGCCTGTTTTTTTCCCAGAAATTTGACAGCTAATCCTAAAATTCATATGGCACAGTAAGAGACCGTCAAATATCAAAACGGTCTTGAAAAAAGAATGAAGAAGTTGGAGATCTCACACTTTCTGATTTCAGAATTTACTGCAAAAGCATGGTGATCCAAGCCTGTGTGATATTGGTGTAAAAATAGACACACACGTCAATGAAGCGGAATCGAGAGTCCAGAAATGAGCCCCTTCATCGGTGGGCAGTTGATTTCCAAAAAAGATGCCAAGACATCTTCCCCATCAATGGGGAAGGAATAGTCTTTTTAGGAAGTGGTGCTGGGACAACTGGATATCCACTTGTGAAAGAATGAAGTTAGACTCTTATCTAATGCTATATATAAAAATTAACTCCAACACCTGTAATCCTAGCACTTTGGGAGGCTGAGGCGGGTGGACACTTGAGGTCAGGAGTTCAAGACCAGCCTGGCCAACATGGTGAAACCCCGTCTCTCCTAAAAATAGAAAAATTAGCTGGGCATGGTGGCATGCACCTGTAACGCCAGCTACTTGGGAGGCTGAGGTAGAATAATCACTTGAACCCAAGAGTTGGAGGTTGCAGTGAGCCGAGATCGCACCACTGCACTCCAGCCTGGGTGACAGAGCAAGACTTCGTCTCAAAACACACACACACACACAAATTAATTCCAGATTGATCAAAGCCTTGAGTGCAAAAACTGAAACTATAAAACTTTTAGAAGAAAATACGGGGTAAATCTTTGTGACTTTAGATTAGGCAGTGGTTTCTTAGATATGATACCTAAAGTGCAAGCAATAAAAGAAAAAATAGATAAATTGAATATTAGCCAAATTAAAAATTTTAGTGCTTCAAAGGGCAGTGTCAGAAAAGTAAAAATGCACAGAATGGGTGAAAACATTTGAAAATTAAATATCCAGTAGGGATCTGGTATCCAGAATATATAAAGAACGGTTACAGGTGGGCATGATGGCTCATGCCTGTAACCCTAGCACTTTGGGAGGCCAAGGTGGGAGGATCACTGGAGCCCAGGAGTTTGACACCAGTCTGGACAGCATAGGGATACCCCATCTCTATAAAAAATAAAAAACATTAGCCAGGTATGGTGACGTGCACCTGTGGTCATAGGTAAGCTACTCAGGCGGCTGAGGCAGGAGGATTGCTTGAGCCTAGGAGGTCAAGGCTGCAGTGAGCCGTGATCGCACCACTGCACTCCAGCCTGGGCCGCAGAGTGAGACCCCATCTCAAAAAAATAAAAATTTAAATTAAAAAAAAGAATACTTAAAACTCAACAATAGAAGGTAGATTGTCCAATTTAAACATGGGCAAAGAGCTGGGCATGGAGGCTCATGCCCGTAATCCCAGCATGTGGGGAGGCTGAGGCAGGAGGATCACTTGAGGCCAGCATCTCAAGACCTGCCTGATCAACATAGTGAGACCCCACCTCTACAAAAACTTTTAAAAATTAGCTGGGCACAGTGGGGCACACCTGTAGTCCCAGCTACCTGGGAGGCTGAGGTGGGAGGACCTCTTGAGCCCAGGAGTTTGAGGTTGCAGTGAGCCGTTATCACGTCACTCCACTCTAGCCTGGATAACAGAACAAGACCTCGTCTGAAAAATAAAATAAGTAAAAAATAAAAATGGGCTAAGACTCTAAATAGACATTTCTCCAGAAAATATAAAAATGGCCAGTAAATACATGAAAAGATGCCTAATGTCATTACTTTTTAGGGAAATGCAGATCACCCTTGAGCCCCCACCGCACGTGCTCTTGGACGGTCGTGGCAAGTGTTGGTGAGGAACGTGGAGACACTGGTGCAGCCACTTGGGAAGATAGTCTGGCACTTCCTCGAAAAGTTAAACCTAGAGTTACCGTATGACCCAGCCATTCCTCCCCCAGGTCTATACCTAAGATAAATGAAAACACTTGTCCACACAAAAATGTACACCTGAGTGTTCACAGCAACATCATTCATAATAGCCAAAAAGTGAAAGTAACCCAGGTGTCCCTCTGTGGATGAATGGGTGAACAAAACATGGTCTGTCCGTACACCAGAACGTGATTCTGCCATGGGAAGGAGTGAAGTGTGGATACAGGTTGTAACGTGGGTGAACCTCGAAGACATGATGCTAAAGGAAAGGAAGCAGGCACAGAAGGCCACACCGTGTACCATTCCATCTGTCTGATGGCGAAAACAGGCACCTCCATAGTAATGCAAAGTAGATTCCTGCTTGCCAGGTGCAGGGGAGGGAGGGGCAGTGGCGTATACGGAGTGATTGCCTAATGAGTACGAAACTTCTTTTGGAGACAACGAAAATGATCTGGATTTACATAGTAGTGATGGTTGTACATCCTTGCAAATATACTAAAAACCACTGAGTTGTACACTTTTAAAGTGTGAATTTTATGGTATATAAATTATGTCAATTTTGAAAAAAAAAAAAAAGGAATTTCCAAAGGAAAACAGATGAGCCAGGGCGTTCCACAAAGAGCAGCTGGAGCAAAGGTGCAGGCGTACAGGAACGCATGCTGGGTGGCGGGGGCCTGGGTGCGGGCCGAGGGCTGGCGTGGCTGCCCCTCCTCAGGCCTGGGGAGTAGAGCTCTGAGCAGGATGTGCACTGCAGCCAAATTCCTGCCCTGCGGACGGCCCACAGGGGAGCGAGAGCAGGTGGAAGGTGGTGCCTATGTCCAGGGGAGCAAGTGAGCCTGAATCAGCGATCATCACCACCAGATACTGGGAGTCCCTGGGAGAGATCAGGCACTTGACAAGCCCTGCCTCTTGGAATCCGCACAGCAAACCAATGCCATTCTTTCCTTTTCCTGGGCTAGGAAACTCAGGCCTGTGTCTCCCTGAGCCTGTGAATGCAGGACGGGCCAGAACCCACCCCAGATCTGACCTCCCTAGAGGAAGCCATGGCCAGAGGGGAGGGGAGGGAGGCAGAGCCAGGCTGGTATGGGATTCTAGGAGCATACTCAGGACTCGTATTTTGTTGTTGTTGTTGTTGTTGTTGTTACTTTTCATTTATTTTCATGTATTTTTTTTAGAAACAGAATCTCACTCTATCACACAGGCTTGAATGCAGTGGCATGATCATAGCTTACTGCAACCCCAGACTCCCAGGCTCAAGCAATCCTACCTAGTCAGCCTCCCAAGTAGCTGGGACTACAGCCACATGCCTCCACACTCAGCTATTTTGTTTGTTTGTTTGTTTGTTTTTGTTTGTTTGTTTGAGATGGAATCTCACTCTGTCACCCAGGCTGGAGTGCAGTGGAGCAATCTTGGCTCACTGCAACCTCCACCTCCTGGGTTCAAGCAAATTCTCTGCCTCAGCCTCCCAAGTAGCTGGGATTACAGGCTCCCGCCACCTTACCCAGCTAATGTTTGTATTTTTAGTAGAGATGGGGTTTCACCATCTTGGCCAGGCTGGTCTTGAACTCCTGACCTCATGATCCACCCACCTTGGCCTCCCAGAGTGCTGGGATTACAAGTATGAGCCACCGTGCCTGGCCATCAGCTATTTTTTTAAGAGATGGGGGTCTCACTATGTTGCCCAGGCAGGGATCCTGGCCTCCAGTGATCCTCCTGCCTTGGCCTCCCAAAGCGCTGGGATTACAGGGGTGAGGCACTGCGCCCCGCTGTACTCAGGACTTTTATTTTTTTTGAGCCAGAGTCTTGCTCTTTTGCCCAGGCTACAGTGCAGTGGCACAATCTCAGCTCACTGCAACCTCCACCTCCCAGGTTCAAGTGATTCTCCTGCCTCAGCCTCCCACCTGGGATTACAGGTACCCGCCACCATTAATGGCTAATTTTTGTATATTTAGTAGAGACGGGGTTTCACCATGTTGGCCAAGCTGGTCTTGAACTTCTGACCCCCAAGTGATCCACTGGCCTCGACCTCCCAAAGTGCTGGGATTACAGGCATGAGCCACCAGGAATGGTGGCTCTTAACCAAAGTGAATGTGGGGTGTGGGAAAGACAAGCATCCATGTTGATGTTTAGTTTTCTTTCTTGGGCCATTGGGAGGATGATGAGGCCTTTAAACAACAAGCAAAACACACAAAAGGTAATTCCAGTTGTAAAATCTTGACGAGATTATTTTCATGTTAAGAAAGGTAAAAGTTGCACACATTTGTGCTGGTGATTTCGACAAGATTAATTGATTGATTTCTAGGCTGGCCACCCAGTGTAGCAGAGGCCCAGCCTCACCTTTGCAGTCTTGGCTTTGTGACTGGGTCACTGGGCTTTAGAGGCAAACTGTCCGAGGCCAGTGGGACAAAGCAAGCCACTCCTGGCTGCAGAGATCTGACTTCACAGAATTACTTGAGGCCCAGAAAGGGAGAACAGCAGTGACAATACCATTAAAGCTTCAAATAATTAAATGTCATTTATAACTGATACAAAATTTCATCAACCAGGGGTCTGGAAGATGAACATTATCTGGAGCACACATCACTCAATTTTAGGGACCCACTCATATAAAAAGCATCTCTGATGTACGTGATCTAATACAAATGACCCTGGAGGATACATACATAATCATGATGACTTACCTATAAGTCTCTCCTCAAGGACCTCGAAGAGCTGCCACAATGTCTTCATGCTGATCCTTGCCATCTTAATGAAATTAGGAGATAACTGTTTAAAATCAGAGAAGATGACACCCAGACAGGAAAAGTGACTTGCCTATAATTAACCCAGTGACTTGGACCAAGCCAGAATTAGCCTGTGAACCTGTCACCCAGAGACTCCTGAGAGAAGCCAACAGCGTGGCTTAGGAGCATGGAGTTATGGCTGCAAATGCCTCTAGTAGCTTTCAGCCTCAAATGCTAAAGCCCAGGACACTCCTACACGTGAAAATTTGCTCTGCCGTGGCTCGCGCCTGTAATCCCAGCACTTTGGGGAGGCCGAGGTGGGTGGATCACTTGAGGTTGGGAGTTTGAGACCTGCCTGGCCAACATGTTGAAATCCTGTCTGTACTAAAAAAAAAATACAAAAATTGGCCAGGCATAGTGGCACACATCTGTAATCCCAGCTACTCAGGAGGCTGAGGCAGGAGACTCACTTGAACTCGGGAGGCGGAGGTTGCAGTGAGCTGAGATCGTGCCACTGCACTGCATTCTGGACAACAGAGCGGGACTCCGTCTTAAAACTAAATAAATAACAAAATGCCAGTAGCACTCCTGCTGAGGAGCATGGAAAGAGCCCTCCAAAAATTAAACCCACACTGCTGCAGAGGGACCCAGGATCAGCTCCCACCAGCTGATTGCTGGTATCCTTTAAACAGCACGTGAAAAGACCTGGAAGAGCCTCGCACCCTTCCTCGGAGAATTCTTTGGGGGTGTGGAAGGAATGAACTGAGAAAGAGGAATATGTTTTCATTCTAAATTGCCAAACTATACCTTTCTAAACACATAAAATGAAAACAAGAATAATCACCTGTTCTGTAATATTCCAGAGGAGCCATAGTAGATACTCAATAAATATTTGAGAGATTGTGTTACTTTTTCATTGTTTTCTTTCCAAAAACTAAAGTTAGGGTCATGATATATGACTGATAAAAAAAGGAAGTGGAAGTAAGTGGCCAGGCAAAGGCTCCATGGAGCATCAGCCTGACTGATACTGCTGGAGAGGTGAGGCAGATACAGACAGACAGCAGCTTATCGGAGGCCGGAAGGCTTACGTGCTGCCTTCATCACGGGCTTCGTCAAAACCTCTGGGTTTCAACACAGCATTGGAAAAGGCTCTGTTCCTGACGTTCCCACTTGTGGTTTTGAAATTGCCAAGCCAAGGGAAGTTCAATAACTTATTCGCACACAGGGGCACGTCCATTGGCTTTGAGTTAGGAGTGTCGGTGGTGGTGTCTTCAGCTCCTCGGGCCCCTATTGTTGCTGCCTGCTTGTGACTCTGCATTCGACTGGATGCATTTTATTTCTGAAATACACTCGCCCCGTGGGCGGTTTTCATCTGGCTGTGAAGCAGCCATCAAAGAAAGCTCCCCTAAATGTTCTGTTCGCAGGCAGCCTAGAAACCTTTTCTGACATGTTGCTAACACTCCATCAGGCTCTCTCTGGAATAGGAACAGTGTTCGGCCAGCCTGTGGACAGTTGGGTGATTATCGAAAGGGAGGCCCACAGGGGCTGCAGAGCTTAGAAAAAGGAACGCTTTTAAATGTGCATATTTACAACAAAATCCTGCTTCCTAAGGCAAGCGAGTGGGGTCCCATTGTTGCCGGAACACATCATCTCCATCATCCTTTTAAAAATGGGGCTCTTCTGACAGCTGCCTCCTGCTGGGTTGTGGAGCTCTGTGGCACCCAGTTGGGCTTCAGGGCAAATGAAGCCTTAGGACCCACCATCTAGCACTGCTTTCAGCAAAGCCTTCCAGAGTCCTTCCTTCTGTCCAGCAGCTTCCTTATCAGATGGGAAAATCCTTGCATCATTAAACGTGACAAGTCACTGTGCTTGTCCCCAGCTGTTGTGCTGAGATTCTAGGGAGTAGCTGTCTGATGGCCAGGGTGGCACTGTGGTCGGCATGTGTCAGCAACATCAGAGTCACTACTCGTGGCCCTCAGTGGGATGTGCCCTCAGTAATGGCTTGCCCATGTGTCCTGAAAACCCTTCTTCCATTGCTTGTCCCACTAGGGCCACCCTGCCCAAGCTCTGGAGGGGACACTCACTGTGCAAATCCGTTTACTGACACATGGGCCTCAGGAAGCCCTGATTTGCAGGCTGCAGTGAATGCACAAATTACTAGAATTTTGGTTTTTGTTTTTTATTGTTTTTGTTTTTGTTTTTTGAGACAGAGTCTCACTCTGTCGCCCTAGCTGGTGCAGTGGCACAATCTCAGTTCACTGCAACCTCTGCCTCCTGGACTCAAGTGATTCTCCTGCCTCAGCCTCCTGAGTAGTTGGGACTACAGACACCTGCCACCACGCCCAGTTCATTTTCGTATTTTTAGTAGAGATGGGGTTTCGCCATGTTGGCCAGACTGGTGTCAAATTCCTGAGCTCAATTGATCCACCCGCGTCGGCCTCCCAAAGTGCTGGGATTACAGGCGCGGGACACTGTGCCCAGCCAAATTACTAGAATTTTGAATACCTCATTCTTAAGGTCCCAGTATCATGCCATTCTTTTGAGATTGTTGAGATAAATCATGAACTCTTAAAATGGTTGGATTATCCAGAGCAAGTGGTATATTATTCTTTTAGCTTTTTAAAAAATTTATATTGGGGTATAATTTGCATACTGCATTACACACATTTTGAGTATACAATCAATTCAGTTGGTTTTGATAACTGCATAGGTCTATCAATAATATTCCTATCACCCCAGGAACTTCCCCTGTCCCCCCTCCTGTTTATTCTCCCTGTTCAGAAGCAGCCATGAATCTGACATCTGTCAGGATAGGTTAGTTTTGCCTCTTAGAAAATTCATGGAAATGGAATTATATGGTATATACGTTTTTGTGCCTGGCTACTATCACTCAAAAATGTAATTGAAAAGAATTGTTTATCTACCAATGATACATTTTCCCCATGTAAGGGAATATCTGAAAATGTCTTCTTCACCAACCAATTTTTTTTTTTTTTATCACTGAGACCTAAGAGTTTACTGTAAGTCAGATGTACTCTGTGTAGATCTGCTTCTGGAGTTGGGGTTCAGAGTTCCAACTCAGGTCAGACTGGCAGCATCCAACCTGGTCTTTACCACTGGCTTGCTGTGTGACCCGGGCTGGATGTTCACCCTCACTGTGCCTCAGTTTCCCATTCTGCCAAGTGAGGGGTAAGTGTAGTACCTGCCTCATCAGGATGATTTCAAGAATTAAATGAACAATATATATAACACAATGCTGAACACCTAATCTTCTCAATAGAGGGCTAAGTTCTAAATAGAAGTCATCTATTAGTTTTTTTAAGGAAAAATCACTACGCTTTTAAAGGAGAAAAACTTGTAAGAGTGAGACACTCTGAGCAAGTTCAGAAACATCGTTAAAAATTATAATGAAAAATACTATGTCTACCTGTCATATTTGCTATAATGCTAAATCAGGTGGGCAGGACAAGTCTTCAGTATCTACAGAAATGCCTAGTATTGAGCTAGCCCATTTGAGAAAGTAAAGATGTTTCTGGAAAGACAATCTGATTATTTTCTTAGGAAGTAGTGTGAAATAATCTATGTTACTATGCGCTAGATGATGTGGCCAAGACTGGGAGTAACACGTATTGGAAGAAGAGAATGGGGTCCTGTCTTTTCTCTGTTCTGGGGAAGAAACCTCATCTCTTAACAGACGTTCCGCACATCCTTTCCAGTATGCCGTGTTCACGTGAGGTGAGACGAGGAAGAGCGAGTGTTTTTCACAAGAGTCTCATGGAATCCAAAGAGTAATGACCGTTCCTGGATGTTTTGCATCATGTTCCAAATCATAGCCACCGGGCTGTCAGGGTCAGCCATCCGTCCTGTGCTATCTCATCTGGCAAAGAGAAGGACATGTTGTGTATGTTCCTGTAAGACAGAGTGGCTCTTACTAAAATCAAATAATTGGCTGGGTGTGGTGGCTCACACCTGTAATCCCAGCACTTTGGGAAGCCAAGGCAGGCAGATTGCCTGAAGTCAGAAGTTTGAGACCAGCCCGGCCAACATGGTGAAACCCCATCTCTGCTAAAAATACGAAATTTAGCTGGGCGTTGTGGCATGTGCCTGTAATCCCAGCTACTCGGAGGCTGAGGCAGGAGAATTGCTTGAATCCAGGAGGCAGAGGTTGTAGTGAGCCAAGATCACGCCACTACACTCCAGCCTGGGCAACAGAGCAAGACTCCATCTCAAAAAAACAAAAAATCAAATAGCTAGCGCAGATCACTGTGAAACATCTGATGGTAAAAAACAAAGGTCGTTTTGTTCCATAATATAATAACCCTTCCTGTTGGCCAACTCCCTCTCCTCTCCTCTGGCACTGCTGGTAAGAGTGAAAGTTGGGGAAACCTTCCTGGAAGGAACTTGGCAATATGTGTCAATAGCCTTTAAAATGATATGCTTTTTGACCTAGCAGTTCTTCTCTTAACATTTATCCTAGGCCGGGCGCGGTGGCTCACGCCTGTAATCCCAGCACTTTCGGAGGCCGAGGCGGGCGGATCACGAGGTCAGGAGATCGAGACCATCCTGGCTAACACGGTGAAACCCCGTCTCTACTAAAAATACAAAAAATTAGCCGGGCGTGGTGGCGGGCGCCTGTAGTCCCAGCTACTCAGGAGGCTGAGGCAGGAGAATGGCGTGAACCCGAGAGGCAGAGCTTGCAGTGAGCCAAGATCGCGCCACTGCACTCCAGCCTGGGCGACAGCGAGACTCCGTCTCAAAAAAAAAAAAAAAAAAAAAAAATTTATCCTAAAAACTGAAGGATGTAGGCTAGGCATGGTGGTTCACGCCTGTAATCCTAGCACTTTGGGAGGCCAAGGCAGGCGGATCATGAGGTCAGGAGATCGAGACCATCCTGGTCAACATGGTGAAACCCCGTCTCTACTAAAAATACAAAAATTAGCTGGGCATGGTGGTGCATGCCTGTAATCCAAACTGCTCGGGAGGCTGAGGCAGAAGAATCACTTGAACCCGCGAGGTGAAGGTTGCAGTGAGCCGAGATCACGCTAGTGCGCTCCAGCCTGGGCAACAGCGTGAGACTCCATCTTAAAAAAAAAAAAAGAAAGAAATTTTAAATAAAGCAAAAATTCAAAATAGGCAATTAAATAAATTATTACTTTAGTATGCAAGTAATGCATATAGTTACATTATATAAAATACATGATTTTGTCGTGTACACGTGACAATGCAATGTAAATATACATACGTTATGATGTATAATTGAATATATATCATAAAATCTTACATTTCATATAATGTAATGAATTATATATAATGTATAAATTTTACATGGTAAGTATATGCATTATTTATACATATGAGCATAGCACATGATATAAACAGTGCAACTTTGTTTTTCTTTCGATACAGAGGCTCCCTCTGTCACCCAGTCTGGAGTGCAGTGGCACAACCTCGGCTCACTGCAACCTCTGCCTCCCAGGTTCAAGTGATTCTCCTGCCTCAGCCTCCCAAATAGCTGGGATTACAGGCACACGCCACCACGCCTGGCTAACTTTTGTATTTTTAGTAGAGACGGGGTTTCACCATGTTGGCCAGGCTGGTCTTGAACGCCTGACCTCAAGTGATCTGCCCACCTCAGCCTCCCAAAGTGCTGGGATTACCGGAGTGAGCCACTGCACCTGGAAATGTGATGATGCAGGTGAAAATGTGATTACATGGGGAGATAGTTATGGTATTCTGTTAAAATATTGTGTACCCCAAATTGTTAATTGTGACACTTTCTCTAGGGGATAGGGTTCTGATTTATTCTTATTTATTGCTTATCTTTATTTTCTAATTTTCTGCCATTTTAAAAATTTGGTTAGATTTTTAATAAGCTATCTATGACATCAGAGCCGTAGAGGGCCGGGAATGTGTCATTGACATGAATGGCATGGCTTGCCTTTCACCCAGTGTGACAGTGGTGGCTGACGCCACCCAAGGGCACACTGGTCCACTGTCAGTGGCGCCTAGAGCCCTGGCATCTGCTGGCTGTGGCGCTGTATGAGAGCATTCGTGTTAGGAGTACCACTGGGGTGTGACCCCCACATTGCTCCCGAAAGCTGTGCAGCCATGACCCGCACCCTCCCCAGACTCAGTTTCCTCCTCTGGAAGTGGACCTGCTAGTTCTCCTTTTGTTCCCAGTTTGCTCTTGGTTTGGATTTGGCATCAGGGCGAGTGGTTAGGGGCAGCGTCCGGACACCATGCTCACCTACCCAGATGAATGAGAAAGAGCAGCATTGAAATCCTCAGGCTAATTCTGAAGGACTCTTAGCAGCTGAGGAGCATCTATAAAGTTATGAGTTCCTCTGAAGTTTTAGTGAAATTACGGGGCTACTCTGTGGCCTACCACTTCCACCCCTAGGCGTATCCACAAGAGAAATGAAACCTGCGTTCACACAGAAACTTGCACATAAATGTTCATGGCAGCATCGTTCCTATTAGCTACACAGTGGAAACAAACTAAAATGTCTATCCACCAATGAATGCATAAACAAAATATGGTGTATCCACACAATGGAATATTGTTCAGCCACAGAAAAGACTAAAGCATTGATGTATACTACAACGTAAATGCACCTTCAACATTATGAAGCCAGTCACAAAAGACTTCATACCGTGTAATTACATGAAATGGCCAGAATAGGCCAATCCATACGGACAGAAAGTGGATTGGGGTGGCCCTGGGCCGGGGCAGGGGCGGGGAGGCATCAGGGGGATGGGCAGTGCTTGCTCATGGGAGTGGGACTTCTTTTTGGGGTGATCAAAATGTCCCCAAATTGGTTGTCATGGTGGTTCCATGACTCTGAAAAATGCTAAAACCATTGAATGGTGCATTTGGAGATGAGTGAATCGTAGGGTATGTGAATTACATCTCAGCAAAGCTGTTAGAAAAAAGAAAAGATATGCCACATTTTAAGTGGTGGGAAAAATCAAAGAGAGCATGTTCTGAGTTTTAAACAAAGCTAGAGGAGATCATGTTTCTGAGACCGTTAAGGAAGCCCACGGCTTTGCCGGCATGGAGTGAGAAGATGGGAACCACCTGCCCAGTCGGGCTTGGAGGGCAGCGCTGGTTCATTTCTTTGACATCAGTGGCCTTAGCCCCGAATAATCCTTTTTAGAAAATCAAAGAAGCACTCAGGCTAAATATGCAGGATTTTTGAAGTGTCCAACAGATTTTATTTGAGACCATAAAAGGGGTTTGTGAACTGTCTGGGACAGTCATGGACCAAGTCTGAGCCCACCTGGCCTGCAGATGGCTTCCTGCTGAGCACCTCGGTGGTCCCAGCCACTCCTGGAAGGATTGGTTCTAGCACAGAGAACAGAGCCCACCCAAGGGACTGTGAGGACCTGGCTTGGGGTGGCAGGGCCTGACCCCAAGGATACATACAATCTGGAACATTTATTTGTTCAACAGCCACTCTCCCAGAACCACACTGGGGCCATGCGATCTACAGACCCTTATGTGTGCTGTGTGTGCAGAGGGGACTCACGGTAAACAGTTCAGCCAGTGTTTGTGAATCTGCAGTGCGATGCAGGAAGACCTGCCTGATCTGCGGTGGACTGGCCAGGACCAGCCTAGGAAAGCCATTTGGGCTGATCTGTCTGAAAGAGCTGAATTAAAAGTGAGAGTTTTAATAACAGAAATGAAGAAGGAAAAAAATGGCCAGCAGCATAGGAGTGCTCCCCAGTGTTGCTGGGGAGTTTCGCTGCTGCTCAGCCCCTGTTCAGGGTCTTCTGGAAGCTCCCAGCAGCCTCCTGAGACAGACAGGTTGGAGCACCACAGCTGCCTGCGGCTGGCACACAGAGTCGTAATTTTTCTTGGTTTTAAAAACCAATCCAGATCTTGGAATTATCCACCGTTGTGGTAAACTTAAAATTGTCCAAAGACACCGGATGACTCTCCTTCAAATGGTGTCCCTGGCCCATCTCTAGGAGAGAACTAAACTTTTTTTAAAAAAACTCACATATCCTGTGGTTTTTCAATTCTCAAAAAAAGCTTTTGTCTCTCCTGTCTGTTCTCTCCAAAAGTAGTCTTCGTTGTGGGTTTTTTTTTTTTTTTTTTTTTTTAGAGATAAGGTCACCGGGCACAGTGGCTCACGCCTATAATCCCAGGACTTTGGGAGGCCAAGGCAGACAGATCACAAGGCCAAGAGATCGAGACCATCTTGGCCAACATGGTGAAACTCCATCTCTACTAAAAATACAAAAAATTAGCTGGGCGCGGTGGTGCGCGCCTGTAGTCCCAGCTACTCTGGAGGCTGAGGCAGGAGAATCGCTTGAACCCGGGAGGCAGAGCTTGCAGTGAGTGAGCCAAGATCGCACCGCTGCACTCCAGCCCGGCGACAGAGCAAGACTCTGTCTCAAAAAAAAAAAAAGAGATAGGGTCTCACCCTCTTGCCCAGAGTGGAGTACAGTGGTGTGATCATGGCTCACTGCAGCCTTAAACTCCTGGGCTCAAGGGCTCCTCCTGCCTCAGCTGCCTGAGTAGTCAGGACTACAGGTATGAGCTACCATGCCCAGCTAAATTTAATTTAATTTATTTATTTATGTAGGTAGGTGAGTATAGACAGGATCTCACTTTGTTAGCCAGGTTGGCTCAAATTCCTGACTTCAAGTGATCCTGCCGCCTTGGCCTCCCAAAGTGCTAGGATTACAGGAGTGAGGCACTGCATCTAGCCCAAAAATAGTCTTTTCTTACATTTTCCCCTCTAATGTCTTACCTGCCATACCACTGTCTGCTGTCCAGCTGAACTATACCAGGAGCCATATGTGTTGTTTTAAATTTTCTAGTAGCTGCATGTTAAAAAGTCAAAAGAACCTGATGGAAGTAATTTTAATAATGTAGTTAACCCAGTGTATGTAACATGTCAATTCAGCATAGCAAGCAATGTAAAAAAGCATTCAGGAGATATTTATATTCTTTTTTTTTTTTTCCTAGACAGTCTCGCTGTGTCTCCAGGCTGGAGTGCAGTGGTGCAATCTCAGCTCACTGCAACTTCCGCCTCCCAGATTCGAGCGATTCTCCTGCCTTGGTCCCCCGAGTAGCTGGGATTACAGGCGCACGCCACCACGCCTGGCTAATTTTTGTATTTTTTAGTAGAGACGGGGTTTCTCCATATTGGCCAGGCTGGTCTCGAACTCCTGACCTCGTGAACCACCCGCCTCGGCCTCCCAAAGTGCTGGGATTACAGATGTGAGCCACCGTGCCTGGCCTATATTCTTCTTTTATTCTGAGCCTTTGACACATCAGTAGGTTATTTCACACAGCACATCTCCATTAGGACTAGCCACGTTTCAAGCATCTGATGGCCACATGTGGCCCATGTTTGGCAATCATGGGTCTAGATAGCTTATCAGGACAGGAGTTACATTTGCCCTATCAGCTTGCAAAACATGCTGCAAAACAGCTTGCAAAACAGCTGGGGACTGGAGATATTGGATTATACCATCTTGGTGTTGCGCCAGTCAGGAGTAATTGTTGTAAGTTAGGCTTTGACAAGGACCTTGTAATGATGCTCACATAGAAGATAATTTATAAATACCTATAACATAACCTGAGAATGGCGATTAAGTAACCTGGTCTTAACTCCAGGGCCCACCACAGCAACTTTGAGCTTAGATGCCACTTAACCTTTTGTAACTTGTAACTTCATTGGTGGTGGGGGTACAGGCAGGTCAGCTTGTTCACATGGGCTGCAAACATGGCTTTACCCCACCGTCTCCCGTGGCCTTCTCAACACACTTTAGAATCTGCAGGAGACCTGCAGCCCCCCACCAGACCCCCAGAATCACACTATGCTGGTTGGCCTGGGCATGCCCCTCCCCCCAAGCATTTCCGCTGCACATCCCAGCTCAAGAACCACCCTCTGGGTGCCAAGGTCTCCTCCAGGAGCACAGGTTCTCACCTGGGGCTGATCTGCCCCCTGGGGACATTTGGAAATGCCTGGAGACATCCTGGATTGTCCCAGCGTGGTGGGGGGCTGGGGAGCCCCTGCTAGCTGTAGAGATCCAGTGACAGTTTGCATGAGAGGTTTCTCCATTGCATACCAGCTGACTCTGAGGAGCAGCTTGACGCGGTAGGGGCCCTAGTGAGAAACCTTGCCTTCCTGGACCATTTGGGCCACAAGTCAGCATAAGTGACTTCTCCTAACATCAGTACCCTCTGCAAGGGAGAGGCTAAACAAGAAGACCCCCGGGGAGCCCCTGCTAGCTTGGGAAGTGTGTGATTCTCTCCACTCCCTCCCCATAGAATCAACTGTAAAAGCTTTAGCCATTTCTTTGGGACGACTTTGGATCAGCATATAAAGATACTGGGTGTTCTGTGCACACTCTGCACTCTGGGAAGTTAATGAGCAGTTTTTATCTGGCATGGCACAGGCTGTTCTTAATTTTTACAAGCTTAAGCTCAGCAATTTCAAGTTCATTCTAAACATTGAAAGAGTCCATTTGCTCTTACGAGATAATAGTCTCCATAAAACCTAACATCTACATACAGTAGGTATTTCTGAACCACACTCAACCAAAATAAATGTGTAAAAATGTTACGAAACATTTATTGAATTAGACAATGACCAAAAATTTCTTCAGTGCAAAGCACACTCAGATTTGGTTTTTATTTCCATTTCCTGTTTTCTTTTACTTAAAAGTCTATAGAATTAACATAAAGGTTGAGTTCTCAGTGAAAGAAACCAGGCTGGGCATGGTGGCTCATGCCTGTAATTCCAGCAATTTGAGAGGCTGAAGCATGCGCATCAGTTGAGCTCATGAGTTCAAGACCAGCCTGGACCGCATGGCAAAACCCCATCTCTACAAAAAATACAGAAATTAGCCAGGCATGGTTGCACGCGTGTAGTCCTAGCTACTCAGGAGGCTGAGGTGGAAGGGTGGTTTGAGCCCGAGAGGTGGAGGTTGCAGTGAGCCAAGATCACTCCACTGCACTCCAGCTTAGACGATAGAGACAGACCTTCTCTCAAAAAGAAAAAAGCGAGACACAAAAGATCTATAAGTGATTGATTCGGTTTACATGGCGTCTCAGAAAAGGCCAGTCTGTAGAGATAGAAGGAGAAGCGGTTGCGTCGGTGTGGAAAGGAAAATTTCAGGTGGGCATGAGGAATCTTTCAGGGGTGGCAGAAACGTTCTAAACCAGATTCTGGTGATGGTTGCGCGCTGGGTTTTTTTTACTAGAAATCACTGAAGTGTATCCCTAAAAACAGGTAGATTTTATGATATGTAAATTATACCTTAATACAGCTGTTGGGGAAAAAAGAAGACTTGGTACTGCCCATCCCCACCCCCAAGGGCTCCCAGTTTATTAAGAAAACTAAGGAAAACATAAGACAGATGAATGGGGGATGAAGCCGCAAAGGGTCCCCGCTGCTGCCCCCTTGGACATCGTAATAGTGAACTGTGTTCTGGCCTTGGGTGAGGATCAAGGAAGCTGGGCCCAGATCTTTTTCCTTGGTTTTCAAAGCCTTCCAGGTAAATATGGGACCTGCCAGGGTCTTTCAGCACTGGAAATAGCCGACATGCCCCTCAGTGGCCTCCAGGGGAAGCCCCCCAGGAGCTTTGAGGAGCTGCTTTCTCCTCCGCTGCTTTGAGGAGCTTATAGCCCCTTCAAGCTCTTCCCAAACCTCACAGGCCTTTCTGCGTCCCTGACAGAGGTCTCAAGAGGAGCCTTTGACAAACAGCAGTGAGAGCTGATTGCTGCCCAGTGTCATCAAGATGCCGCCATTGATTCTAGCTTTGGAATCTGTGGCCAAATAGGTGACTCAATCTGAAATTTATTTGGAGAAGGCAGACAAACATTCAGAGGAAGCAGCAGAAGTTCCATTAGAGCAAACCTCCGCAGGGAGTGAGAGCAGGGGCCATGCTGCAGAGGAGGCCGGGGCAGCGTGGGTCACCCAGGCGGAGGCGGTGCCGCCCCCTCACATGGACCAGGGGTCTGGGGGCAGCTCTGCTCCTCACCAAGGCCCAAGACCCGTGCTGTCATAACAGTCCTCCTTCAGAGACACCCCTCAATCAGATCTAGGAATTGAAAGTCAGATTGGTTTCACAAGAGAATATTGTGGAGTTTTTTAAAGTCTTGAGGCGGGGCGCCGTGGCTCATGCCTGTAATCCCAGCACTTTGAGAGGCCAAAGTGGGTGGATCACTTGAGGTCAGGAGTTCGAGACCAGCCTGGCCAACATGGTGAACCCCCATCTACTACAAATACAAAAATTAGCCAGGCATGGTGGCATGAGCCCATAATCCCAGCTACTTGGGAGGCTGAGGCAGAATTGCTTGAACCCTGGAGGCAGAGGTTACAGTGAGTCGAGACCACACCATTGTACTCCAGCCTGGGTGACAGAGTGAGACTCCATCTCAAAAAAAAATAAAGTCTTGAGAATGTTCACTTCCTGACGGCTTTGCACATGGCCCATAACAAGCTGTCCTGACCTTCTCAGTGTGTGACCCAGGACACCGTGGAATCTGGGAAAGCCATGATTTCCACAGTATACTCCTAGAAATTTTAATCTCAGAGAATGATGATAGATGTTTCTGGAAAATGAGTTGTGTTTGAGAACTGGATTAAACAAAATTACAGAGGCTTCTTTGTGGCACTTAATAATTTCCCAAACCACTAAAGAGGGAAGCCCCAGCGCTATGAGCATACCTGGCAACAGACCACTTCCTAGAGAAATGCCTCCAGTGAGCCAGGGCTACATTTTGGGAAGTGACTGTATCCTACAGAGTAGAAAAATAGTCCCAGCACAGGGTCTCATGCCTGTAATCCCAGCACTTTGGGAGGCCAAGGTGGGCAGATTGCTTGAGCCTAGGAGTTCAAGACCAGCCAGGGCAACATGGCAAAACCCTGTCACTACAGAAAATACCCAAAAAAAAAAAGCCAGGCATGGTGGTGCATGTCTGTGTCCCAGCTACTCCAGAGGCTGAGGCGGGAGGATCGCTTGAGTCTGGGAGGAGGAGGTTGCAGTAAGCTATGATTGTGCCCCTGCACTCCAGCCTGGGCAACATAGTGAGACCCTGTCTCAAAGAAAAAAAGAGTAGAAAAAAAAAAAAAAAAATATATATATATATATATTCATATTCCAACCCCCGAGAGATAATCAGTTAATGTTTGACATATTACATGTAGTCTTCCTCTGCAACATTTGTGAAAAGAAACAGTGCTTTAAAGAATTTAAGAGCCTTTTTTGGGCTAAAACTATATCATGAACATCTTCTCATGTCCTTATGTATGTCTCTTTTTTTTTTTTTTTGAGACAGTTTCGCTCTGTTGCCCAGGCTGGAGTGCAGTGGCGCGATCTCAGCTCACTGCAACCTCCGCCTCCCATGTTCAAGTGATTGTCCTGCCTCAGCCTCCCGAGTAGCTGGGATTACAGGTGCGTGCCACCACGGCCAGCTAATTTTTGTATTTTTAGTAGAGACGGGGTTTCATCATATTGGTCAGGCTTGTCTCAAATTCCTAACCTCAGGTGATCCACCCACCTTGGCCTCCCAAAGTGCTGGGATTACAGGCATGAGCCACCACCCCCAGCCATGTATGTCTTTTAAAGCGTTATTTTTAGTGGTGTCACAATAATCCGTCCATGGTTGAGCCGTCATTACATAGTCATCCCCCTTGGACATGGGTTTGCAATGAAATATTGAAATACCGCTGGGTTGAGCACATTTGTGAATACAGCTTATGGGGCTTATGATTAATTCATTTCTAAGGATGAGTTTCTAGAAGGAGCCAAATGAGGTCAAAGGCTGTGGACTTTTTCAGGTATTGATCCAACATCACTGTGCTGCTCTCCAGAAGGGTGGTGCCCTCTGTGTACATCTGTTCTTTCTCACCTTGCGTCTCCCCTGGGTCACTGCCAGCCTCACAGCGATAGGGCTCTGCTTCAATTGGGTCTTTGCTCTGCTCACAGCCATGCTGTATCCATCAGGGTTCTCCAGAGAAACAACCAATTTGTGTGTGTGTGTGTGTGTGTGTGTGTGTGTGTGTGTAATCTGAAGTGTGTAGGGCAGGCCAGCTGGTGTGTGTGTGCATGTGTGTAATCTGAAGTGTGTAGGGCAGGCCAGCCGGGGGTGTGTGTGTGTGTGTGTGTATATGTATGTGTGTGTGTCACATCTGAAGTGTGTAGTGCAGGCCGGCGTTCTGGAAACTCGGGCAGAAGTTAATGCTGCATGCTTGATGTAGGATTTCATCATCACGAAACCTGTTTTTTGCTCTTTGGGCTCTCACCTGATGGGATGAGGCCCACCTGCTTTCTCAAGGATAATTGCCTTTGTTTGGAGTCCATGGACTATAAGTGACATCTACAAAAGGCCTTCACAGCAATGCATAGGTTGTGTGTGATGAAATCACTGGCCGCCGTGGCCTGGCCAGGTTGACATGTGAAACTGATCATGAGTCATCCTGCTATGACTTTAATTGCCTGGAGAATTCCTTCCCAGCAAAAGCCGCACGCTGCTTCTCCCAGAGGGGTGGGGTGCATTTTATTGGGCACTTTTGCCTTTGAAAACGTAATCTCCCTAGATAAGTATTACCACTGAACCACCTGCTGAGCAGCGTGCTAGCATTTCTTGACTCCAGATGGGTTTCACACACGTCTGTCCCCTACCTGGCTCCTGTGGCTGGGTGCTAGATGGGACCATGGGACCCAAGTCCACCCTCTGGCCCCTTCTCCCTGTAGGATTCCTAAGCTTGAGCCAGACTGGTCGTTCTGCCAGGTTGGTTGCCCACCCTCCTACCCCTGCAGCGGCCCCATCCCACGTGGTTAAGTGGGTGGCCACACCCACTGCCTTTCCTTTCTCACTTCCAGCTCTGTTCTTCATTCCAGCAGAAGGTCCAGCCTCACACAGTGACCCAGTGGGCTTGAACAGTGAGGTTCCAGTCCCGTCCCTTTAGCCTCATCCCTCATGGGGGAAGATACCTGATGCCGGGGCTGGGGTGTAGGAGGTGGTTGAAACAGCCTGATCTACACCCCTGCCTGGTGGGTTAGGGCTCCGATGCCACACCAGGCCTGGCATCTAGACAGAGAGTTCCACAGAGTCCCCTCTGCCTGCTATGTGCCAGGCACTGTACTAGCACCACACCTGCCCTCAGGAAACTCACAGCATGAAGGAGAGAGAGACACCAAAAATTGCTTGATACTGTGACCCATGCTGGCCAGGCACGGTGGCTTACACCTGTAATCCCAGCACTTTGGGAGGCCAAGCGGGAGAGTTTCTTGAGGCCAGGAGTTCGAGACCAGCCTAGGCAGCATAGTGAGACTCTGTCTCTACAAAAAAAGAAAATTTAAAAAAAAAAAAAAAAAAACAGGCATGGTGGCATGTGCCTGTGGTCCCAGCTACTCAGAAGGCTGAGTTGGGAGGATCGCTTGAGCCCAGGAATTTAAGGCTGCAGTGAGCTGTGATCGTGCCACTGCATTCCAGCCTGGGTGACAGAGACCTCGTCTCAAAAAAAAAAAATTATATATATATACACACACACACACACATACATACACACACACATATACATATACATACATACATATATATATAGTGATCCATGCAAAATCTGCAGCAGGGGTAGGCAGACAGGAGGAAGTGGGTTGCAGGGTCAAGGCAAGCCTCAGAGAAAAAAACCTGAGACTGAGTGGCCCTGACAGGCAGTTGGTGGGACAGGGAAGGGGGTGGTACAGACGGAGGGAACCCCCATGCAAAGGTATAAAAGAGGACCCCCCAATATGCTAACATGTATTCCACTGTTGCTGAAGACTAACACTCAAGGCACTGGTTACCAGGGAATGAGAACTTGTGTTGAGTTTGAGATTTTACTTACCTGGCAAGTTGGCCTTCCAGTTTCACGGAGCTGGTCTAAGATATGAGACTTCAGGGTCAGAGACAAAGAAAAATCCGTTATTCACAGCAATAGCAGTAGCCAGAGTATTAGCATTTGGGTCATTTCCCAGGTCCCAGTGCCCATAGCTGTGATGTAGTCAGGGCCCCATGGCATCCGCACACATCAAGGGCTGCATTGCAGGAGAGGAACCCTAAGCTTAGGAACCAAATCTTCTACAGTGGGCACAAAGCACATTTGCCCTGTGCTCTGGAGGGAGATGCTATCTCCATCATCCAAGGCTGTTTCCTGTGCATGTTCTTGGAAAGATAGTTGGGAAAAAAGGCAGGCAGAGCCTCTGCTGGAAAGACACAGGGAAAGGAGAGAGAAGAATTGTTACCCGGCAAAGATCAGACTGCCTCCTCCACCAAGTCTCTGGTCTAGATTCTGTGAGTCCAGAAACCTCCATCTCAGTCTAGGAGGGACAGCTAGGAGGAAATAAGGACGTCAGTTTGCAACCAGACAAGTTTAGAGGCCTGTGGAATTCCCAGGCCAAGGGAAGAGTTGTTACGGAGACTCTATGGCCAAGAGGGACAGATCACACTAGACATCAAGCTCAATGGATGCCACCAAGGGCAGCCACCTGCTGTATCTTGTACACGTTTCATCCATCCAGCTTTTAGCCTCTCAATCCTTCTCTTCCTAATAGGGTAGGTATAAGATTCCCATTGCTGCTGTAACAAATTACCACCCACTTAGTGGTTTAAAGTAACACGGAAGTATTCCATTACAGTTCTGGAGGTCAGAAGTCCAAGCTGGGTCTGCATGGTTTCATTCCTTCTAGAGGCTGTGAGAGAGTCCATGCCCCTGTCTGTTCCAGCTTCTAGAAGCTGCTACTCATCTTGGTGGCCTTGCATCCCCTCTGACCTGTTTCTGTCCTCACATCTTCTGACTCTGATTCTCCTATTTATATGACCCTCTTATAAGGACCCTTGTATATTGGGCCCACCTGGATAATCCAAGATACTCTCCCCTCTCAAGGGCCTTGTCTTAACCGTATCTGCAGTTAGGTTGCCATGTAAGGTCACATAGTCACAGGTCCTGGGGATTAGGACGTTGACATCTTTGGGAGCCATTTCCCTTCTACCACATTATTCTGACCTCTGTAGATACTGTGGCCCATGTCATCAAACCCCCATGACAGTCACAGCCCTGCCTATTTCTTTCCATCCAGACAGGTGGTGCCTGTGGGTACATCTCAGCGTAGGGTGCAGACAGAGTTGTCTGTTGGAAGGAAAACCACATCGAATCGGGAAGGGAGGGTCCTGGCTAGAGTAAGGACAGTGGGCAGGAGGCCGGGGTCCTGTCCTGCCACAACACTGACCACCTAGAACCTCAACTTTCTTCTTTAAAAATAAAAAGAGAGTAACTACACTTGCCATACTGACCCCCCAGGTTGTATGGAAGCTCAGTGGAGAAAATGGCCGGGGTGCGTGTCTGAACCGCGCTGCATTTGGACGGACACTTTGTGTGTCACATGTTAGTAGCTGCAGTGTGTCCTCCACCCGACTGAGAGTCTGTGTATCAAGATAGGGGTAAATCCTTTCTGACCACTTGCAGACAGAAGTCACGCCTCGTGGTCCAAAGCCACCAAGTCATTACTTTTCAAAGCTTTTCCAGTAGAGACACATGACTCCTTCCTTAAAACAACTTACAGTGAAAATATGTGGATGGTTGAAAAAGTAATGTTTCCAGTCTGCTGAAAGTTCTGTGGGTTTTTTTTTTTTTTTTGCAGGGCAATTATCTGTATAAAATACTTTTTTTCTTTTAAGTAGAATCCTATTGCTAATGAAACCATATTTTGAACATGAAAATTGTTACAAAGAAGAAAAAATGTCATTATCCAGAAAAGCTGCAATAGCTCATGCATTTGATGGTCTAAATAGAACATTTTTCTTCTCAGGGGGATGAAAGCGGTCCCCTCCTATTAGCCTATGAAATTATTTTAGAATTGGGTTTTAATCCCTGGAACGAGAAAGGGGGATGGAACCCTAACATAGGTTCCATGCATGGGAAGTCAAACCTGAAATTTAGAGACAGGAAATATAGCACGCCTAGTCACTAATCCAAAAGGAATGTGAAAAAAGAGTTGTTTTAATGTTGGAAAAAGGCAGCATGAAAGGTAAGGCTTCCTTCCTGCCGTTTCCTCTGGTGCCCTTTTCTTTCCCCCGATCACATTTGCTAGATGTCCATTTCTGTAAGTTTTCCCTCTAGAACAAACCTATCATTTTTCACCACGGGATATTTACAGCTTCAATCAGTGCCAAATTCAATTGGCTTCTGATCTCATCGCTGGAAGTTATAGATGCAGATATTATTTGCACTGCGGTTAATTATGGAGCAATCAAACCTTGGCTTTTCCACTGTAATTTCCTCTGCCAGCTAATTTAATTAATCACCCCCAGCTCAGCTCTTCCAGCTGCGACCAGCAGGGTCATTAATTAGGCATGTGGTGGGAGCTCACCCACCAGGTCCTGCTACGGGGCCGCTGCCCATTTGATCTCTCAGGGAGGGAGAGCTTTTCCTAAGCATCGATCCCCTCCAGAAAGGAAGATGGTTCCCAAAAGGCCTATCAGGGGCAAACAGCTCACCTGCAGTGGTGATTGGTTTACAAAATTCACCTAGTTAAAGAAAAGAGGGCCAGGTGCAACGGCTCACGCCTGTAATCCCAACACTTTGGGAGGCCAAGACGGGTGGATCACCTGAGGCCAGGAGTTTGAGACCAGCCTGGCCAACATGGCGAAACCCTGTCTCTACTAAAAATACAAAAATTAGCCTGGCGCGGTGGCAGGCACCTATGATCCCAGCTACTTGGGAGGCTGAGGCAGGAGAATTGCTTGAAACCTGGAGGTGGAGGTTGCAGTGAGCCGAGATTGCACCCATTGCACTCCAGCCTGGAGGACAAGAGCAAAACTCCATCAGCCGGGCACAATGGCTCACGCCTGTAATCCCAGCACTCTGGGAGGCCGAGGTGGCCGGATCACCTGAGGTCAGGAATTCAAGACCAGCCTGACCAACATGGAGAAACCCTGTCTCTACTAAAAATACAAAATTAGGCAGGCGTGGTGGTGCACGCCTGTAATCCCAGCTACTTAGGAGGCTGAGGCAGGAGAATCACTTGAACCTGGGAGGCATAGGTTGCAGTGAGCCGAGATCACGCCATTGCACTCCAGCCTAGGCAACGAGCGAAATTCCATCTCAAAAAAAAAGAAAAAGAAAAGAGGCCTCGCCTTCCATTTAGACTGGCTCATGAACTTGCCAAAGAAAGGGCTGTTGTCAGTCGCCGAGGCTTCGGTCTCAGGTTTTTCAGGTCAGTGTGTGCCTAATAATGCAGATGTCATGTGATGAGCTCGGTTTGTTGCAAGGAAGCGTCGTCCTCCTCACGGGCTCTTTACGTTGACATTGTGGCTTTGGAGGCTGATATTTTCTCTAAAGGAAAGATTAAAGGATTGTTTTCATTTTATTATAAGGAAGAGACATTTTTGGTATAAGCCCATCAAAGTTGGTGCCTAAATGCTGCAACTGATTCTTCTATTATTTTGAAGAGCCTGTTTATTTTCCAGCAGTTACCAGCTTAACTAAGACATTGTCACTGGAATTCCGTATAAATGTGTGCATGCTCACACCCATGCCTACATTAGAAAGAGAAGTACCCCAAATTTGGGAGGCTTTCTTATGATCATTCTTAAATAGTTTATTGTCTTATAATAATGTGGGCTTTTTTGTTTTACTTAATATATAGGAAGATTTTTTTTTAATACCTTAAAAATACTGCACATTAAGTCTGTTTTTTTACAGAAGGATAAATGGATGAACAGGTGTTTTAGGAGCCACAATAAACCATCGCAGAGCAAGGAGTGCCTCTTCTGAGATCCCATTCGATGCTCTGCCCTCAATTAAATGAATCCGAGATAAATGGGCATGTGCGTGTGTATGCACACACACGTGCACACATACACACACAGGCACACATATGCACACACCAAGGTTCTAGATGAGAAGGAACAGAGGGATCCAGCTCAGTAATTAAAGGAATAATAAGGACTCATTGTGTGGCAGGTGGAAGAAAAGGTGCAGGAGGAAGACTCACAAAGTCTGGAGGATTGGCGCTCTCTGTTCAGCCGGGCAGGAAGGCAGGAAGCACCCCTGTCATAAAACCCCTACAGCCTGTAAACACCAAAGTTCCCTCCTGTCTTGGAGTGGGGCTGGGAGGCCCCGGTGGGGAACAGCTGTAATGATGGTTCGCTTTAGTTGTGCCTTCCTGAAGGGCGGGGGGGGGTCTCTGCGGCCACCTTAAACTTAAACAAGTGTATTCAGTCTTGACGGCCAGCCCCGTGACCTGCCAGCATATTAACATTTAAATGCACAGTACATTCATTCATTTCATGCTGTAAGGATCATTCTGGAACGAATGATAAGTAGTGGTTTTTCCCTGACATTCGTACTCTACTTTTGGAAGTGTGGGAGATTGTTGAGCATTTTTAAATAGCCATAATGCAAGGGGCTTCTGTGTATTTCTAGTTCTTAAAGAAAATGCAGGATGCAAACAAAAAATTAATTTTCAGACATTTTCTTTCAGGAAAACCTCTGTTTGGATATAAATCATTGAAACCTTGAAACAAATCTGTCATTCTATTCACAACTCAAATATCAATTTTAAGAATTTTTGCCGGGCACGGTAGCTCATGCCTGTAATCCCAGGACTTTGGGAGGCTGAAGCAGGCAGATCATTTGAGGTCAGGAGTTCAAAACCAGCCTGGCCAACATGGTGAAACCACGTCTCTGCTAATAATACAAAAAATTAGCCAGGCATGGTGGTGGGCGCCTGTAGTCCCAGCTATTCGGGAGGCTGAGGTGGGAGAATCACTTGAACCCGGGAGGCAGAGGTTGCGTTGAGCCAAGATCATGCCATTGCACTGTAATCTGGGCAAAAGAGCGAGACTCCATCTCAAAAAAATAAAATAAAATAAGATTTTTTAGGCCGGGCACGGTGGCTCACGCCTGTAATCCCAGCACTTTGGGAGGCCAAGGTGGATGGATCACAAGCTCAGGAGTTCAAGACCAGCCTGGCCAACATAGTGAAACCCTGTCTCTACTAAAAATACACAAAAAATTAGCCGGGTGTGGTGGTGTGCGCCTGTAATCCCAGCTACTCAGGAGGCTGAGGCAGGAGAATCACGTGAACCCGGGAGGCGGAGGTCGCAGTGAGCCAAGATTGTGCCACTGCACTCCAGCCTGGGCGACAGAACGAGACTCCGTCTCAAAAAAAAAAAAAAAAAAAAAAAAATTTTTATTTACCCAATTCTGTGACTGCCTGAACTGGCCAGGACAAATAGAGAAGGGGTGGTAGGGGGGCAGTGTTAGATTCTTTCTGGAGCACTAGGGTGCAAATCAGAAGCGTCCTTTGTTGCTGCAGCTCTCCCCAGCCGCCTGGAGGATCTGTTTGGGAGGGGAGCACTCTCTAAGGCTAGTTTTGTTCTTGCTCAGATGATCAAATCTCTAATGCATCTCTAGTACCAACCTCACTTCCCAGCCTGAGTTTCCATTTGTCCCCAGTTTCCCCACACAAAGAGCAACAAACACTGTTCCAGCTGGTAGGACCAGCCCATGGATCCCAGAGGCCCAGCATGCTCAGGGCTCCTTCTTTTTTCTCATTTCTCTCCTCCCCATCTCCAGACAGCCTTTACCGTTCATAAAAAGAAATGCAGGCCTAAAGAGGACTGGGGGCTGGAAGAGGGTTAGGCTGAGTCCCATTGCCCAGGGCATGACCAGGGACCATGTGGTGGCCCCCAGGGGCATCATGTGGTTTTCCAGGCCAAGGAGCTGCCTGGCTCCATGGGCCGCCTCAGGATGTGGCCCAGCCGGCTTCCTTTGTGAAGGCAAGCCCCACACAAGGAGCAGGACTCCTGGAGGGGACAATGGCTGTCCATCAGTGATAGCAAATTCCAGCGTCCAGGCCGTGGGTTCATCTGGCTGCCAGGCTGGGCTGATGGCAGCAACGCTGACCACACTCGTCATTTCTCTGCTGTTATCACAGCCTGGGAGCGGGACAGGATCTGTTCCATTGACTGCATTTTTAAAGCTGCCCTGATCTTCCTTTTTGCCCTAATCTTCCTTTTCCTACTGCCCTTTTCCCCCCTCCTCCTGCTTAGAGATACCAGCTCTGACAGTCCGAATGTAAGAAATAATTGGATTCTAAATTCTAATTCATCTGTAAAGTATTCGGTGATTAAATTAGCCTAATAGATATTATTTCTTACATGACTGCGTAATTTTATCCTGATTGGATCTCAGTGGTACTAACGTGCCCCCCAATTTACTATTGACTTGAAATTCTCAGAAGGCGAGACATAACTCTCTGTCTTCTTCAGTCTGTTTTCCCAGGTTAAAAGTTAAACTGATTTATGCTAAAGGAAGATCACCTTACTGCTCAAGTGTAGTTGCACAGTGTATATTGTTCTTTAAGAAGAGCAGTACAAGGAAAATATTATTTTATGTAATTTTAAATCCTCTTTTTCCTCTTTTTCTATTCAGAAACTAAAAGAAATACTGCCCATTTAAAGTCTTTGGACAGCAATTTGATTGCAGGTAACATAGTTTCTCTTTTAAATAGCTGGAAGTCTCATCCAAACAAAACTAACCGTCACTCAGCATAGAGCTGATAAGTGTTGTGGATACATTCCAAAAAATTTTCAACATTCTTAGGATAAAATTTTAGCTGGGCGTCTTTAGCCATTTTTAATAGAGCCGCTTAAATTCTTGGTCAGGAATGAGATAGAAAGGGAACGAAGTCATGGACCCCAGAGATACACAGGAGGGCACTGGCCAGCACTTATTCATCGGCCTTATTTCTTTCTTTCTTTGCATAAATTTAATTTCTTCAAGTATGTGCCTCTCCCCTCCCCCACCCCCCTGCCCTACCTCCCTCCCTCCAAAAATCTGCAAATAAAATTCCCCGCTCCCTCCCTGGTTGAGTAGCTGGAAGCAGCTGGTGGGTTTTGTGTGGCTACTGAACAGTGGGGGAAAAAAGTTTTGGCAAACACTCGGGAAACCCAGGACAGAGGAGGTAGGTAAACTCAGGAAACTGTTTTCATGAGTAAATGAAGGAAACAAAGGCCTCGCAGCAGGAGCAGAAGGGACACACACTCCCTCTGAATAGCTCCCTAAAAACAGAGCTGAAAAGGAAGAAGGCCCATTTGCTTCTGGGAATCCAATAAATTGTTTCAGGAAGTGAAAGTCTGTCCAGGCTAATGGAGCTGTGATTGACAGGCCTTCTCATTATGGAGCCCATCAGGGGACAGGGCATTCCAGTGTTATTTAGGGGTCGAGGTGGGAATGAGAGGAAGCCAGAGCCCGGGGTGGGGGCGGGAGCGGGGGCTAGCTGTGGGTGTTCATTGAAAGAGTCCAGGTCCCCGACAGCCCTGCTCCAAGGACAGACAACCTCGTCTTGCAGGATCATTTACCTTTTATATTATGACCTAGCCACTTCTCATGGCTCTACCACACCATCTTCCCGAGAGAGCCTGTGCCCGCCCCACAGTCCCGGCTGAAATGGCAAATGCGGTGTAGGACTGTGGTGCACACTGCCCATGACGGGCTACTTGGACGGCTCATGCCCACCTCTGACTAGTTTGATGTTCTGAATCAGGCCCCTTGGTTAAGCGTGATAACATGATCACCTGGTGTTTTAAAGCTTTTCTCTGTTTCCATGTGGTGCCGTGAATAGTCTCATAAGCCATGTAAGTGGCCTTATTGGTTAAGTGACAACCGGGGACATACCCATTTTCTTTGTCCATGAAGCACCAAATAAGAAGTTGGCGTCCATTAAACTAGATTGATTATTTAATATCACAAGGCTTTTGAATGGGCTATGGGGAGGAATAGACCAGAGGTCTTTGCCAGGAGGAGACGTTACAGCAGGTCCTCTCTGGTTGGGACCTGCTTAAAGATGTGTAAAGACCTTGAACATCAGCATCTGGCACAGCCAGGGGAGGGACAGGGAGGACGAGAGACCTGCTTGGTATCCTTGGCCCCGGGGTCCAGGTTATTCAGTTTGTTGATGGCTATCTGGCAGGACTCCCTCCTGAGCAAGAAAGACCCTCAGTCTCCACGATGGTTATTTCCAGAAAAGTGGGGACCTTCACCAATGTGCCTTTCATTGTGAACCTTACCCAGCTGGGCTCCAGGACACCTAGGCACATCCCCGTCTCTGGGTCCCCAGCCTTATCATGTGTCTGAGTGTCCTCAGACAGTGGAATCCTTCCTTCACCTTACTGAGAGAGGCCAGCGCTGTTTTCATTTTGGAATTGGCAAAAGGCAAGTTTTCTCCTACAATGCTTTGAAAGGGTTTAATGCACACTGAAGAAACAGCCAGATAGCTCCAGCTCTGCTGGAAAGGGCAAAGACCCATTAAGCATCTGGAGTTTGGGTCCTGGGTTGTCACACTCTGTAATGACCATCTTGGAGGGTAAGACACTTGGCAGTGGGCATGTGAATTGGCTGGCATTTCCAGAGTCATCCTTACTGTTGGGCTATTGGGTGATAGCTAGTGGGTGATAGCTATTACATGAAGAAGATGCCTCTGTGAACTTAAATGTTGGTTCAGTGACTCACAGGCTCCAGGCAGATTCATAGATGCTTTCATGTTTACTGATGCATTTTGTATTCTTAAGCTTCAGGAAGTAGTGTTAATTATTTATCTGGGTTTAACTACACTTTAATTTTTGTAAACTAAGTCCAGAGCGGTCTACATAGTAAAACCATAGATTCTCTTTTGTTTGATTTCTGTGAATTGCAGCAGTTTATGCCACAATTGTAGCCCTGTCCCCATTGTCACGAATCTATGTATCCTTCTGCTTCTATTCACTGTGTTCCAGAACCTATCACGGTGCACTGCAATACCTCATTCCTCACGAGTGCTCAGTTGGTATTTCTTGAAAGAATAGTTGCTTAACAGGGCATTCGATCATGATGGTGATCGTCATAAAGACACACGGGGCTGAAATCAAATTCAAAGAACTCACTTCTACCAAAAGAGAAAGAACTGGTTTGTATAATATGTTTCAAAGTACAGAAGGTAGAAGGTACATCACCACCGTCCATCACGTGAAGGAGTAGAAAAAGTGGGATGCCACAGTTGCGGCAGAGAATATCCAAAAGGAAAGGGTCCAAGTCAGACCGCTCACGTGGGTGGCAGCGTCCAAGTCCAGTTTGTACATTTCTGCATGGATGAGGTCTTTTCAAAGCACATACAGTTGTGTGATTTTTATTTCCCCAAGAAAAAATAAAAAGTTAAAGTCAGTCTAGTCAATTGCTTTAACACAAAGAGCAAACTGACACACAGTTTCCCTGGGCATTGCTACATATTCCTTGCTCTTCCGTAAAGGACACATGTGTCTCTGTGCCTCTCAGTCTCCCAGTTGCAAAGATGCCATCCCAGGTCAAGCTGAGGTCCTTGCAAATGAACTGCATGCTGGAGATAAAGCGCCTACTAGGCTGCCGGGTACTGGCAGAAGAGAGTGAGCGTAGCAACTGGGAGGTGGCCTGATGGCCTGCGCCTGTTGCCGTTGATGAGACCCAAAGTCTGGAACGAATCTGGTTCCATATAGAGTTCATGCTCACCCCGAAGTCCTTCTTTGGCACTGGAGAACAAAGAAGAGTTTGCACAGAAGAAAAGGGAGGTTGTTTAACCAGAAAGGCCCTCTGCAAATTTCTGATTCCTGTACAGTCAGCATTAATATGCTGCTTTTCAGACATCCAAATGGGGGATTGAACTGTGAGAGTGCAGGCAATAAAGAGTGCATTTGTGGAATGATAACCTGACTGGCATCCCTGCCTCTTGAATGGCTGACGAGGTCTAATTGGCATGTAACGCCCTATAAATTTATTAGCATGCCTCATTTCTCATTGGTGGACTTTCTACTGTTAACCACCAAGAAATGACCAATTTTCAGGAGTTAGTCACTCAAGTCGTACTTATAACTAGGTTGGAAAAAAAAAAACTCACACTGCTCCTATTATAAATCAACCTTATGCCTGTACAGCAGCTCCCTGGCTGCAAATGAATCCATCGGATACAGAAGTTTTGAGGTGAGTGGAGTTGCAGGGAGGAGCACGTGTTTACCAGGAAACCCACTGCTCTCCTCACCTTGCCCTGCGCGCCTGAGCCCTTCACAGAGACCGGCCGTGTCCTCACCCCTCTGTCACCATTGTGGGCTCCAGCTGCACAGGCTGGGGATGGGCTGGGTAGAAATGGCAGTTTTGTGGTCGTTCGCACCCAGGACTTTGATGTTCCTACTGATATATTCAACCCTCAGGCGTACCATGCAAAGAGGACATAGCCACCCTCTTATTTCAAGAGCATGATAGAAATATTCAGAAGCAGACATAATTATTTCAATTACTTCTCTCTGGTTTTTGAGACGCACACTCAAGAGTCACAAATTAGAAAATAATATTCACATGTTTCTTCTAATTGGTAACAGATTAGAGGCATTTTATCTTTTTAAATAATTTCCAAATGTGCCCCAAAGAGACTGTGAAGGGAGGGAACAGAGGCATGGAAAAGCAAACGGGCTTTGCCAAGCGAGTGAGAGGCGGGGGTCGGAGGGAGGCCTTCCTCCTGCAGCGTGTTTCCAGTTGTTCGGATTTTTGTGTTATTTTCATCACTTTTGGATATTGAAAGCTAGCAGGGAGGGGGTCTTCCTGGTTATACGGCCCAGCTTGCAAACATAATCCTTCCTTGTTTTTCTTTTGTTGGTGGTGGTTGTGTTTGTTTTGTTTTTTGTTTTGTTTTGTTTTTTTGAGACAGAGTTTGGTTCTTGTTGCCCAGCCTGGAGTGCAGTGGCACGATCTTGGCTCACTGCAACCCCCGCCTCCCAGGTTCAAGCGATTCTCATGCCTCAGCCTCCTGAGTAGCTGGGATTACAGGCATGCGCCACCATACCCGGCTAATTTTGCATTTTTAGTAGGGATGAGGTTTCACCATGTTGGCCAGGCTGGTGTCGACCTCCTGACCTCAGGTGATCTGCCCACCTCGGCCTCCCGAAGTGCTGGGTTGACAGGCGTGTGCCACCGCACCGGCCGTAATCGTTCCTGGTAAGCACATTTCTGAACACATCAATCCGCTGCCTGCATGCCCTGTCCTTGGCCACGTGTTTTCTACACACGTGCATGCGTGTTTGCATATCTGCACGCATTTTTATGTCCAGTGTACTTCCAAAAACAGATTTGAGTCATCTATGCCTGTCTCTCTGTGCAGCAACTTTGGAGGGGTGAAGACGGAGGTCGCTGCTAGTCCAGGTCGCCTGGGGCCCTGCCCTCTGACACAGGGTATTTCAAGTTCCTCTAAATCCTGAGGGTCTCAACTGTTCCTTTTTCATAATGGAATTTGGTTTTATCAAATACTGTTTTTAACATTTAGTTGCCTCTGCTCTGGAAAACAGTTTTACAGTTTCTTATAAAACTAAACGTGCACCTTCCTTATGACCCAGCAGGTGCACTATTAGGCACTTATCCTAGAGAAAGAAAAACCTAGGCCGGGCGCGGTGGCTCACTCCTGTAATCCCAGCACTTTGGGAGGCTGAGGCAGGCAGATAGCTTGAGCCACGAGAGTTCAAGACCTGCCTGGGCAACATAGCAAGATTCCGTCTCTACAAAAAAATACAAAAATTAGCCGAGTGTGGTGGCGTGCACCTTAGTCCCAGCTACTCAGGAGACTGAGGCAGGAGGATGGCTTGAGCCTGGGAGGCAGAGGTTACAGTAAGCTGGGATCATGCCACTGAACTCCAGCCTGGGCAACAGAGCAAGGCTCTGCATAAATAAGTAAATAATAAAACTTAGGTTTACACAAAAACCTGTATGTGAATGTTCTTAGTGGCGTTGTTCGTAAGAGCCCAAAACCAGAAACAACCCAGATGCCCTTCAGTGGGTGAAAAAGTAAACAAGCTGTAGACCATCCACACTGTGGAAAACTACTTGGCAGTGAAAAGGAATGAATTCTTAATACACAACAACAACTTAGGCGAATCTACAGGGAATTACATTGAGTGAAAAAAAGCCTGTCCCAAAAGATTACGTGCTGTAGGATTCCATTTATGTATCACTGTTGATATTACAGAATTACGGAGCTAGAGAACAGGTTAGTGGTTGTCCAGGGTTAGGGATGGAGAGGGTGGGTGAGGTTTTAGAAAGGCAACAAGAGAGACCCTTGACTGGTGCTAGATACAGGAACGTACATGTGACCAAATTGCATTGAACCAATTCCATGGACACATAAATACAAATGACCACAAGGAAAATCGGAAATGTGGACAAGCCAGGTGGGTTGTATCCATATCCTATGGTGATAACATACTACAGTTTTTCAAGATACTGCCTTTGAGGGGAAACCAGGTAAGGGGTACATGAGATCTCTCTGTATTATTTCTTTTTCTTTTTTGTTTGTTTTGTTTTGTTTGTGACAGAGTCTCGCTCTGTCACCCAGGCTGGAGTGTAGTGGTGCAGTCTCGTCTCACTGCAACCTCCGCCTCCCGGGTTCAAGCAATTCTCCTGCCTCAGCCTCCCGAGTAAGCTGGGATTACAGGTGTCCGCCACCGTGCCCAGCTAATTTTTGTATTTTTATTAGAGACGGGGTTTCACCGTGTTAGCCAGGATGGTCTCGATCTCCTGACCTCATGATCCACCCGCCTTGGCCTCCCAAAGTGCTGGGATTACAGGCGTGAGCCACCGCGCCCGGCCGTATTATTTCTTTAAACTCCATGTGAATACACAATTATTTCAAAAAAGCTTACTAAAAAGTTTAAAACAATCAAGCAAAATAAAAGGTGGCTTCCCTTAAAAGAATCAGGGCTCCTTGGAGAAATGGCTCATTCCAGATCTGGTTGAGAAGTAGGGAATGGCCCTGGAGCATCCTGCTGTGCCAGAAAGAAAGCACAGAGCTACCAGGGACCAGGGCAGATGCCGCAGACAGAAACAGGAGCGGCTCCAGGCCTCCCACTGGCCAAATCTGGAACAATTGAAGCATCTAAAAGAATAGTGTTGGTGGCAGTTTATGTGACACATTTAATTTTTAAACATGGGTCCACGACGATACTCCAGAAAGGCAGTGGGGGA
Source organism: Homo sapiens (assembly GCF_000001405.40). NCBI lineage: Eukaryota > Metazoa > Chordata > Mammalia > Primates > Hominidae > Homo > Homo sapiens. Next base: position 236,093,067 of record NC_000002.12, read on the forward strand.
GAAGCTCTTCTTTATAAAAAATGCCAACCAGTAAACAGAGAGGATGAGGGAACTGGAAAATCTCTATCCCGCAACCAAAAACGTGATATTTTAATTGGTTCAGTCAAGGATCATCAACTGAAGCTGCACCCCTGGGGGAGAGGAACAAAATATTCCGCCTCAAGGTGTCAGCCCAGGGAAACTGAAGCTGCACCCCTGGGAGGGGAGGAACAAGATATTCCACCTCAAGGTGTCAGCCCAGGGATCACTTGGTCATTGTAAAGGGGGAAGGGACCTGGACAGAGACCTGGTGGCTCCTGCTTTAGCCACAGACTCAGACAGACTCGGTAGTGGAACAACTCACAGTCTGTGCCTCCTGCTGGTGATGCAAGGGAGACGTGGCACCTCTGTAGTAATATTTTGACCCAAATGGAATCGGACAAACACAATTGGGGGCATTTTCCAATAGAAATAGCTTGAAATCCTCAAAATACCAATGTAAAGAAAGACCAAAAAGAAGAGTAGGGTTTGGAAGGGACTCTCACATGGGAGGAGGTATAAGAGGATGACCAAAGGCAACATATATCCTGGATTGGGAGAGAAATTCAGCCCTAGAACGTATTTTTGGATAATTTGGTGAAAACTGAATATGGACCACATATCAGTGGCTGCCTGCCAGTCATAATCATGAAAAACACAATCCCAAACACCATAATCCCAAGTATTGAAATCTCTCAAGTCTGAAATCCCCAAAATCACAATCCCAAAAAATCAAAATCCCAAAAATATAATCCTGGAAAAGATCATTTGAAAAATTACTTAAAAGGTATTTTTTGACATTTTTAAAGGGGGTTTCTCTGAGAAACATATAAAAACACAACAGAACACTTTTTAGAGCACTTTTCACAAATAGGCAATGATAACCTATATTTTTGCAAGCATAAACCCCAGGTGTACTAACAACAGTCATATGGCTGTAACAGGTACAAGCAGACTGTATTCATAGGTCAGAAATATATAAATGCATGTCACTGTGGTTGCTAATTATGGGCACTCAGCTGTATAACACCTGAAATACAGTGACGAACAACTTCAGTCTTTTGACAAGACTGATCAAAAGCTGTGATGGAGCCAGTGTGTGGCACACAACCATAGTCCCAGCTACTCAGAAGGCCACGTCAGGAGGATTGCTCGAGCCCAGGATTTCCAGGTCAGCCTGGGCAACATAATGAGACTCTATATCTTTAAAAAAAAAAAAAAATTGCAAATACGATGGGTCACCATGGCCTATGAAGTTGCCAAAAGAGCTGAGAATTTTTTTTTTTTTTTTAGACAGGGTCTCTGTGGCTCAGGCTGGAGTGCATGGCTCAATCACGGCCCACTGCAACCTCCACCTCCCGGGATCAAGCGATCCTCCCACTTCAGCCTCCTGAGTAGCTGCAAATACAGGCACAGACTACCACGACCATCTAGTTTTTGTATTTTTTGTAGAGACCAGGCTTCACCGTGTTGTTCAGGCTGGTCTTGATCTCCTGGATTCAAGCGATCCTCCCATCTTGACCTCCCAAAGCGCTGGAATTACAGGCATGAGCACTGCGCCCAGTGAGAGCTGGAGAAATTTTATCTTTCACAAACGCAGATGTTCATTTATTGAAGAAATTTCATGAAATTTGTGGACTGTATGTAAGTGCATACAGAATGAATTTCCACATACCCAAAACAATGAAAAAGCCTGGCACAGAAGATGGGAAAATTGATCTGGGCAACAGTGGCTCATGCCTGTAATCCTAAAACTTTCAGAGGCCAAGGCAGGTGGATCACTTGAGTCCAGGAGTTCGAGACCAGCCTAGGCATCACAGCAAGAGACCCCATCTCTACAAAAAAAAAAAAAAAAAAAAAAAAAATTAGCCTGGTGCAGCGGCGCATGCCTGTGGTCCCAGCTACTCTTGAGGATGAGATGGGAGGATCACTTGAGCCCGGGAGGTCCAGGCTGCAGTGAGCCCTGATCAAGCCATTGTACTTTAGCCTTGGTGAGAGTGAGACACTGTCTCAAAAAAGTTGTGGGGGCAGGGCAGGCGTGGTGGTTGACGCCTGTAATTCCAACACTTCGGGAGGCCAAGGCGGGTGGATTGCTTGAGCTCAGGAGTTCGAGACCAGCCTGGGAACTGTGGTGAAACCCCGTCTCTACAAAAAAGTTAAAAATTAGCCAGGCGTGGTTGCATGCACCTGTGGTCCCAGCTACTCGGGAGGCTGAGGTGGGAGGATCACTGGAGCCCAGGAAGTCAAGGCTGCAGTGAGCCATGATCATGCCACTGCATTCCAGCCTGGTTGACAGAGTTAGACCTTGTCTTGGCTGGGCACAGTGGCTCACGTGTGTAATCCCAGCACTTTTGGAGGCTGAGGCTGGAGGATCACTTGAGCACAGGAGTTTGAGACCAGCGTGGGCAACATAGTGAGATGCCATCTCTATAAAATAAAAAAAGATTAAAAAATAGGAAAAAAAGACTCTCTAAAAAAATACAAGAAAAAGGGAAAATCTAACAGGAAATTCTCATGTTGGTAGATATTGACATAGGCAGTGCTTACAGTGTTGTGGTAATGTACTTTGATGGAGTCAAGTTTGCAAAAAATGCATAAAACTAATTAGAATAATGCTGACAATGTAAAATTGTGGGAAAAAACTTTTAAAAATTTTGACATATGAAGAAGTATATTAGTTCAGGGCTAGATTATGGATAGTTGCACAGAGATAGTCCCTAAGAGCTGGCCAACTTCCACGATCATTATATTTTTGAGTTTTGCATCATGGCGCATAGCTGCTTTTTTCCTTTTAGGATGTGCCTCTCCATAGAGAAGAAGTTCACATTCCTTTTCTGTGTGACGCTGCTCTTTTAGAAATTCTTCCGTGATTCAGGGTTCGCCAACATGAGTTATTTCCCATTAAATTTCCCCAGCTTCTGTGCCATGCTTCTTTATTGTTTTGGGTACTTGGAAATCCATTCTGCATTCGCTCAGGTACAGACCTCAGATTTGGTGGAAGCAATACTGATGATGGAACCGCAGTACTATGTATCTTACCCTACCATGTGCATAGCTGTTTTTCATCCAGTAGGTAACTTCACTGGCTTCTTCACACAAATGTGGCTCTTCTCATTAAAAGCTCCTGGAATGTCAGCCAGGCACAGTGGCTCACGCCTGTAATCCCAGCACTTCGGGAGGCCAAGGCGGGGGAATCCCTGAGGTTAGAAGTTCGAGACCAGCCTGGCCAACATAGTGAAACACCCATCTCTACTAAAAATACAAAAATTAGCTGGGCATGGTGGTGTGCACCCATAATCCCAACTACTTGGGAAGCTGAGGCAAGAGAATCCCTTGAACCTGAGAGGCAGAGGTTGCAGTGAGCCAAGATCGCACCACTGCACTCCAGCCTTGGGGACAGAGTGAGCCTCCATCTCAAAAAAAAAAAAGCTTCTGGAATGTCATCAGTTAGATGGAATGCCAGTGCAGACAAATGATGCAGTTTTATTTTTTATTTATTTTTTATTTTTTTGGGACAGAGTCTCGCTCTTGTCACCCAGGCTGGAGTGCAGTGGCATGATCTCATCTCACTGCAACCTCTGCCTCCCCGGTTCAAGTGATTCTTCTGCCTCGGCCTCCTGAGTAGCTGGGATTACAGGTGCCCACCACCACACCCAGCTAATTTTTTGTATTTTATTTTAGTAGAAATGGAGTTTCACCGTGTTGGCCAGGCTGGTCTCGAGCTCCCAACCTCAAGTGATTCACCCCGGCCTCCCAAAGTGCTGGGATTACAGGCGTGAGCCACCCTGCCGGGCCAAATGATGCACTTTTAAACTGAAGTTTCATCCTTGCCGTATCACGTGGCCAATCCATTCATCTGACTTTTTTACCAAATGCATTGAGCTGAATGGAAAAAACAAACTTTATTGGTAATATCCTGAAATTCACTTTCAGAAGCCTTGATGGCACCAATTCCAAATCTGTCCTTATGGTTTGGGATTCAAGTGAAACCTATTTCCTCCTGCAAAGTCCATCAAATCTTAAATAAGTTTTTATAGTAAAGTGCTTTACTTTTTTCAGCATTTGGGATTATGGTGTTTGGAATTGTGTCTTTCAGGATTATGATCCAAACCCATGATAGGTAAAAATGTATTAATTTTAAGTTCTTTGGCTATAATAATGTGGGTCTTCAAAATGTGGGCTTGCAACTTGAGAGACTCACACAGTGGCGTCTGTCTGAGGGAGCAAAGGAGCACCAGATTCTGGATTTTTTAACTGTCATGAAATATACATAATATAAAATTTGTCATCCTAATCTTTTTTTTTTTTTTTTTTTTTTTTTTTTTTTGAGATGGAGTCTTGCTCTGTCGCCAGGCTGGAGTGCAGTGGCGCGACCTTGGCTCACTGCAACCTTTGCCTCCTGGGTTCAAGTGATTCCCCTACCTCAGCCTACTGAGTAGCTGGAACTACAGGCATGTGCCACCACACCCAGCTAAGTTTTTGTATTTTAGTAGAGATGGGGTTTCACCATGTTGGCCAGGCTGGTCTCAGCCAGGCGCAGTGTCTCACGCCTGTAATGCTGGCACTTTGGGAGGCCAAGGTGGGTGGATCACGTGGTCAGGACATCTTAGCCAATTTTAAGTGGGCTGTTCAGTGGTGCTCAGTACATTGACATTGCTGCGCAACCATCACGACCATCCATCTCCAGAACTTTTCCATTACCCCAAACTGAAACTTTTTACCTATTAAATACAAACTCCCACTTCCCCTGGCCCCCACCATTCTACTCTCCTTCTCTATGAAATGACGACTCCCGACTCCCGGCACCTCATGTGAGTGGAATCTTATAGTATGTGTCTTTTGTGCCTGACTTACTTCACTAGCAGAGTGTCCTCAAGGCTCATCATGTCGTAGCAGATATTAGAATTTCTGTCCCTGAATATTAGAATATGCAGCCTTTAAGAAGGCTGAGTACTATTCCATCGTGTGGATAGAGCACATTTTGCTTATCTAAACTTTTGTCAATGAACACTTCTGTTTCTTCCACATTTTAGCTATTGTGAATAATGCTGCTGTGAACGTGGACATACAAATGTCTATTTCAGTCCCTGCTTTCGATTCTTTTGGGTATATACCTAGAAGTGGGATTGCTGGACTATACACTAATTCCACGCTGAACCGTCATACCGGTTTTTCAGATTCTGAACGTTTTATTCATTTAAAATATTGTTGGGCCAGGTGCAGGGGCTCACACCTGTAATCCCAGCACTTTGGGAGGCTGACAGGGAACACATGAGGTCAGTTCAAGACCAGCCTGAGCAACATGATGAAACTTCATCTTTGCTAAAAATAAAAAATCAGCCGGGCATGGTGGTGCACGCCTGTAATCCCAGCTACCAGGGAGGCAGAGACACGAGAATCACTTCAACCCAGGAGGCAGAGGTCCCAGTGAGCCAAGATTGCACCACTGCAATCCAGCCTGGGTGACACAGCAACACTCTATAGCAAAAATAAATTAAATTAAAATGTTGGCTGACTTGATGAAATCTTTTTTTCCTTTTTTTTTTTTTTTTTTTAGAGAAACAGGGTCTTGCTCTGTTGCCCAGGCTGGAGTGCAGTGCCACAAACATAGGTCACTGCCGCTTCCCGCTGCTGGGCTCAAGCGATCCCCCTGCGTCAGCCTCCCCAGTAGCTGGGACTACAGGCGTGCACCACCATACCCAGCTAATTTTTTTTAATTTTTATAGAAACAGGGTCTCATATTGACCAGGCTGATTTCAAACTCTTGGCTTCGAGTGATCTTGCCGTCTTAGCCTCCCCAAGTGCTGGGATGACAGGTGTGAGCCCACCTGGCCCTAAAAGCCCTTTCTAAAGGCCTCCAAACATCCTAGTGCGTAAGGACTAGATCCTTACTTCCTAGAGATGTAAGGACTAGAGGAAGGAGGCTAGTCCTAGGAGCAGACTAGCCCCACCTCCCCAGCGGGGGAGCCAGCAGGTAGGCTGCTGGGCAAGGACTTCACTGCAAGGAGGGACAGGGTGGGCCGGGGGGACTTCCCAGTTATGTCAGGTTTCAAAATATATTTGGGGAATAAAAATAGGGTGCTTGGGGCCAGGTGCGGTGGCTCACGCCTGTAATCCCAGCACTTTGGGAGGCCGAGGGAGGCGGATCATGAGGTCAGGAGATTGAGACTATCCTGACTAACAGGGTGAAACCCCATCTCTACTAAAAAAATACAAAAAAATTAGCTGGGCGTGGTGGCGAGCGCCTGTAGTCCCAGCTGCTCGGGAGGCTGAGGCAGGAGAATGGCATGAACCCAGGAGGAGGAGGTTGCGGTGAGCCGAGATCACACCACTGCACTCCAGCCTGGGCGACAGAGCGAGACTCCGCCTCAAAAAAAAAAAGAAAAGAAATATGGTGCTTGGTTCTTAATTTTGCAGCATTCAGGACATTAAATAAGTCATTTGCTGTCACCATCCTTTCAAAAAAAGGACATTTTATCATAGGGAGGCCGTAACATCAGAATTGCCCTACAGATTCAAAACTGGCTTTCTGAGAACCTCACTATATGGTTTTTTATTGTTTCTCAGAGGATTTGGTGATATCTTTGCCACCAAGTGACACTTGAAAGCAGCTGGGCTCTCCAGGATCAGCTAGAGAATTTGAGGCCCATTTCAATTTTTATCAAGAATTTGAGGCTGGGCGCAGTGGCTCACACCTGTAAGCCCAGCACTGTGGGAGGCTGAGACAGGTGGATCACCTGAGGTCAGGAGTTCGAGACCAGCTTAACCAATATGGTGAAACCCCGTCTCTACTAAAAATACAAAAATTACCCAAGCATGGTGGCATGTGCCTGTAATCCCAGCTACCCAGGAGGCTAAGACAGGAGAATTGGTTGAACCCGGGAGGCAGAGGTTCCAGTGAGCCGAGATCAGGCCACTGCACTCCAGCCTGAGCAATAGAGCAAGACTCCATCTCAAAAAACAATAAAAAAGAATCTCAAGATGGTAAGAGCAGAACCGAGCATGGGCCCCTTCTGAGCACTGGGCCTTTGCAACCGTAGAGATCCACACCCATGCAGCCAGCGTTGGACTAGGAGACCCCTGAGGCCCCCTCCGTGCCCCTCTTCTAAGGTTCCTTTCTCACCAAGAAGCTCAGCAGAGAGTTTTGATTTTGCATTATCAAAGTCAGTGACATTGAGCAAGTTAAACTCTGTGTCGATGGTAGAAAATAAAACATCTGACCAGTTTCTGCCTCCTGATCCCATTAGTGATAGGTTTGGTGATTTTAATGAAAGAATTTCACTTAGCTTGTTAAATAATAATGCTTTCCTTACTCTGGAGAATTAATTTATGTATTCATGATGAATCATTCTCATCAGCTTCCCAGCTACACAGCCAAACTTAGGGGGGAAAAACACCTAGTGGGTGTATAGATTTGACTCTGATATTTTTATTGTTTTTCAGGTTAAGATTAGTTGAGGCCGGATGCAGTGGCTCACACCTGCAATCCCAGCACTTTGGGTGGCCGAGGTGGGCAGATCAGTTGAGATCAGGAGTTCAAGATCAGCCTGCCCAACATGGTGAAACCTCGTCTCTACTAAAAATACAAAAAAGATTAGCCAGACGTGGTGTGGTGCACACCCATTGTCCCAACTACTTGGGAGGCTGAGGCAGGAGAATCGCTTAAGCCCAGGAAGCGGAGGCTGCAGTGAGCCGAGATCGTGTCACTGCACTCCACCCTGGGCAACACAGTAAGATTCCCTCTCAAGAAAAAAAAAAAAAAAAATTAGTTGAGAAAGAAAACCCAACTGTTGTGCATTTGTTGGATTTTCTCTGGAAACGCCATCCAGTCTGTAATAAAATTTCAGTTGTCATTACCCTGGATGGAATTCATCTTGGCTGGAGTGAGTGGCTTCATGCAGGGCAACCCCACTGCAAAGAATGTGAGCATCAGCTAGGCTGACACAGGGGTCCGCAGACCCAGGCCCCTCATTCCATCAGTTTCTTTCAGCATGTTTCCATGTTTTCATATTTTGAAAAAAGTCAAAATCCAAATTGATTTTCAATGTGTTTCCCTTTGGTTATTCCCCACTCCCATGCCTGTCCTCTCTTAAAATCTCTGTTGTTGGTACTGTTTGTTTTTGGCTGTTGGAACTGTTGTGATCCCCCACCACAAGCAGATTAAAAGGTATACCACATTAAGAAGACTCCTTATTGTTCCAAAGCAATGGTCCTATGTCTTTAAACAATAATATTACCACAGGCCGCAGTTCTTAAAGCCACTTGGCAGTTTTTATTGGAAGCCTACTTGGAGTTCTCTGCAGCTTTTTCTGAATGTGTCGCCGTGTCATAGCCTGCGACCTTCTCTTTCTCAGGTTTGACAGCCACTTAGCCAGCAAATCCCTGAGAAGCCACCGGCCTGAACTGGGCCCTCTGCAGTCACTCCGGCCTGTCCCCGCCTCTTCCGTGTGAGAAGAGCCTTGGCTGTTCCTCTCCCTGGTGTTTAAAGGGCGTCGGTGCACGTACAGCGAGGGCTTACATCCACTTTACGGGATCCGGAGCGGAGGAAAAGGGCCATTTCTCTTCCCTTATCTGTTTATGATGCGATATGTTCCAAAGCCGATCACATCAGCCGCTGTTATGGTGAACGGAATTCACTGTGATGGCGGCTGCACCAGCAGAGCCGCCGTGGGCTTCATGCCACGTTACGCGGAGTCTAGGACGGCCTCACCCCGCTGGCTCGGGCTCCCTCTCACTGGGTACACATTTATCGGGATTTATGCTTTAAAACAGTAGTTCACATTTTTTCTAATGGTGAAGTACAGAAACTTCCATTCTGTGTGTGACTAGCATGGCTTAGCTATGTTTCTGTGCAAACATACTCACACACAGTTTCCAAATGAAGTCACAAACTTCCCTTATAAAACTTCCTTTGAGGCTGGGCCCGGTGGCTCATGCCTATAATCCCAGCAATTTGGGAGGCTGAGGCAGGCAGATCTCTTGAGGCCAGGATTTCGTGACTAGCCTGGCCAACATGGTGAAACCCCGTCTCTACTAAAAATACAAAAATTAGGCCGGGCGCGGTGGCTCACGCCTGTAATCCCAGCACTTTGGGAGGCCAAGGCGGGCGGATCACAAGGTCAGGAGATCGAGACCATCCTGGCTAACACGGTGAAACCCTGTTTCTACTAAAAATACAAAAAATTAGCCGGGCGTGGTGGCGGGTGCCTGTGGTCCGAGCCACTCAGGAGGCAGAGGCAAGGAGAATGGCGTGAACCCGGGAGGCAGAGCTTGCATTGAGGCGAGATCATGCCACTGCACTCCAGCCTGGGCGACAGAGCGAGACTCCATCTCAAAAAAAAAAAAAAAAAAAAGTTAGCTGGGTGTGGTGGCTCATGCCTGTAATCCCAGCTACTCAGGAGACTGAGGCAGGAGAATCACTTGAACCCGGGATGCAGAGGTTGCAGTGAGCTGAGATCGCGTCATTGCACTCCAGCCTGGGCGACAGAGTGAGAGACTGTTAAAAAAAAAAAAAAAAGAAAGAAAGAAAGAAAACTTCCTTTGAGCAGAATAATAAAGGTGCCTGTGTTAAATGCCGAGTGGGTAAAACACGTCTGCAAGTGGAGAATGGCAGGAAGGGGCTCAGAGACACAATGAGACTTTGTGAGTTAAGGGGGTGTCACTGGCGATTTTTCCTGTAAACGTCCCGTGTTTTGTTGTGTTGTTTTACAACAGATTAGAAAATGGTGGGGAAATACTAAAAATAAAAATATGTCCGGCTGCTTCTGGAACATTCTGGATGTTTTGCCTTTCGCTAATAGTGTAACTTTTTTTTCAAAAGTCATTGTCTTAAAAGACTTCAAAATTGCTTTCTGTTCTCCCACCGCAAGCCCCCGCCCCACCTCTTGGCTCTGCCTATCCCCTCCCCTCCGGGGTTTCTGCCCACCCCCCACCCCCAGGCCTGGCCTCCTGGGTGCCACATCTCCAGGGCCCGACCCATTAATGGCCTGCATTCTGACCGTGACTCCCAGAAGACTCAGCCCCCTGCACAGCGCCTCCTCCCTGCTCCAGACAGCACATGTGTCGTGGAGGGGTCTCCCTCACCAAAACCAGCACCTCTGTCCCGTTCCATCCTCCGGCCTCACCTCCGCCCACTGCCTCCCAGAAAAAGGAAAAATCTCTACACCGAGGTCACTGGTCAGTCACCCCGGGTGCCAAGCTCTGCTGTTTCTAAAGGCATGGTCCCACCCATTGGTCACAAGCCCTGAGCACCCAGTTTGGGGCATGTTAGCCCCCAAGGGGGCAGCTGGGCTGGCTGGTCCTCATTTTGTTCACAGCCTGTGCAGTCTGACCCTGCTGGGCCACTCCCCGCCCCCCACCTCAGCACAGGCTCCATCTTTTTCTCCTGGGCCCCTTGTTTGTTTGTCTTTCTTTTTTCTTTTCTTTTCTTTTCTTTTTTTTCTTTCTTTTCTCTTTTTCCTTTCTTTCCTTTCTTTCTTTCTTTTCTTCTTTTTTTTCCCCCTGAGACAGAGTCTTGCTGTGTTGTCCAGAGCCGGAGTGCAATGGCGTGGTCTCGGCTCACAGTAACCTCCACCTCCTGGGTTCAAGCAGTTCTCCTGCCTCAGCCTCCCAAGTAGCTGGGATTATAGGCACCCACCACCACACCTGGCTAAATTTTTGTATTTAGTAGAGTTGGGGTTTCACCATGTTGGTCAGGCTGGTCTCGAACTCCTGACCTCGTGGTCTGCCAACCTCGGCCTCCCAAAGTGCTGAGATTACAGGCGTGAGCGACATGCCCAGCCTCTCCTGGGCCCCTTCTAGGCACCCCGCCATCCTGTCTGGCTCCTGTCCCCACCCTGCCCTGTGCGTTTACCAAGGGCTGACCCAGGCATTGAGCCACATGCACAACCGCCTTACGTCCTTACTATGTCCCTGAGATGTGGAGGGTTTTATCCCCTTTTTGCGGGTAGGGAAATTGAATATTCAAACCCAGGCCTGCAGCAATGTGAAACCTTAGGTACTTCCCACTTGCATTTAGGTGGGGGGCCTTGGGCAGTGGGTCTGCCCCAGGAGCCCCGCAAGGCGGGAGGCCTGTGTAAAGGCCTGCAGGAAGAGGCTGAGGGCCCGCTCCAGCAGCCGGGGCGCTGGTAGGGCCAGGCCTGTTGGCTGCTGTGAGAGATACGCCACCAGGCCAGGCTGACATGGGCAGTTCCAGTTTCCCAAGGCAGTCCAGCCTCCAGCACTCCATCCTGTTCCATCCCCAGTGCCCTCTGACTGCACGGGGCTGAGAAGTCCCCCAGCGGTGCTCCTAGACAGGTGGAGACCTCAATCCTGCAGCCTCATCAAATGACTCCCCAACAGGGGTGGATCCTGCCCCTCGACCAGCACCTGTGCTGTCTGCCCCTCACAAAATCCTTGTCCCTTCTCAGATTCCTTGGGGGCACAGGGCTGTGAGGGTCAGGACCACCATCAGAATCCCTTACAAAGCCACAGCCCTCTGGCCTCTTAGAGAATCCAACTTGGGTTACAAAGACAAGCGTGCACAGGCCAGGCGCGGTGGCTCATGCCTGTAATGCCAGCACTTTGGGAGGCCAAGGTGGGTGGATCACAAGGGCAGGAGGTCAAGTCTAGCCTGGCCAACATGGTGAAACCCCGTCTCTACCAAAAATACAAAAATTAGCTGGGCATGGTGATGCGTGCCTGTAATCCCAGCTACTCGGGAGGCTGAGGCAGGCAGGAGAATCGCTTGAACCGGGACCCGGGAGGCGGAGGTAGCAGTGAGCCCAAGTTCATGCCACTGCACTGCAGCCTGGGCTACAGAGCGAGACTCTGTCTCAAGGAAAAAAAAAAGGACTAGCGTGCACAGAGCCCTCGAGGTACCAGAGCAGAGCTGTGGATGCCCGTCTAAGCCTGTGCCCATAGCTCTGACTGGATTTCACCAACTCCACTCTGGCAGGTTAGCATCAGGAGAGACACTGTCCTGGCTGCTGGGTGGGAAGATAAAGCTGAGTTCCTTCTGTCTGTCTCGGTGAGAGAAGGCACGGCCCTCACCCAGGGCAGCAGAGATCAGGGCTGACTTTCCAAGCCAGCAAGACATGCATTCAGGCTACCTACAAGGAAAAGCAGTTAGATTCGAGCAAAGTGGTGAATTGGTCTGAATGGAAAAATCCAAAACATCCCACTTTAAGAACCCTGCATGCACACAGTCTTGCGTCAACTTCAGTTTTAACACGATAGCCAGGTAAGGGGGAAAGATGGGCGGAGCGGGGGACCAAGGACAGAGAGGAAGACAAAGGCTCTGTGAGCTGTGCCTGCTGTAACAAAATACACAACAGAAAGTATTCCTCACACTTCTGAGGAATGGGAAGTCCAAGGTCAAGGTGTTGGCTGATTCATTTCTGGTGAGGGGCCTCTTCCTGGCTTATAGACAGATGCCTCTTGCAGTGTCCTCATGTGGAGGAGAGAGGAGAGGGGCATCTCTCGTGTCTTTTTTTTTTTTTTTTTTTTTTTGAGACACAGTCTCGCTCTGTCACCCAGGCTGCAGTGCAGTGGCGTGAACTCGGCTCACTGCAACCTCCGCCTCCCGGGTTCACACCATTCTCCCGCGTTCACGCCATTCTCCCGCGTTCACGCCATTCTCCCACCTCAGCCTCCCGAGTAGCTGGGACTACAGGCGCCCGCCACCATGCCCGGCTGATTTTGTTTTTGTATTTTTAGTAGAGACGGGGTTTCACCATGTTAGCCAGGGTGGTCTCGATCTCCTGACCTCATGATCCACCCTCCTCGGCCTCCCAAAGTGCTGGGATTACAGGCGTGAGCCATCGTGCCCGGCCCCTCTTGTGCCTCTTCTTATAAGAGTGAGAATCCCATTCATGGGAGTCTACTCTCCTGACCTAATCACCTCCCAGAGGTCCTGTCACCAAACACCATCACACAGGGGGTTAGGGCTTCAGCGACTGACTTTCCGGAGCACACACACACCAGTGCTCCTGTTGCCCCTCCCAGGGACACCTTGCATTGCAGCAAATCACTGTTTTCTGGCTGCCCTTGGCTGGCTGGCTGGCAGCCTTTGGGGCCCTAGGCATCAGGATGTCTGCTCTGTTTGTTTGCCAATTTCAAAGCACATACCGGAATCAGTGTGGCTGGAGCTGGAGAGGACCTTGGTTTTAGAACTTTGATTGAAGCCTAAGGACCGTTGGTCCATCTGCAGAGCAGCAGTGACCAAGCCTCTCTTGGCCTTTCCTAGCATGTCATCCAAGCCTGAGTGGGAAGCGGATGTCCATATGCAGCTCACCAGAGCCGGCCTAAGGAGGGTTGATGTGCAGGCACTGCGGCAGCGCACAGGGCTCAGGACCCCTGGGCGGGCACCTGTGTGCCACCCGGGCTGTCGTGTGCGTGACTCGGCTAGCCCCTGCCCTCTGTGTGATGGGCACCACACTTCTTCCAGCCTTGTGGCATCCCAAGTAGGCAGTGAAAAGCTTCGAGAAGGGTGGGCTCTGGGGGCCATGCTGGGATTCCAGGAACCCGAGAATTCACGTAAGCCAATTCTTTCATTCTGGGCTCCCATGAATGCATTTGGAGAAGGTGGCTGGAGTCACGCACAGCCAGCTGGTGGGCAGGGCTCTCTGCAGGCCATGGGCTCATTTTCCCACCTGCGTAAGTCACGGTGCTGGTGGTAGCAGGATGGGGTCTGCAGGTCTCGCAGGAGTAGGTCAAGAGGACCAGGCAAGGTCTGGCTTCCTGATGGGGACCCAGGAGAGAGAAGCCAAGAACCCCTGCTGCCTCCTTACCCAACTGCATATCACAGAGTGTGCTGGGCCCCGTGGAGGTGGCTGCAGTCTACAAGGGGGTGGCTGCCCTGGCCTATGGTGCATTTTACAGATGTGTCAACGTGGGAAGCTGGGCCAAGGCCATCCTGTGCGGAGGCTCAATGAGAGAGCACCCTGGGTAGGGTCTGGACCTGCTGTGTGGGCCTCTTGCTGGCAGGCAGCTCTCTGTTCCCGAGGTTGCAGCAGCTGCTTTCTGTCCTCTCTTTACCCGTTCCCCCCCGCCCCACCCCCGCCAGCGGATTCTCCTGCGGAACCTCAAACTTCAGAGGCAGCAGGCCTTGAATCATTGAGCCTCCAGAGGGAAAACTGAAGCCTGGGAGAGGGTGGCTGCCCAGGGCCCCACAGCCAACCATGTCCTTGCCCAGAGAGGCCTGGGTCCCTCCTCCTCTGTGCTGGGTGCTTCCTGAGTGCTTGGCACATCTAGACACCAAACAGACCCTTGGGTCTGAGCTGACTGGGTTCACTAGCTAGCCTCACGCATCCTCCCTGCCGGGCTGCTGTGGGCTGCTGTCCTGGTCCCACATCTCCTTTTTGCGCGCTTTCATGATTCCTCAGACAGTCTCCATAGGTTGCCTCAAGACTCTGGAAGAATGAGGTTGCATATGCACTGTGACTTGTATCCAGGAATATTATCCTACTCAGGCTGGTCAGGTACTCAACAGGCAGGGAGCGCTAGTGGCAGCAAAGCCACGAGTGCCCCAAGTCTCAACCCGAACCTCAGGCGAAGGTTTGGGGACAAGACTAAGCTCAGCTCCCAGTAACTGGCCCTCCCCTTGCCTCAATCCCTTCTGGAACAACACAGGCTGTGCCAGCCTGCACAGGGCAGTGCAGAATCAGGAAAACCTGGCTGGGGCCAGAGTACCCGGGCACATCCTCGCTCTCCTGGGCCGCCTGGGGCCTGCACCTGCCGGGGGATCTGCCAGCCCCCATACCTGCGGCCGGGCACATTTAACTGTGACTTGCAGAAGTAATAAGCCTAATATGGTTGACTTTATTTAATTAATAATGATCCTCTTCTGTTCCTCTGCGCTCATAAAACACCCTGCAGGTTGGCAAAAACACTCATAATATTGATCAGAAGTCAGGCGGGATATTTATTTTGTCTTTGCCCCACTAGCATAAATCCTTGTCCACTGCCTCCTCCTCCCCGCATGCGGGATTTACAGTGGCCAGCTTCTTAAAAGCATTCAGTAATTAAGGAATAAATATCCATTGGCCTTTGTGGGCTGTGCTCCGTCCCTCCGCCTGACCCCCTAGCAACGCAGCTCAGGGAGAAGGCATGCATGCAAGGGGGAGGCAGCTGTCAGCGCCCGCTCGCAGTGGGCCGGGGTCTTCCCCTACCGAGAAAGGAAGCCCCTCTCTCTTCCTCACGTATTGTTCCAGCCCCCTCTTCCATGCCTCCCCTCCCAGTTCCTGTTTTGCTTGAGGCAGGAAGCACTCTGGAAATTCCTTGCTGCTAGCCCTCTTTTCTCTCCTTCCTCTGCCCTTCCTCTCCTCCTTGTCAGTTTCAACACCAGGCGGGCGGGTCCCCTCCAGTGTCTGCTCCTCACCCTGAGGGTGTTCCTCCACGCCAGCCCGCTCTGCTACAGAATCTCCTTGAAAATCACTGCCAAACTCCTCTCCCACCTGTTGGCGGGGGCAGGGCAGCTGTTTCCAAAGGAAAGACTGTGACAAGTGGCGGGCACACAGACGCAAATTCTTCTTTTGGCCTTTTCGCACTGGAAGAGAGAGGGGGTTCCAATAAAAATGAGCACATTAGACTTGACCTGGAGTGCACTTTCGGGAAGGGGTGTTGCTCAGTGTTTTGTAGACGTGCTCAGAAAGCCACATTTGTGAGATTTGAAGGCTGAGGATGAAACCACCAAGAGACTGCTTTACAGCCCCCCAGAGCGCCCCAGCCCTGCCACACACAGCGGCCCCTGTGAGGACTGAGGTGGACGTCTGGCTGCCCGCTCTCTTGTCTGTGTCCCGTTCATCTCCCAGACCCCGCCACAAGACAGTGCTGAAAGGCAGTCAGAAGCTTTGTGGTTATTTGCTTAAAACTTTCTTTTCTGGGAATCCAACCCATTAACCTTATTACCCCTTGACAATGTGCTGACCCTTCCCTGCCAGGACCAAAACACAGCTGATGGTGGCTGTGTGAGACCTCATCTTTGCAGCTCTCAAATGCATGAGGAACAGAGAATGGGGCATTGCAGGAAGACAGCATTTCTCTCTGAAGGTAGTTGTGTGTAGGTGTGACTCTCCCCGCGCTCTCCAGGTGTCCCCAGAGGTCTTGGTCTATGCTTTGCTCATCACTGACAAGGATTTGCCAGTGCATAGATGACAGTGCCACCAGCAGTGACCAAGCTCACCTCTGGGACTCAGCTGCCTGGTCAGCCTGACCCCGCCCTGCCGAGCACCTCATTCCCGGGCAGCACTTCTGTTTTGGGTACTGGTATCTATATGACTTGCCTTTTCCTTTTAGTGATCTCCTTTCTCTTCATTCTAAAATTCCATGAATTATTATTCATCTTTGTAATTATTATAAATATTTATAATAATAAATTATAGATAGTTTTGATAGGGAAGAAGAGGAGGAAGGAAAAACTGAGATGATCTAGATCCGTGCATCCTCTGTAATGGCAGAAGTGTTCTCGATCAGCAGCCTTGGAAATGTCCTAGTCAGCGGCAGCGTCGGTGCTCTGGACCGGCAGCCATGGGAATGTCCTAGTCGGCAGCAGTGTCGGTGTTCTAGACCGGCAGCCGTGGGAACGTCCTAGTCGGCGGCAGCGTCGGTGCTCTGGACCGGCAGCCGTGGAAACGTTCTGGATCCGAGCATCCCAGGGTAGCAGCTGCCAACCACATACTTATGTAAAGCACTGGAAATGTGTCTAAAGGAACTGTGTTTTTAATGTTATTTTGTTTCAATTCACGTCAACACCCACGGGCAGCTTACAGCTGCCCCATTGGGGGGCACACCTCTAGATTCTTCCTCTGAAGCAAACCCTACCTAACCCTTCGTCAGAGACCAGAACCAAGTGTTAAGATGGCCAAAGGGAGAGCATGAGAAAATGATGCTGTGGATCCACCTAGACTCTCAAAGCCCAGAGAGTCTGGTTGTACAGATGGGAAGATGTTTCCTAATTTGGGAGGCATCAGATCCCTGAGCAAGAGGTCAGACAGTGCCAGGGCAGCCAGTCTGTCGGGTGTCCCAGCTGGGGACCCTGGGCAGTGTTCTGTATCACTGACCTTCTCCTCTAAGATGGGGGTAAGAATAGGACCTTCCTCACTAGGTGTTGTTAGAATTAAACCAGGTAATTGTGTAAAAGGTTCAGCCTGGGCTGGGTGCAGTGACTCACACCTGTAATCCCAGCACTTTGGGAGGCCAAGGTGGGAGGATTGCTTGAGGCCAGGAGTTCAAGACCAACCTGGGCAAACTGGTGAACCCACTGCACTCCAACCTGGGCAACAGAGAAAGACCCTGTCTCTAAAAGAAAAGAAAAAGACCCCCTTCTCTACAAAAAAAAAAAAATTGAAAATTAGCTGGGCGTGGTGATGTGCACCTGTAGTTCCACCTACTTGGGAGGCTGAGGCAGGAGGATGACTTGAGCCCGGGAGTTCCAGACTGCAGTGAGCTATGATTGCGCCACTGCACTCTAGTCTGGGTGATAAAGCCAGACCCTGTCTCAAAAAATAAAAAAGCCTCAAGTCAGTGGTTGGCACATTGCAAATACTTGATAAGCATTGGCTGTGAACATTACTGATACTTTTCCTAGTCTGCATAACAGAGTTTGTCTAATAGTGACTCTACATTTATATAAATATATGTCCATGATCAATCACCTAAAACCCACCATTTGGCTCATGTAGCATTGTAAATAAAGATGGAGAAATTATGCAGAAAGGCCTTTGTTTATTATTGTCTTAGTCCTCTGGGGCTGCTATAACAAAATACCTTAAATGGGGTAATTTATAAACAAAAGAAGTGTCTTGCTCACGGTTCTGGAGGCTGGAAAGTCCAAGATAGAGGCACCGGCAGATTCGGTGTCTGGTTAGGGTTCGGTCTCTGCTTCATGGAGAATACCTCATTGCTACGTCCTCACGTGATAGAAGAGGCAAACCAGCCCCCTCGGGCCTCTTTTATAAGAGCACTAAATCCCATTTATGAGGGCAGGGCCATCATCACCTAGTCACCTCCCAAAGGCTCTACCTCTTAATAACATCACCTTGGGGAGTTAGGATTTCAGCAAATGGATTTGGGGTGACACAAACACACAGCAGTGATAAAAGAGCAGACTTTGTTGATAAATCCGTGCAGGGAAGGCACCCTCACTGCAGTGTTTCCAGTCACTGGGATGAGAAAGGGCCGATCCCAGCTGAGCGTGGTAGTGCATGCCTATAGGCCCAGCTACTCAGGAGGCTGAGGTGGGAGGATTGCTTGAATCCCAACCTGGACAATATGGCAAGACCCCTATCTCTACAAAAAAAAAAATTATGCAGGCATGGTGGCACACGCCTGTAGTTGCAACTGCTCAAGGGGCTGAGGTAGGAGGATCACTTGAGCCCAAAGCAATCCAGCCTGCTCAAACCCAGCCTGGGCAGTATAGCAAGACCCTGTCTTAAAAAAAAAAAGAGAGAGAAGAAGACTGGGCACTGTGTCTCAACACTTGTAATCCCAGCACAAAGCAGGTGGATCACTTGAGTCCAGGAGTTTGAGACCAGCCTGGGCAACATGGTGCAACCCCGTCTCTACAAAAAGTACAAAAAATTAGCCAAGCATGGTGGTATACACCTGTATTCCAAGCTACTTGGGAGGCTGAGTTGAGAGGACTGCTTGAGCCCAGGAGTTCGAGGCTGCAGTGAGCCCTGGTCAAGCCACTGCGCTCCAGCCTAGGCAACAGTGCGACTCTATCTCAAAAAAAAAAAAAAAAAAGAAAGGGTCCATCCCGGTATCAGGCAATGTGAAGTGCTGGGAACACACAGACCTGCCCATGGCATCCCCCAGTCACTTGAGGACAGATAAACCATCACAGTTGGTTGTTGCCTTTTGATTGGAGTCATCGGCAGTGTTGTCACGCGACTGGTCTTGCTCAGGTGCATTCTCCAGTGGGCACTGCAGTGACGGCTCCCACGTGGTCTTCCCTCGGGCTTTTACCCCAGGACCTGTAACACCAAGACAGAGCCCGGTGCAGCCTGCATGTGATGATTCGCCCCCACCCTGGGTCCTTGCCACAGAGATTGAAATAAAAGCTCTCTGGAGGCCAGGCGTGGTGGCTCACACCTGTAATCCCAGCACTTTGGGAGGCCGAGGAGGACAGATCACCTGAGGTCCATAGTTTGAGACCAGCCTGGCCAACATGGCAAAAGCCCATCTCTACTAAAAATACAAAAATTAGCCGGACGTGGTGGCACGTGCCTGTAATCCCAGCTATTCAGGAGGCTGAGGCAGGAGAATCGCTTGAACCCAGGAAGTGGAGGTTGCAGTGAGCCAAGATTGTGCCACTGCACTCCACCCTGGGTGGCACAGCGACATTCCATCTCGAAAAAAAAAAAGGAAAACGAAAGAAAAGCTCTCTCTCCCCACAACCCTGACTTGCACATTTTCTTCTGTAAACATAAATGCTTCTCTCCATCCCCCGTTCCCTCCCTCCTGATCTGTTCTTCACTCTGCCTTGGTTCTGTCGTCGCTGGGTTGGCTGTCTTGCTGTCTGTGCAGCACCTGCTTTCTGTTCACAGGTGCTGGGAGTTGTATGACGCTGGGCAAACTGGGAGCAGCGTGGGCATCCCGGCCCAAGCTCAGGGGCTCAGGAGGCAGGAGGCGGCACTCGCATTCACACGCACACGCACAGAACGCTCTCCCGCTCTCTCAGTCTGGTCCCTGGGCAGGTTGAAGGCAGCTCAGCATCCATCTTTTTCCAGAGAAGAGAACTTTGGCCCTGCTAGGTTGCTGGCCGGCCACCTTATGGCCCCAGGCCTGTCCTGAAGGCGGGGGCCAGATTGGGAGCCCCCCTGCTTCCGCTCTGCAGCCCTGTCTGGCTGAATGGTGTAAAATTCCCTAAGTCTTTCCTTCCTTCTTGCTGTGTTTCAAAGAAGGAAAAGCCGGGTCTGTCAGTTCTAGGCTCTCCACTGTTTTTCCCCTTTTGAAACTTGCAATAAAATCTACCTGTCTCTTCTTTCCTGCAGCCTTTCTTTTTTCCCACGATTTCCCAAAATACGGCCACCACTCTGCCGTCACGTGTGCATCTTGTTCCACATTAGATATGGAGTTTGTTTTGTTTGTTTTTGAGACGGAGTCTCGCTCTTTTGCCCAGGCTGGAGTGCAGTGGTGCAATCTCAACTCACTGCAACCTCCGCCTCCCGGGTTCAAGCAATTCTCTGCCTCAGCCCCCCCGAGTAGCTGGGATTACAGGCATCCGCCACCATGCCCGGCTAATTTTTGTATTTTTAGTAGAGATGGGGTTTTACCATGTTGGCCAGGCTGGTGTCGAACTCCTGACCTCGTGATCCACCCACTTCGGCCTCCCAAAGTGCTGGGATTACAGTCATGAGCCACCATGCCCGGCTGGAGTTTGTTTTTTAAAATGTGTACATGCTTGAGGGTGTTACCAGGAATGATCAATAAAGTCAGTTACTGTCATCCTTAAGCCCACACTAAGTGCTCCGGTTACATGGAGATTACACCTTGCCAGCTGAGTCATGCAGTGGATTTGGCATGGCAGGCACTAAGTATGCGGGTAGCAGGTGGGGAGTGTCCAAGAGAATTGTCTTTGGGATGGACACAGGGAAGCCACCTTGGCCAAGTCACCACCCCTCAAGGTCAGGTGCGGCAAAGCCCGTCAGGCAGCAATGCTAGAGTGTCTGTCTCCGAGCTGGCAGACCCCGAAAAATCCAGAGGGTTCACGGCTCCTGCAACCTACCCAGTGATTCCTATGTCCTGTGCTCAGTGCCTGGCTGTCCCTGTGGATGGCTTCCTGTCATGGCCCAGAGAGAGGTAAAGAGCCACCTTTACCTCTTCTTTTAGGCAGGAAGAGAAGCAAATATAAAATACGATGGCGCCTGAAATGTACCTTTTCTTTTTATTTTGGGGATTGGGTCAGTGCCTTTCTTCTGATGAGTCGCCCATTCCCTCATTTTCCCTCACTCTCCTGCGGCTGATTTATTTAAAGGTGTGTCAGCACCACATCAAATGAGGAACTGGGCCCCCTCCTTTCTGCTGACGGCCGGCCGCGCCAATAATTCATTTTTTAGCTCATTAGCTAACGGAGGCTGTGAACGGTGATCCTCCCGGGGATTGGAATGAGGGGAGGTGATCTACTGCCGGCTGCCTGCTCTTGAACTGGCCTTCCTTGGGGAAAATGAAAGGCTCAGCCAAGACAAGCCAGGGATCCCAGAAGTAGAATTGCGGCCTCCGAGTGACCATTTGAGTCTGTGTGCTTTGACATCATGGCTTCTTAGGGCAAATGCCTCTAGACGGAATAGTCTCATCGAGAAGAAGCCATTGTCAGCGTGTCCCTTGGTCATATGTGACTTGCGTATGGAGACGCTAGTGAGAAAGATGAAGGATGCTATCCAGAGTATGTGTCAGCTCAGGCTGCCAAAATAAAGTATTACACTTGGGTGGCTTAAGTGCGGGACATTCACGTCTCACAGTTCTGGAGGCTGGAAGTCTGGAGTCAGGGTGCCCGCAGGGTTGGTTCTGGTGAGACCTCTCTCCCTGGCTGACAGATGGTGCCTTCTCCCTGTGTCCTGCCTTTCCTCCGGGTGTGCTCAGAGGGAGAGAGACATCACCAGTGTCTCGTCCTCTTATACGGGCACCTGGCTTATTGAATTAGGGCTCTATCTTTATAGCATCATTTAACCTTAATTCTCTTCCTGAAGACCCCATCTCCACATACAGCAACATTGAGGGTTAAAGCTTCAGCATGTGAATTTTATGGGATACGACTCAGCCTCTAACATCCAAGAAGCCCTTAAACATCTCAAGGCTATGGGCAGGAGCCAACCAGATGTTGCTCCTGCAACTCTGACAGCTATGAGGTCATTTAAACCAGCCAGACTCCTTCTTACCCCAGAGTCTCAGGATCCTCTGCACCCTCGGGGGAGCTCACAAGATGCCAGCAGGCTTGGCAAGACCTCTGGCCAAGAGCATCCCCCCTACCATGCTGAGCATGAGGAGTTGCGTGAAGCTCGTATGTACACACAGCCGTGATTTAGAAGCCTCCCGTGCCCAGCAGGCCTTCGGTACCCGCGGCCCCGTGCCACCAGCACTTCCCCCACACGTGCCGCTTCCACGGGTGAGCTCCTGTGTGCTCACATAACATTGAATTATCAGAGAGGTTGTTTTCTTCAGTCGTGACAGCCGCTGTTTGCAGGGGAACCACTGTGGCCATGGTGTCATCCAAATGCGTGATCCCAAATCCCAAAACAGCCCTGCCTTGTGTAGATGTCACTGTCCTCATTTGACAGATGAGGAAAAGAGGGTCCAAGAAGTTATTAGAAAGGCGAACGTCTACACCACTAAGTCGAGAAAAGGCACATAAGCCACAGTCTCTCTAATGCTTAAGAGTGCAGCCTGTGAGCTTAGTGTTGGTGGGGAGATTGGCTTTTCCCTGCCTTTGGGCATTGCAGAAAGTACAGGGAGCTAAGCTTTCCCCCTGGTATCTGGATGGGAGCATCCACAGGAGGTGGCCTTCAAGTCACAGCAGGTGGCTGACATGCATTAGTTTGCTGAAGTAGCACCAAAAAACCCAGTGCCCTTGTCTGAGTCCTGTTTTCATACTAGTGAAATTTCAGCTGCTAACAAGAATCACGTCTGATGCAGACACAAAGCCCAGTGGCTGCCCCAACTCCCTGGCCACCTCCTACTGTCCGAGAAAACACTGAAATATAGCAGTCCCAAAGGACTCAGAAGTCAGCATTGAAAGCTTCTGTTTTTGTTTTGTTTTGTTTAGACAGAGTCTCGCTCTGTCACCCAGGCTGGAGTGCAGTGGCGCAATCTTGGCTCACTGCAACCTCTGCCTGCTGGATCCAAGCGATTCTCCTGCCTCAGCCTCCTGAGTAGCTAGGACTACAGGTGTGTGCCACCATGCCAGGCTGATTTTTGTATTTTTAGTAGAGACGGGTTTTCACTATGTTGGCCAGGCTGGTCTCAAACTCCAGACCTCAGGTGGCCCGCCCAGCCTCGGCCTCCCGGAGTGTGAGGATTACAGGCATGAGCCACTGCACCTGGCTGCAAACTTTTGTTTTTTTGTTTGTGAAATGGAGTTTCACTCTTGTTACCCAGGCTGGAGTGCAATGGCGCAATCTTGGCTCACTGCATCCTCCACCCTCCACAAGGTTCAAGCAATTCTCCTATCTCAGCCTCCCTTTTGTGGGTTTCGGGCCCACAAAACCTGGACCTACCTTTTATTACATAGTTTAAACAATGCTGATTTTTTTTCCATAAGTTATTGGGGTACAGGTGGTATTTGGTTAATTAAGTTCTTTTTTTTTTGAGAGAGAGTTTTGCTCTGTCGCCCACGCTGGAGTGCAGTGACGCAGTCTTGGCTCACTGCAACCTCTGCCTCCTGGATTCAAGCAATTCTCCTGCATCAGCCTCCTGAGTAGCTGGGATTACAGGCACCTGCCACCACACCGGCTAATTTTTGTATTTTTAGTAGAGACAGGGTTTCACCATGTTGGCCAGGCTGGTCTCAAACTCCTGACCTCAAGAGAACCACCCACCACGGCCTCCCAAAGTGCTGAGATTACAGGCATAAGCCACCACGGCCAGCCATGAGTAAATTCTTTAGTGGTGATTTGTGAGATCTTGGTGCACCCATCACCCGAGCACTATATACTGCACCCTATTTGTAGTCTTTTATCCCTCGCCCCCCTCCCACTCTTCCCCCCAAGTCCCCAAAGTCCGTTGTATCATTCTTACACCTTTTATGTCCCCATAGCTTAGCTCCCACGTATCAGTGAGAACATGCGATGTTTGGCTTTCCATTCTTGAGTTACTTTCCTTAGAATAATAGTCTCCAGTCTCATTGGAGGTCCCTGCAAATGCTGTTAACCCATTCCTTTTTATGGCTGTGTTGTATTCCGTCGTATATGTATATACACCACAGTTTCTTTATCCACTTGTTGATTGATGGCCATTGGGGTAGGTTCCACAATTTTGCAGTTGTGAATTGTGCTGCTATAAACGTGTGTGTAAGTATCTTTTTCAAATAATGACTTCTTTTCCTCTGAGTGGGTACAGTAGTGTGATTGCTGGATCAAATGGCAGTTCTACTTTCAGTTCTTTAAGGAATCTCCACACTGTTTTCCATAGCGGCTGTACTAGTTTACATTCCCACCAGCAGCGTAGAAGTGTTCCCTGTACACCACATCCACGCCAACATCTACCGTTTTTAGATTTTTTGATTATGGCCATTCTTGAAGGATGAAGGTGGTATCAACAATGCTGATTTTTAAAAGTAAAGAACAGCTCATTCAAATGTGTATCAGCTTGTCAGTTCGGATGAGGTTGCCTATGAGGTGAGATGTGAGGACAGAGAATCACTCCAGCAGTTCCCGGGGAGAACATACTGACACAGCGAAGGGTTCAGGAGCCGCAGGTTCGTACTCATTCTTTGGCTGGGGTGTGGGAATATTAAAAAGAAATTGAATACTTGCAGTTAGCACTGTAGCTACTAGTTCAGTTATGTGGTTTATCCCTGGGTGATTTGGCAATGACTATTAAAGTCAATCGGAGCGGAATCAAATAGTTGTGGGATTTTAATGTCTACCAAAAAATGAGAGTTAGCAAATTGGAACTGGAAAATCTGGACGCATCCTTCACCGTCATCCCTTTTCATTTAATTGACGTTTTGCTCCTTCTCTTTTGTGATTTATGAAATGCATCAACAAACGTTTAATACATTTTAAATAAGGCCTTTAAAATAGTATCAGAACTGCTTCTTTTTGTCTGTCTCCTGAACCCGTATTTCCCAGACATTGTCAGTGCTTTTGTGCTTGTGTTTTTGCCCGAGTGGGGTGCAGGGGCTGCCTCCGCTGCATTTGTGGGGGCCGGTGTCAGTTCTCAGCTGTAGCCAAGTGTTTGTCCTGGAAATCTCCAAATGAAAAGAGTCGGGGGTCACTCTGGGGTCACTCACATGTACCAGGAAGTGAAGCAAAACTAATCCAGATTTACTCCTGGAAGAATTTGTTTGCCTTAGTATTTAAAAACAGATTAGGGCTAACCCGACACTAGATCACTAGGTGCAATGTAAACACGGGTAAAAGGTGTAAACAAGGCCTTTCCTCTGTACTTCGGAAGCAGAAATGTCATGGGTAATGAGTTTTCTTTCTAGACTTTCGCGGAAGCCCTGAGTGATTTCTCCGTGTCATTTGTAACTGTGTACTCTGATTATTCCCCTGGAGAAACCTGAATTTTGGAGAGGGCGATTGTGAATCAGTGCGTTATTAAAGTCTCTATGGGTAACTGCAGTCCCTTCTTACATGTAGGGCTTTTCTTTCTTTTCTTTTTCTTTTTTTTTTTTTTTTTTTCGAGATGGAGTCTCATTCTGTTACCCAGGCTGGAGTGCAGTGGCGCAATCTCAGCTCACTGCAACCTCTGCCTCCCGGGTTCAAGCCATTCTCCTACCTCGGCTTCCCGAGTAGCTGGGATTACAGGCGCCTGCCACCACACCGGCTAATTTTTGTATTTTTAGTAGAGACAGGGTTTCACCATGTTGGCCAAGCTGGTCTCGAACTCCTGACCTCAGGTGATCCACCCACCTCGGCCTCCCAAAGTGCTGGGATTACAGGCATGAGCCACTGCGCCCAGCCTCTTTTCTTTGTCATCCTCATCAAAAAGGCAGGCAGGGAGCACTTCCCTGGCTGGGCTTGGCTCCTGGGATCCTTGTAAAATTTCAAGAGCTACTTGTAAAATCTCACACTGTTCTTTGTAAATTTCTTGTCCCCCACCACCCTACCTTTTTTTTTCCCCTCTAGCGGTGCTGCAGAGTCTTGAGTTTTCAGTATCTGTCACGCTCTTTTTTGAGAAACCAGAAACCATCATCAGTAGCCACAAAGTACAGGAGCTGCTCGCCTGGGGTCCTTCCTTTGGGTCAACATAAACATGCCTTACTGTTGGTTTCCTCTTCTATTTGTTAAGCTTCTCATCTCATCCTGTCCTCTCCTTCTTAGCCCTCCCCACAGATGTGTAGCAGGGTCCCCATCCTCTGTAGACCCCCCAGGAGGAGACCATGTATTACACTGGCCAGGTCGGGCAGCCCCATCTCAGCCAGGTTGTGATGCTGGGGCCGGGGCGGGCAGGCATCAGCATCATCCACTCTCCACACCTCCGACCCCATCCACCCCCTCCCCAGCTTTGTCCTCTCCTCTGCCTCTGGGCTCAGCTCTGGCTTCTGGGAGCTACCTGCCTGTTTCCCAGGCCCTGGAACAGTTTCCCCCAAAAAACTCAGCCATTCCTGACATTCTGTCCTTTCCACTTAAGCCTTCCCCAAGTATCTGGAGATTCCAAAAGCTGCATCTCCCTGCTAAACCTCCTCATTGGAGTCTCCACCCTCTCCTGCGTGAGTCTGTTGCCATGTTTTCCTCAGCTGAAAGGGTTTGGAGACCCTGGGGAGTCCACACACACCCCCTATTTCGGAGTTTGAAGCTAAAAGCACATGGTCACCCCCAGGTGTGGGGAGCGCACCGGCTGTCCCTTCCCCCCACCCCCGGCCCAGCTCCAGCCAAGTGTCCTATAGCCCTCACTTACAGTCCTGCTTACAGTAAAGCAACTCTCGGCCCCAGAGACCATGCTTCCATCGTGCGGTCCGTGCTCTCGGCCCCGGAGACCGTGCTTCCATCGTGCTGGTCCCAGGCAGTAGGGTGGTTTCCCCTGTGCATCGGTGTGTGAGAGCCACTGATCCAAGGCCATGGCCTTGAGCCCTCACTTGGTAGTTTTCTTTCCAAGGACAGCTTCTACACTAAAAGTGACAGAAGCAGCACCAAGGCAGTGTATGAGCCTGAGATCAGCGGCTCTCACACCTTGGGCCTATTGGAATCCCCTGCAGGGCTTCTTAAAACACCCCGAGAGGTTTGGATTCAGGGGGTCTGGGGCGTGACCTGAGAATCTGCATTTCTGGGCTGATGCTGCTGGTGAGGATACTGTTTTGTGAAGGTGGATAAACGTTTCCCCCAGGGGGCTTTGTGCCGAGTGAAGACCTTTGCTTTCTGTTATTTCACTTCCCTCTCGGCTTCTCCCGACCACACTGGGCAGGGGCTGGCAGCCTGTGTTCTCGGGCCTGATCGTGACTGCACCTGTCTGGTGGCTCTTTGCAGGGAAGAGAAGGAACGGTGGATCCGTGCCAAGTACGAGCAGAAGCTCTTCCTGGCCCCGCTGCCCTGCACGGAGCTGTCCCTGGGCCAGCACCTGCTGCGGGCCACCGCCGACGAGGACCTGCGGACGGCCATCCTGCTGCTGGCACACGGCTCCCGGGACGAGGTGAACGAGACCTGCGGGGAGGGAGACGGCCGCACGGCGCTGCATCTGGCCTGCCGCAAGGGGAATGTGGTCCTGGCGCAGCTCCTGATCTGGGTAGGTGGTCGGCACGCCTGGCAGAGGACGGGGCCACAGGAGGCACTCTCTGCTTTGTTCTGCTTCCGTGGGCATCTTTCTGGCAGAAGGCTGTTGTTCTCGATCTGCAAGTGGAAACAGTTCCTAATGGGAAACTCTGATTGAAGAGCAGAGGGCCTTACGGAGAGACAGCCGGTCCTCCTTGTACAGTACTTGCTAGAGTTTCTGAAAATTGCAACTTTGTGATTGCCCCTTATCAAGCAGGGTTGGTGCTATCCCTCTTTTTTCATTTCCATCATCTTCTGGAGAGAAGGCGGTGTATTAACGGGATGGCTTGTAGGGTTTCCCCATTTCCAAACCTTTGGTGTTTTTATTCACTTAACACAGAAATACTGGACCCTAAACTTTGAGGTCTGATGTGGCAGGAGTTTGTCAAAGGACTTCTTTCGAACCATTCTGATTAATTTCTACTGGGGAAAAGTATTATTTACATTCCTATTGAAGCATGTGTCACAATGCTTGAAGGAGTGAAAGAGAAGGATAAAGTGGTTGTGCAGAGAGGCCCTGCCTGTGCCACCCAGGAGCTACGTCTGAGAAGCCACGCCCACTTAGGGGCTGCCTGTGGACCCCTGGGGCTTCTGCTGAGGCAGGTTCCCACCAGAGGCAGGCAGAAAGCTGCCGGCAGGGAGGCTCCCCAGATAGGGAAGGCAAGTGTGTGCCCAGAAGTGGAGACAGCACCCAGAGGTGGGACACCCAGCTGGAGGCTCTTCTGTCTCCACCCGCAAGGCAGGATGGGTCAGTCCAGCACAGCAGCACGTTCTACAGCAGCATGGGTAGAGTGCAGCAGGTTTCTGCATGTTTTTGATCTGACTTTTTTGTTTTTTGTTTTTTTGAGACAGAGTCTCGCTCTGTCACCCAGGCTGGAGTGCAGTGGTGCGATCTCAGCTCACTGCAACCTCCGCCTCCCAGGTTCAAGCAATTCTCCTGCCTCAGCCTCCCAGGAAGCTGGGATTACAGGTGCGCACCACCACGCCCAGCTAATTTTTGTATTTTTAGTAGAGACGGGGCTTCACCATGTTGGTCAGTCTGGTCTCGAGCTCCTGACCTCGTGATCCACCCGCCTCGGCCTCCCAAAGTGCTGGGAGTACAGGCATGACCCACCACGCCCAGCCTTGATCTGACTTTTTTGATGGGTGCAGTTGGTGAATGAGTGAGATATAGACACTACACCAAAATCACACAGATACTCCCTTTTGCTCATGAGTCATACATGTGATGTAATGCACATTAAATAAGAGTTGTGTGTAGTGTGCTAGGGCTGCCATAACAAAATACCACAGACAGGGGTGCTTCAACAACAGACATTTATTTTTTCACAGTTCTGGAGGCTGGAAGTACAAGATCAAAGGGCCAGCAGGAATGGTTCCTGGCGAGGCCTCTCTCACGGCTGGTAGACGGCCGCCCTCTCCCTATGTTCTCACAGGGCCTTTCCTCTGCACTCGCTCCTGGTAGCTCTCTCCTTTCCCCCCACCCCCTTCTTTTTGGGACAAAGTCTTGCTCTGTCGTCCAGGCTGGAGTGCAGTGGCACAATCATAGCCCACTGTAACCTCAAACTCCTGGGCTCAAGCAATCCCCCCACCCTAGCCTCCCAAGTAATTGGGACCACAGGCATGCCACCCCCATGAATGGCAGTTTTTAAAAAATTTTGTAGACTTACGTTCTTACCATATTGCCCATGGGTTTTGAACTCCTGCCTTTAAGCAGTCCTCTCACCTCGGCCTCCCAAGGTGTTGAGATTACAGGTATCAGCCTCCCAGCCCAGCCTTTTCCTCTTCTCATATAGATACTAACCCTATTGTGACCTCATTTAAGCTAATACACCACCATAAAGGCTCTGTCTCCAAATACAGTCACATTCTAAAGTACTGGGTGTCAGGACTTAAACATGTGAATTGTTGGTGGGAGCGGGGGACACAGTTATAAATTACAGGCCATCTTTGCTTCTCCAATTGAGCAAAAATTCCTTTGATGGCGCTGGTTCCATGCTGTTGAGTGGCCTCAGACTCCCACACATTGTGAGTTGGCAGAAGTGGAAGTGAATTCACTCTTTTTCATGAGCAAAAAGCTTAAAAACGTTGTGTACTTTAACCTCATATTTTCCCCCTTCTGATCATCACTCTAATAATCAATCACAGATCCTAAGAAAGATTCTATGTGAGGACATACATCCGGGCACTGTTTCTTCCAGTGACAATTTTTTTTTTTTTTTTTTTTGAGACAGAGTCTCACTCTGTCTCCCGGGCTGGAGTGCAGTGGCACGATCTCGGCTCACTGCAACCTCTGCCTCCCGGGTTCAAGCAATTCTCCTGCCTCAGCCTCCTGACACTAGCTGGGATTACAAGCGTACACCACCATGCCCAGATAATTTCTGTATTTTTAGTAGAGACGAGGTTTCACCATGTTGGTCAGTCTGGTCTCAAACTCCTGACCTTGTGATCCGCCCTCCTCGGCCTCCCAAAGTGCTGGGATTCCAGGCATGAGCCACCGTGTCCGGCTCCAGTGACAATTTTTACAAAGTGTGCACAGTTGAGGGGAGAGTTCTGAATTCTGTTCATGTGGTGGAATACTGTATGACTTGCATATGTCATGCTTTTTGAGGGGTGGGGAGACAGGGTCTCACTCTGTTGCCCAGGCTGGAGTGCAGTGGTGTGATGTCGGCCCACGGCAGCCTCTGCCTCCTAGGCTCAAGCGATCCTCCCACCTCAGCCTCCTGCATAGCTGGGACCACAGGCATATGCCACGTGCCCAGCTAATTTTTTTAAAATGTGTTTTTTTCTAGAGACAGGGTCTCCCAGTATTGCTCAGGCTAGTCTTGAACTCCTGGGCTGAAGTGAACCACCGCACCCAGCTTGTGTTGTGCTTCTGAGTAATTTTTAATGATGTAAGAAAATGATCACAGTATAGTAATCAATAAAAAATGAAAAAAATACAAATTATTTGTACAGTCTTATCTCAATTATGTACATATACATGTAGATTCAAAGAAAACTCATTGAAAGGAAATACACTAATTCACAAAGGTTATCTCTAAGTAGTAAGATTATGGGTGATTTTTTTTCTTCTTGAGCTGTTATGTGTTATTTGTGTATTTCCTATAATGAAAATTCTGAGATCAAAACAATGATTTTCTTTGTGCAATTGGAAAGTCAAAATAGAAACAGCAAAACTAAAGTTATCTTTGATTCCTTAATGTTGCACAAAGGAGGGGCTTTCAGTTGAAAAAAAAAGACATGTTCTTTCCTTAAAAGAATCCGCTGGCCACGGGTGCAGGCTGTGCCACCAGCACTGGATGGTCCTGGCACCCCAGCCAGTTGTGTAGCTGGCCCCGCTGTCCAAGCACAAGCCACATGCAAGGGCTGAGAGAAAGCTTCCCTGCCCCCTCCCTCCATCACATCCCCCATGATACTAATGTGGGCTCCCTTACCTCCGCAGTACGGAGTGGACGTCACGGCCCGAGATGCCCACGGGAACACAGCTCTGGCCTACGCCCGGCAGGCCTCCAGCCAGGAGTGCATCGACGTGCTGCTGCAGTACGGCTGCCCCGACGAGCGCTTCGTGCTCATGGCCACCCCTAACCTGTCCAGGAGAAACAATAACCGGAACAACAGC
This sequence comes from Homo sapiens, assembly GCF_000001405.40. Classification (NCBI taxonomy): domain Eukaryota; kingdom Metazoa; phylum Chordata; class Mammalia; order Primates; family Hominidae; genus Homo; species Homo sapiens. The sequence goes on from NC_000002.12 coordinate 236,124,096, forward strand.
AGTGGGAGGGTGCCCACCATCATCTGAGGAACAGCCGTGCCCGCCTGCTCGCCGCACCTGGGACGCGGCAGCCTCGCCGCATTCTCGCTCAGAAGTCGCAGCACGTGAGTCCCGTCGCATCCCCTCCCTCTTCCTGGTGGCCACCTCCCTCCCGCCCACCCACTCTCACCCCAAACAAAATCACAAAACCTGGACATCCCTCAAGGGGCGAAGAGGCGGCCGGGAGACTGCAGAAGTGGCTCCTTTTCATAAACTCCCCTAAACCACACACAGGAGAGAGCGACGGGCCTCGGCCCTTTGATGATAGCACATGGCGCAGGACCCTTGTCCTGGTGGCACAAGGGATGGGGACGCGAGGGGGAGGGGAGGCGAGGAACAAGGAGAAGGGGCAACTTTCCTTAACTGGCAGTTGAGCACATAGTACATTTCCCCTCTACCAAACGGAACACTTGGATTCCATCTCTTCTCTGAGGAGCTCGACGGCATAAATCAGAAGCAAGCACAGAGTTTGTCAGGTTTGAAGCCCCTATGATGGTGTGTGTCAAATCAGTTGTAGCTAATCTGTCCAGGGAGAATACTGGCTTCATTACACTTGTACAGCCGAGTTCTTCCCGCATTACTGCTGTTTAATAGAACGTGATTAGTCATCGCCGAGAAGAAAGCATATTAGCCGAGGAGGTAGTCACGCGGCACGCGCCGGTGATTGCCACGATGTGATTGCAATACTCTTAGAAGCACCATATTATCCCAGACATGTTCTTTCAAGCCCTTGGAGCCCTCTCTAAATTCACTGTCATCATTTAGTATCTGTTTAATTTTTCAGTCCAAAGAGAGGAAATCAGTCGCTGAGTATTATTTGACTCCGGTCTCCTTGGTGCAAAAACAAAATGGGAAAAATAAATAAGAATAACTCAGAAACTCAAAAGGAAACCACAAATTCAGCTAATAATAGCATTTCGAGTATATTTCGTAAACTAAGGAAATACACAAAAGGCTGTTTTTTCCGACTGTAAGAGATATTTGATGTCCTTTTGCCGAGGTGGATGTGTTAGTCTCAGGCCCTCCTGGACCACGTTGCCCAAGTCACACAGGCTTCTGTGTTATGTATTTAGATAAGATGTGTGAAAATATATTTGAATAAAAGAAGTTCATAAATATGCATTGATTTTTGTACAGACAAATGGCACCTCTCTTAATTTATAAATTGAACTGGATGTGAACTAATAATGTGCAACTAGTTGAGATAAGAGGGTTACAGATCATTGTACATGGAAAATATTCCCAGCAGTAAACACTTCCATTAATGTGATCTACGGCTTTTGAAAAGGAGCATCTCAGAATAAGATGGTGGTACAATTTGCTTATTAAAATTGAGAAAGAAAAAAAAAGACACACTGGAGTATATTAGAAAGGAAAAAGAAGGAATGTGGTCTCTCATGATTGAAAGCATGATTTAGATCGGATACGGCTTTTGCTAACCAAGGACCAAGGGACTCTGGCAAGATGGGGTGGTTTTCCGAATGCCAGACCGAGGTGCCTTACGAAGGCAGCTGCCAATGGTTCTGTGGCACAGACTGGCTCCTGAGAACCCAGACGACCTTGACCTGGCAGCCCGGCCCTCCACGCTAGTACCTCGCCTGATTTTCCATCGTTGCGGTATCCAGCCGCTTCAGACGTCCGCCGCCTTCAGTGGTGGTAGTCAAATGTAGTCAACCAAACCACAGCATCCCTTAGGTTAAAAGCAAACGGGGCAGCTTTGCCTAGAGCTCATTGACAGTGTGATGGGGGGAGAAGGGTTGTCACAATGGAAGATGAGGACACTAGACTCATGTAGCACAGAAACATGAAGCCACACGCACCGGCAGCCTCCGGGGTGTTCCTCGCTCTCTCGTATGTTAAACCTTATATTTTATAAGAGTTTTTCCTCTTATTTCACTTTTTAAAAAAAATTAAAGTAGGTGGGGAAAAAAATAAAGCTTTACACAGAATTTATATGTGGGTAAGTGTTTCATGGAAATTTCTAATCTTAACGAAGCTAAGTGGAGCTCACTCGTATCCAAAAGTATAACAGGTGCAGAAGCCACAAGTCTGAGAACCTTGACGACAGTTCCATCGTCCTGCCATTTGATTTTTCAGTCTGCGTTTCATCACTGTGTAGCTATTGTAAATGTGAATAGAAAAAAACAGGTCATTGCCTATTTTTGAAGAACGCGTTGGTGTTCGAGTCCACTAGACACACTCGCTCCACACAGCCTTCACCGTAGACTCTGTAGTGGACACAGATATAGCATAAATGAAATTGTTAAATTATTTCATTGTAGTTAATTCCCACTATAGGAATGCTTTATCATAGTGAAGTTTCTTTTGAGAAGAAACGGAACTCCTTGAGGCTTCTCTTTGGGATGTATATGAGCGTGTACATATTATTCTATGTGTTTATAATATAATATTTTCCCAAATGACTTCTTGTTTCACTTTGCCTTCCACAACCTGAATGCCAGATTGGTTTTTTCCCTTCCTGGCCCCCAGCACAAGCTGCCATGACTCCCCCTCAGAAAACACAGCCCCTCCTCTACCATTCTCAGTGATGTCCATCTGCTCCACTCCGCAGCCACTTTCTAGGGCCCAAGTTTTGGTAGCAGAAGGAAAGGCAGTTTTTGAGGGTCTTTCGAAAAAAAGAAGACGGGGCAGCTTTGCCCAGAGCTCGTTGGCAGTCTGTTTGTATTTCAGTGTCTAACCAGAAGTCCTTTCTTTGCGGACCGCACTCTCGTTCCCACTTTCAAGCTAATTACCACCAAGGCTGGGAGAGGCAAGGACTGGGGGCGGAGCTAGGAATAACTCGTTTGAGAAGGGGGTGGAGTTTTCGTTGTTCATTTCCATGTTCAGTTCTGTGACGTGACGATGACAGATCACCACTGCAGGATCCCCCTCACCTTTCCTGTTCAGAATTAAAACTCTCCCTTGATGAGAAACAGCCAGCTGAGGGAGGCCCACGAGCGGCCTGTGTAACCCCATGGGTGATCTGGACACATCTGCACCCCCGCGTTCAGCTTCGCGGAGACTGAACTTGGCGGGGAGTGGAGGGGTGTGGTGCAGACCTGGCTGCAGCAGAAACACCCCGCAGGGACAGTACTCTGTGATTCTGACCTCAGGTGCTGGGACGGGCAGATGGTTTCCCCCGCCCAGCACCCCAGTCCTGGTCCCTGGTCCCTCTCTCTGTTTCATCCCAGGAAATGAGCAGCTCGAGGGTGAGCAAGTGACAAGTTCCTGAGTCACTGGCCCCAAAACCAGGTGCAGTGTCCTGTCTCCCAAGTGTGTGCACAATGTATATATGCACTGGAAAGGAGGGAGAAGGCAGCGGGTCACTCGCCAATCGCAGGGTTCTCAGACACAGGAGAGAGCGGGATCTTAATGAATTGCATTTCCTGCAGAGCCTCTAGTGCACAGGCCAGTTCTCGGCAGTGGCTTTTCAGCACAAGGGCCTTGCATTGAAGCTCCCTCTTCTGAGATTTCACCCAGCCTGATGAGGCCTGCATGGTTCCGGCCTCGTCATCCAGTGTAGATACCAGTCTTCCTATTTTTGTGACATCTGCACATTTGGGGTCATTCCCTATATCTGCATAGGAGCTATTGCTAACCTTGTTAGGGAGAAACATGGTCTAATGAGAAAGACAGACCCCTAGGCTCAGCTGGCCCTGCCATCCTTCCAGAGGATTCCTCTGCAACTCTAGGCAAGCACCCAGCTTCCTGGGCTCTTTTTCCTCATCTGTGAAACTTGCAGGGTGCAGTGAGGTTTCAAACCAGTGTGATAAGTGTTGGCCTCACACCTGGCCCAGGGGATGCTGGGAGAACAGGAGCACTTGTTAATAACAGAAACACTGATGGGACCGAAGCCAGTGCACACACCAGGAAACCTGCCCGTGGCTGACACTGTCCTCCAGCCTGCATTCTGGGGAGGCTGTGATGGGCACGTTTGCCAACCCCCCCCCCCCAGTAGAGCCCAGGACCCTCCTCTCTCAGCTTGCCAGTGCCCTGCCCTCCACATGGCGGGGAACAGCATCAATGAGGTCCTTGCTCCCTGAGAGCCTCTCTGGAACCTGCCCACTTTTCTCAACATGTATATTCTGCTTTGTAGTCTGAGGTTGATTTTCTAGAGGCGAGGAAGGGGCTGAGTTCTGCCCTCGTGCTGTTCGCTGGTGCTGATCAGGGCCAAGACGACCCTTCCCTCTCCCCCACAGCCTGTTGAGGTGCCGTTGACGTGGACAGCGCCCCTCCCTTAAGATGCCCCCTTGCCGTTGCCATGAGCCGCTGTGACTCACGCGTGCACTGGGCCTTGCTTGGTGCTCCCCTCCTCCTCCTGTCTGAGATCGGAGCTTGCTGGAGAGCACCCCAGGTCGCCGTGCTTGGCTGCAGGCCCGTCCCTCTCTCCCCATCCTCGGGTTCCCAGCGTGTTTTGTGCTTGAACTTGGTGGACTCATCTTACCCCACAAGAGTGGCCTGCTCAACCTGCAGCCTCCAATGTGCCGTAGGCGCTCTAGGTCCCCGTGGCGCCCAGGACACCAACTCTCCCTCCCTGCACTTAGGATGTTCTGGAAATGAGAGGAAATCCACATTCCTGCCCCAGGAGGTGGGAAGCCTGGCAACGATGTAGCTTCCCCTGAGATGCGGTATGATCAGGCCTCAGCAACTACTCAGGAGGCAAAGGTGTTTGGAAAGCAAACCCCAAACCTCCCGGCACGGCATGTGCTCTGCTTCCGTCCCTCACCGCCTGCACAAGGTCGTTGAGACTTTTCTAGAACTCCCCGGGGTTGTATTTATGGCCTTCAAGCAAACAAATTGAAAAGCAGTCAAGGAGGAGTTCAGATAGAAAAGTGCTGGAGATACACATCTTTCCTTCAAAGGAAATGTAATTTATTTCCAACCGCTGCCTCAGACGGGGGTTTCACATGTTGTGAAGTCACATCTTGAATGACTGTCACCCTCATCCTTCCCCAAAAAGCTAAATAAGGGCCTTTGGCATCAATGCGTGCATTCTCCACCTTTCCGCGGCTTGCGCTTGGATTTCTGAGTGGCTTTCTTCAGGGAGCCCTTGTGGTCATGTGTCTTTAATGCTGCTCCCCATGCCCCCAGGCCAGGCCAGCACGCTCAGGTGATAGCGAGTGGGGCCAGGAGACCCCCCTGCCCTGCCCAGTGGACAGATCTGCCCCAGCCCTGCTGTGGGGACGGGCCCTCTATCATTTAACCACATACATTAGGTTGCTTTTCAGCAAAATGTCAGCTTTCCTCCCATTATGCAGGAGAGAGAAGGGGCGCAGGTGTATCTCCTTAGAGTACACCTTGGAGCTGGATCACTAAGAAACAGTCCTCAGACTGGTCCTTCCGACACAGGCAGAGAGTGAACTGGATCGCTGGCCCCTGGGATGCTGCGCTGTCTGTGATTAGAGAGAAGTGGCCAGTGTCCCGTCTGTGATTAGACAGAAACCCCTGTGGCAGACTCCTCCCCTCTCCATGAAGAAAGAAATATTTACTTAGATATTACTGTTTCAAAACACAAACTTTATTCCCCTTAGAGAAGAAATACTGCCCTTAAATAGACTGTTGAAATATTAATGGCCCCCCCATTTAATCAGTGTGTCTGCGGCTTTCTTCGCGTCACATGTCCGCATTGGCAGGTGATTCTGGAAAGGGATTCTGGGAAACCAACAAGTCTTTTTTAAATCTTTGAGTTGTATGAGAAAGTATTTAAGTTCACCAGTGTAGTAAACACCCACCCCAGAGCAGCGGTAAGCAAACCTAAATCTGAAAACCCATTCTTACTGTCTTTCACCATGAGATGCTGGTTTTGGTGTAAAATGACAGCACTTGGTTTGGGGTTTTGCACCTGTTGGGTAGAACTGTTCTTGTCTGAGGTCCTCACCCTCTACAGATGGGCCTCAGGGCCTGGAGGTGGGCAGATGGGGCCAGAGTGGCCAGCAGAGACTTGCATGGGCTCTGAAAGCCCCAGAGCTCAGGCCTAAGGCTGCTAGGTGAGACCAGCAGGCAGCTGTGGCATCCGACCTTGGGACGCCCAAGCTGGGCAGCCGCTCCATGTGCCCCAAACAGGATATCCTCATGAATGTGAGGAGAGGCTGGCTCAGGGCTTGGTTTTCATTTTGGCCTGGCACAGGGTACCTGTAGGGAGCACTCCCCCAACCTGAGGATGGTGAAACCATATGATAGAGACTCCTTGTCGAAGTCCACATCGGACTGATCTAGAATGCCCCGTGGGGGGATTGCATGGCCTTTGCCTTGAGATGCAGGTGAAAGAAAGGAACCAAACAAGGCATGAGTGTGTTGGGGAATCTTCCCAGTGGAGCAAACCCCCTTAACACACCAGCTGTTGGGAACAGCTGCCCCTAAATCCAATTAAACCCTCATCTCCCTGGTGCTGAACAGTCTACACTGGCCCAGGAAGCTAACGTCTGAGCCGCTTGGAGAGCTTTGGTAAACAGAAGACACTGGAAGCCCACTCGGTCAGCAGCTGGGCATGAGGATGTCAGGGGCCTTTGGACTTGAGGAAGGACAGTCCAGGTGCATGGAATCCTAATGGGCCTCATGCAGACACTGGAAGCAGCCCAGCCCCCTGCCCAATACCACAGCCCTGGGGTGTCCCCTGACATTCCTGGAGGTCCCTGGGCAAATGCATTTCCTGCCTGGGTTCTCAGGGTAGGAGAACAGAGAAGGCTCCAAGGGTGTTGGGAGTGAGCCAGGGGCTGGTCTGGGGAGTGGGTCTCACGCACTGCTCAGGTTGGCACGAGGGACCTCCCCCATCCCAACCCAGCCCCAAGGGTCCCAGCAGGGCTCTCAGCATGGCTGTTTTGAGGGTACACAGGTGGCTGGAGAGGGGTGGGGCAGTTGCATGGTGGGTGGCAAAGTGTGCATTTAGAAGCTGCTTCGTGGCGTTAAGAACGGGGGGAGAGGGACCAGCACTGTAACGTTAGAAATAATTCCTTCTTGCAGACTTGAAAAGCATCAGTTTCCCTCCCACGGCTGGGTTTTTGTGTCTGAAATACATCTAATTCTCCAGACTGCAGCCCCTCTCAGCCCCGAGCACCTGAGCGCTGGGGAGGCCCTTATTGAGCTCAGCCTGGAGAGGGGAGGGTCGCACGGGTCCCGGGGGCAGGTCTCCTGCACTGGCTCTTCCCTTCTGCCAGCTTGGAATTTGGTTCTCATCTTGCCACAGGGGTGCGTTTCCTAAAGGGCAGCCGGAGCAGCTCAAAGGTGACAACTGAGATGCATTTCTAGGCAGGGGCAGGGAAGGCCAACCCACCTTGCAGCCAGTTTTCTGTTTCTGTAAATAGCAGTGTATAGAGATGGAAGGGCAGCGTGGGTGTATCCACAGATGGGTTTAGGTTTTTTTTTTGGATGTTTTCTATTACCTCATTCAGCAACTTTATGTTTCACAATGACTCAATGATGCTTTATTTATATTGTTTGTACTGTAATTAAAACCATTGACAGACATTTCACTTTGCTTGTTATTTCATATGATCTTGTTTTGATTAAATATGCCAGTTTGTATTTTCCTGCCTTGGGATTTTTTTGTGTCCGCTGTACAGTATTCTAAGGGAAAAAGAAAAAGAAAGATGTGTAAAGTAACAGAGAGAGGTGGCTATGGTGTAGAGACCTCTTTCTAATAAAGAAATGAAAATATGTCTACACCGCTTCCGTGGAGTTGTTGTTTTTTGTTTTTTGTTTTTTTTTTTTTTGGTGGCGTTGGTCATTTGTCACAACTAATTGTGTTTCTAAGCCCAGGAAAGGTAAATCAGAGAGAAAAGGGGCTCTGTCTGCTGCGGGCAGGGATTGCCCCAGGCCCAGGCTGCCCCAGGCCCGAGGGACTCAGCACACGAGTTCACAGACGGAATGAAGAAAGAGACCAGGAGTGTCTCTTCTGACTTCTTCCTTTACAAGGACAGAAACTCCAAGAGAATGTTCTTTGCCCAGCCAGGGTTGACTGGGCCCAGAACTTCCAGATGCTTCTGTATCTTTGCACTGTGCCACACTGCCCCAGGTGTGTCGTAAGAACTATTCCCAGCAGGTGGCTAGCAGTAGAACCATCCCAGGACTCTATTATTAAGACCGTTATTATCATTAATATTACTGTAATTTTTGCCTACAAACTACATTATATCTTCCCCTCCAAAAAAAAAAAATGAGAAAACTGACCAGGCCTGGTGGTTCACACCTGTAATTCCAGCACTTTGGGAGGCCAAGGCGGTTGGATCACTTGAGGTCAGGAGTTCAAGACCAGCCTGGCCAACATGGCGAAACTCCGTCTCTACTTAAAATATAAAAATCAGCTGGGCATGGTGGGACATGCCTGTAATCCCAGCTACTCCGGAGGCCGAGGCAGGAGAATCACTTGAACCCAGGAGGCGGAGGTTGCAGCAAGTCAAGACCATGCCACTGCACTCCAGTCTGGGCGACAGACCAAGACTCCATCTCAAAAAAAAAAATGCCACCACTAATTTTGGGAATGCCTTCCAGACAGTCTTCTCTGCAAATACAGGGGTGTCCTCTTCCCCCTACTCTTCCATTCAAGAAATAGAGAACCTCGTGATCTCATGACACATTAGTGACATTTTTTGTTGAAGTTTTCCCATGGTGTGGGAGCCCATAGTGCCACAAAATGCCTCGTGGACGGCCACAACATGGAATGTGAGGCCACAGCGAGGGCAGCCCCTCACCCAGCACAGAGACCTGGTCACCTGCCGTCACAGGACACCCACAGGCCTCATGCACAAGGGTACTGGGCTGACTTGTCTTCTAAGAAATGCGGAAGAAGAAAAAGCACAAGGAAAGGTGCTTTTAGGAGGAATCAATGCCATTTAAGTGCATATAGATGGCCGAGCACGGTGGCTCACGCCTGTCATCTCAGTACTTTGGGAGGCCGAGGTGGGCGGATCACCTGAGACCGGAAGTTCCAGACCAGCCTAGGCAACATGCCAAAACCCCGTCTCTACTAAAAATACAAAAAATTAGCCAGGCGTGGTGGCGCATGCCTGTGGTCCCAGCTACTTGAGAGGCTGCGGTGGGAGGATTGCTTGACGCAGGAGGTGGAGGTTTCAGTGAGCCGAGATCATGCCACTGCACTCCAACCTGGGTGACAGAGCGAGACCCTGTCTGAAAAAAAAAAATGCATATTGCTTATCTGATGAATTTAATAACAGATTTACAAAACAGCAGCTTAAATAAATGAAGGGTTTCTTTTTCCTCCCAAAAGAAGAAGCCTGGAGAGAGGCAAGCCTGGGCTGGCCAACAGCTGCAGAGTCTGCTGGGCCCAGCCTCCTCCCGGCCGTCTGGTCAACCATGGCTCCCAGGTGCTTGTTACCTCTGGGCACCCCCGAGAGGGGCATCTCCAGCATCTGCATTCCAGTGAGAAGAAGAGAGAAGGTGAGAGAAGAGGCAGCTGAGTCGGTCCCTCTTAACCAGCTTCCCCAGAAGCCACCCTCATGCCTCCACTTACACACCACTGACCAGACTGGGCGGGGTCCCTCAGGGCTGCAAGGGATGCTGGGAAATGGGGGGAGGGGTGATGTGGAAGGATGGGGAGAGCAGGTTTTGAATAGGCGGCTCACGTCCCTGCCCAGCCACCTTGTTTCCCCACCATTCACACGCACCCTTCGGTCAGCACACAGAACACTCCCTCCCCAGGAGAGACCCGGGGGCCAGGCCGTGCCTGCCCTGCTGCTGCTCAGTGGCTCCTCCTCTGTCCATAGCATTGTCCACACCCAGCTTCCCTCCAGGGCTCTAAGTAAACCTCAGAGTATCTGTCACCCTCCTAGGAGGTGTCAGGGCCCCAGGAGTGGGAAACGGAATCACCTTCCCAGACCAAGGTACTTAAGCCAGGTGCTCTGGGAAGCTCTCAGGTCACAAAAGCAAGACTGAATGTTTAGATTTCATAGCCAAGACTTGTATTGTGATCACACGCAGTGCTGGCAAGGCCAAGGTGAGGCGAACCCAAACACGCTGCTGGTGGAAGCAGTGCCCCTGCAAAGCCATATGGAATTGTGCACAAAGACTCTGAAAAGCTTCCCTCATGACCCAGGAAGGCAGAACCTGGACCACACCTTCACCACGATAGAGGCTTAGTACGTGTTTATTGACCACATGAATGAATTCAATGCCCACGAATCTGGCCAGGGGATAATGGGAATACTTTGACATGTGCCTAAAAATGTTCATGTCTATGGTATTTATAGTAACAATATTGGAAGCAAGGTCAAAGCCCAACAGGGAGAGAGTTAAATAAATCATCATGCATCTGTAAAGGGGAGGAAGATTTAGTCATTTCAAACTGTGTTTATCACATGGGGAAATAATATAAATAAAAAATTAGGATATAAAAAAAGTATTTACAGGAGTGATCTCTAATTAAAGATATTTTAATATCCAGGAAAAAATATACAAAATGTTAACAGTGCTGTCTTTCTCTGGGGAATCCTGGGTGGTTTTTATTTCTTTCTTTTACTTTACTGTTCCCATTTTCTCCATTAGCATGTACAGGTTGAATATCTTTAATCTGAAACCCAAAATACTCCAAAATACAAAACTTTTTGAGCACCAACATGATTCCGTAAGTGGAAAATTCCACATCTGACCTCGTGTGGCAGGTTGCAGTCAAAACTTGGTTTCATGCACAAAATTATTGAAAATGTTGCATAAAATTACCTTCAGGCTATGTGTACAAGGTATGTGTGAAACACGTGAATTTTGTATTTAGATTTGGGTCCTCTCCCCAAGATATCTCATTGCAAATATTGCAAAATCTGAAAAAAGTCAAAAGCCAGATCACTTCTGGTCCCAAACATTTTGGATAAATGATGCTCATCCTGTATTGTAAAAAGTTACATTGAGGCATATCTTGAAGCTCACATTTTGCCACAGACTTTAAAGAAAGTGTTTGGGGTTTTTTTATTAATATATTGTTCTCATGCTGAAATTGGAAAAACCATTGGTTAACTACTTTGATCCTGAAAACAAATTGATTATAAGTTAGGAAGCAGCCCAGGCACGGTGGCTCACACCTGTAATTCAAACACTTTAGGAGGCTGAGGCAAGAGAATCGCTTGAGGCCGGGAGTTCAAGATCAGGCTGTGCAACATAACAAGACCCCAAGTCTACAAAAAAAAATTCTTTTTTTTTTTTTTTTTTTTTTTTTGAGACAGGGTCTCACACTGTCGCCCAGGCTGGTGTGTAGTGGCACAATCTCAGCTCACTGCAAGCTCCGCCTCCCAGGTTCACGCCATTCTCCTGCCTCAGCCTCCCAAGTAGCTGGGACTACAGGCGCCCACCACCGTGCCTGGCTAATTTTCTGTATTTTTAATAGAGACAGGGTTTCACCATGTTAGCCAGGATGGCCTCCATCTCCCGACCTTGTGATCCACCCGCCTCGACCTCCCAAAGTGCTGGGATTACAGGCGTGAACCACCGCACCTGGCCAAAAAATTTTTTTAAATTAGCCAGGCGTGGCATCGTACACCTGTAGTCGGCTTCTCAGGAGGCTGAGGTGGGAGGATCGCTTGAGACCAGGAGTTTGAGGCTGCAGTGAGCTATGATTGCACCACTGCACTCCAGCCTGGGCAACAGAGCGGGACCCTGTCTCTAATAAAGAAAGAAAGAAAAATAAAAATTTTAAAAATTAGGAAGCATTGCAATAAGGAGCAAACCAAACTGTAAGTTACAGAATCTGAAGAAATAAAGTTCAAACTGACTCCTGACCACAGCATCCGAACACAGCTGGGAACCTTCCAGAAGGCCAACCCTGCCTCCTGCTGCCCTCCCAGCCCCCTCCTCTCCCACCAGGGGACCATGCTGACTCCTGAATGTTCTCTCCTTGCCTTTTCTTGTCCCTCCCGGGGATCGGATCCTGCTCTTCACCTTTTCCTCCACCTGGGAAGGCCCTGCTCTCTGTGGCTTCTTCCTTGTCATCTCTGGGGTCTCTGATGAACTGTCCCTTCCTCAAAGAGGCCTCCACACCTGGCCCCTGGCTCCTGGCCCCATCAGGCTTCCCTGCTCTTGTGTTTGGCAGTCCTTCCCCATGGTGCTCACCACAGGCCTTTCCTTGTGGGATCATTCACCTCCCCTGAGCTCCAAGGCCATGGATCTGTGTGAGTTACACCCAGGGCCCAGGGACCAGCCTGAATGAATATCCACTGACTCAACTAGTGAATGAAGGAAGGAACAAGCTCTGGCCCATCAATGGTCTTGCCTTCCTTGGCGCAATTGAGTGTCGAGTGTCCAGCTGCAGCAGCAATTTTCTTTGGGTCAAAGGAAACCAAACCTCATTATAACTGTGACAGGAGTGAGGACAAAACATGGGCTGGGGGGGATGCACCCAAGGGACCCTCCTTCCAAATTCCAGCCAGGCCCGCCCAGTTCCCCTGGAAGGCAGGGCCAGACTCGCTCAGCCCTCCCTCCTCTGCTGCCCATGGCACTTCGGTGGAATCTCAGCCATGGCCTGTGTCTCAGGGGCCGGGTCCCTTGTTGACCTGCGGGCTCTCCCCCAGCCTGGGCTCGCACAGGGCTCCCCACCCCACCCTCGCTACACCCGGACCTGCCCGTGGTGACAGCGAAGATGACAGTGCGGCTGTACAATGGACAAAAGCCTGGCAGTCCACGCCAGCCGCGAGTGGGGAGGAGTTACGATCAGCCCTACTGTCTCCAGCACGTTCCGAGAAGCTACTCAGTCGCAATTTATCACCACTAGAGTCCAGTAAGGCTCCTAATTGGCCCATAAATGTGGTCCAATAACCGCGCCTGACATCCAAAGACACTGCAGGCAATTAGCACTTATTTATTTGCATATGGTATTGACCAATGCGCTAGCTGCACTCACTTTCAAGATCTGTTTATTTTTAAAGCTGGAGGGGAAAAAAAGCCCTCATTTACTGCACTACAAGGGGAACTACCACACACACACACACACACACACACACACACACACACACACCACTAGCAGGGATGATGGGAACTTGGCATCGCACTGCCTCTGGCTAAAGGGATTCAGTGATTCACTTGTGTGCAGGGTCCTGTCAATATCTTACAAAGTACTCAATAGATGCAACCTGTCCAGGTGACTGTGCCGGCGCAGCCAGCAGCAGCCTTCTTGCCCGGAGGAGGCTGAGGGGATGGAGCAGCCCGAGGAGATGGAGTAGCCCAGGACTGCACCCCACTTGTGTGGGTTTTCCAAATGTATGGCAAATTGCCTTTGCCAAACCGCACTCGGCTAGGACCGCAGGCACGTACCACCATGCCAGACTAATTTTTGGCAGAGATGGGGTTCCATCATGTTACACCAGCTGGTCTTGAACTCCTGGGCTCAAGCGATCCATCCGCCTCGGCCTCCCAAGGTGCTGGAATTATAGGTGTGAGCCACCACACCAGCCTGAGATTAAACTTGATTTTAATTTGTTATTTCTGCTTATTTGAATTACTTGTCTGAAAAATTATTATTTCTATAACTATTTTTAAAAGAAGGAAACAAAATGAAATGAACAATGACCAACCACCCAGAGACAGGCGATCTTAGGGTGTGGATATGTGTTCTGGCATTCTGGCATCTTTTTTAAAATATACATGTACTTTTTTTTTTTTGACGGAGTTTCGCTCTTCTTGCCCAGGCTGGTGTGCAGTGGCACAATCTCGGCTCACTGCAACCTTCACCTCCCAGGTTCAAATGATTCTCCTGCCTCAGCCTCTTGAGTAACTGGGATTGCAGGCACATGCCACCACACCCAGCTAATTTTTAGTAGAGACAGCGTTTCACCATATTGGCCAGGCTGGTCTCGAACTACTGACCTCAGGTGATCCACCCACCTTGGCCTCCCAGAGGGCTGGGATTACAGGTGTGAGCCATGGTGCCAGGCCACATGTACTTTTCAATTAAATTAAATTTTATTTTGAGACAGAGTCTTGCTGTGTCACCCAGGCTGGAGGGCAGTGGTGCAATCGTGGCTAACTACAGCCTCGACCTCTGAGACTCAAACGATCCTCTCACCTCAGCCTCCTGAGTAGCTGAGACTACAGGTATGTGCCACCACACCTGGCTGATTTTTTAATTTTTTGTAGAGAAGGGGGGGTCTCACTATGTTGCCCAGGCTGGGCTCAAGCAATCCTCCTGCCTTGGCCTCCCCTAGTGCTAGGATTACAAGAGTGAGCTGCTGTGCCCCACTGTACTTTTATTTTAAGAATAAAATAGCATTCTTCAAACCATCTTCTAGCCTATGCTTCCCTTCAAATGTTTGTGTTGAAAAATGTCACACCAACAAAGAAGTTGAAGAATGGAATCGTTCAGTGAACACCCAAAGATGCCCATCTCTACGCACTAGTTGTTAACATTTTAATACACGGCCATCTCTCTAGATAGACAGACTGACACACACTATGTTGAATTTTTTTTTTTTTTTTTGACAGAGTCTCACTCAGTCACCCAGGCTGGAGTACAGTGGCACAATCTTGGCTCACTGCAACCTTTGCCTCCCGAGTTCAAATGATTCTCCTGCCTCAGCCTCCTGAGTAGCTGTGATTACAGGTGCACACCACCACACGTGGCTAATTTTTTTTTTTTTTGTATTTTTAGTAGAGGCGGGGGTTTCACCATGTTGACCAGGCTGATCTCGAACTCCTGACCTCAGATGATCGGCCTGCCTCGGCCTCCCAAAGTGCTGAGATTACAGGTGTGAGCCACCGCGCCCAGCCACATTTTAAAGTAAAGGAGCTACAGCAGGACTTTTCAGCCTTAAATAAATAAATAAGCACAAGGACTTTCTCCTCTGTAACCACAAGACCATGATGACTCCCAGGATGGGTACCATTGGTATGATATAATATGCAGTCCCTATTCAAATTGCCTCAATTGTCCTGTAATGTCTTTCTCAGCTGATTTTTCCCCTTATCCAAGATCCAATCAATAATCACACAGAGCTCTTAATTGTCATGAGAAACCTACTTCTTAAAACTTAAATGAGCATGAACAACTTTTCATGGCAGAAAAAAAAAAAGTTCTCTAACAAGATCGAAACACTTACCACTGGGAATCAGGCTGCTTGGCTCCCCATACTTCACCAATATGGGGTCACTTTTGTTTCCAATTTGAAAGGCCAAAAATAGGTTCTCTTAGTTTATCTGCATTTTATTACCATTAGGGGTAGAATTTTTTATGTTTAATGGCAAATTCTATTTTGTGTTGTTACCCTTGCATATTCTTTGTTCACTTTTGTATTTATCTTTTTATTTTTATTTTATTTTTTATTTTTAGAGCTGGAACCTCGCTCTGTCACCCAGGCTAGAGTGCAGTGGTGTGATCATAGTTCACTGCAGTCTGAACCCCTGGGCTCAAGCCGTCCTCCCACCTCAGCCTCCAGAGTAGCTGGGACATTAGGCACAATATTTTTGTTACCGATGTGTTAACTTAGAGGATACTAACCCTTTATATAACATAATGTGTTATAACATTTATCTCATTTTTTCCTTTTTAATCTTACGATTTTTTAATGTGCAGAATTTTAACACTATGAACTCAAATCAGTCTTTACCCTTATGATTCCTGCCTTTGGTGCTATGCTTAGAAAACCCTTCCTTGCGGCTGGCCAAGGTGACTCACACCTGTAATCCCAGCTCTTTGGGAGGCCAAGGTGGGCAGATCACCTGAGGTCAGGAGTTCGGAGACCAGCCTGGTCAACATGGTGAAACCCCGTCTGTACTAAAAATACAAAAACTAGCCGGGGGTAGGTGCCTGTAGTCCCAGGTGCCTGTAGTCCCAGCTACTTGGGAGGCTAAGCAGGGACAATTGCTTGAACCTGGGAGGTAAAGGTTGCAGTGAGCCGAGGTCACGCTATTGCACTCCAGCCTGGGCAACAAGAGCAAAACACCATCTCAAAAAAAAAAAAAAAGAAAAGAAAAGAAACTTCTTCCTTGCTCAAGAGTATCCAAAACTCAGTTTCTCTTTAGTAGACTTCCATTATTTTATGGCATTTTATTACATTTAAATTTTCATTCATTGTTCATTTGCGAAATTTTTACTTTTTCCAAATGGTTAGCTATTTGTGCCAATTAAACAATAGGATGGAAGGCTTTTTTAATGGATGACACATAAATTATGGAATATCCACATGATAGGTTAGCATTAGCCATTGAAAAGAATCATGTAGACCTACATGTGCTGACATGGGAAGATGTCCAGAATATACTATTAAATAAAACATTCGGCTGTGTGTGGTGGCTCATGCCTGTCATCCCAACACTTTGAGAGGCTGAGTCGGGTGGCTCACTTGAGCCCAGGAGTTTGAGACCAGCCTGGGCAAAATGGCAATTCCCCGTCTCTACAAAAAATACAAAAAATTAGCCAGGTGTGGTGGCAAGCACCTGTAGTCCCAGCTACTCAGGAGGCTGAGGTGGGAGGATCACCTGAGCCTGGGAGATTGAGGCTACAGTGAGTCATGATCTCACCACTGCATTCCAGCCTGGGCATCGGAGTGAGACCCTGTCTCAAAAAAAAAAAAAAAAAAATTCAAGTTGCAGAGGAGTATATAGACATGTAGCATAGGACCTCAAAGCAGAGGCCGTGTGTGCTCACACATGCACATACACACATACACAACACATTCTGTTGTCCCTCTTGGTTTCCTGTCTGCCCCCTCCTCTTTTGATTTCCAGATGTTGGAGGCCCCAGGACTCAGTCCTCAATCTATGATATTCTCTATCCATGGTACTTTCTAGGCAATCTCATCTAGTCCCAAAGGGTCCAATATTTGCCTGTGACTTCCAAATTTTTATCTCTAGCCTTGCTGCCACCCTGGATTCTAGACTCATATCCACTGATGAGTAGGTATTCAATGTAGTTAGGAATGCTTTTGGCCGCAAATAATAGAATCCTCAAATAACAAATGCTTGTACTAAAGATGTTTAATTCTATCACATAATATATTTAAAGGCAGACAGTCCAGAGCTGGTCTGTGGCTCAGCTATGTTATTTCTTTAAATTGAGTTTCTTCATTTTGCTCCACTATCATTGGCAAACCGGTTGCCACCTCCCAGTCAAAAGATGGCTGCCATGACTCCAGGCATTACATTCATGTCCAAAGCAAGAATAATGGGATAAAGAGATGGAACTTGCCACATCTATCATTTCTATCAGGAGAGTAAAGACATTCCTAGATTTTCGGCATCTTCTAGCAAACTTTCCCCTATGACTTTCTCATTGGCCAGAACTTGGTCATATGGCCATGTTTGGTTGCAAGGGAGGTTTGAAAAGCAAGTATCTATCCCTTCCAGCCTCTGTTCTGTTGGTGGGAAAGAGAAAAAGGAGCCGGGAATAGGTGTTGCCGTCGCCAAGCAACAGTGTCTCCAATGGCGAATAGTCACCTCAGGTGTAACTCCCCAAACGGAAATGCACAATTCCTTCCCAGTTCGACTCTCCTAAATATGCCCCATCTTGGGAAGCAGCACTCACCCTCCCCAGATGCTGGCCCAAATGCTCAGGAGCCATCCTACACTTCTCTCTCTCTCCCTCCTATCAGTCTGTCCTATTGTCTCCAAAGATCCATCCCAGAGTTGACCACATCTCCCCCGCAAATCTGAGCTCCGCGTTACTCCAGTCGCCCCAAGCTGGCTTTCCTGCTGCTCCTGCTGCCCCTGGGTTTCATCTTCACTTGGAAGCTAGAATAACCCTCTTAAAGTGAAAGTCGGCTGGGTGCAGTGGCTCACGCCTATAATCCCAGCACTTCAGGAGGCCGAGGCGGGCGGATTGCCTGAGATCAGGAGTTCGAGACTAGTCTGGCCAACATGGCGAAACCCCATCTCTCCTAAAAATACAAAAAAGTTAGGCAGGCATGGTGGCATGTGCCTGTAGTCCCAGCTACTCAGGGGGCTGAGGCAGGGGAATTGCTTGAACCCAGGAGGTAGAGGTTGCAGTGAGCCGAGATCGCACCACTGCACTCCAGCCTGGGCGACAGAGCGAGACTCCGTCTCAAAAAAAAAAAAAAAAAAGTCGGCTCATGAAACCCCTGTGCTCGCCACACGGACGGCTTCCTGGCACCCCTAGGATAAAAGCAAGACACTTACCATGCCCTGCAAGGTCCTACGTGATCTGGCCTGCCTCCTCTTCTGATGTCTCCTCCTCAAGCTCCCCCCCCGACCCTGTGCATTGCCCCCCACCCTCAGACACACCGGCCTTGCTTTTTCTGAACAATCTGAATAAGTTCCCATTTTTGCACTTGCGGTCCCCCCTCGCCCCGCCCCCGCCCCGGCCCCTGCCCCGTTAGCTCCTCATGCAGTCCTCCCGTGGCTCCTCCTTTGCCTTCTTTAGGTTCAAAGCTCATTTCCCCAGAGAAGCACAGCCTGACCCTGTAACTCAGTCCCTACCTCCAACACTCCCTTTTCCCTTATTCCACTTTCTTTGTCTCTGGGGCGCTTACCGCTACTGAGCGATCGCACACCTTCACTGTTACCTGCTGGAGTCTACATCCTCTCCAGAACATGGATCCCAGGAGGACAGGCCACACTTCTACCTCACTGTCCTCTTTTTCCCAGCACCCAAAACAACACCTTGCATATAGTGTTTAGTCAATATACTGAATAAATCAGTTTTGCCCTCCCCTCACTGCTCTGGAAACTCATCAGCTGTAATTACACTGAAATGTCTGCCCCGGCTCCCAGCCCTGGCCACGCAGAGTTGCCAGGTGGAAAGCAGCTGGACAGACCATCCGTGTGGACTTCCGAGTGGCTGCGAGGAGGAACTCACAATTGCTGCTGCTGCTGCTGGCTTTCTCTGCCTGCAGTGTCCTGGTGTGCCCTGGGACCTGCTTTGAGCCAGGTTCAGACGGTCTCTGAAACAGCTGCTCTGCCAAGAACCCAGAATCTGGAGATGGAGACAGATGGGACACAGCAGCCACAGCCTGAGACTCCTTGCTCCAAGGTCCTGAGAATCTCCACCTCCTCCGGCTGCATCGCACCAGAGAGTTGTCCTGTCTGTGGGTTTGGGGGAGGGGAAAGCACCAAGAGCTCAGGAAAGGGCACTTCCTGGCTCGTTATTAGGCAGTAGCACCCCAGATAAATCAGCTCCCAGCCACTCTGCAGGAGTCCACGATGGGGAGCAGGCAGGACTGAGCCAGGCTGCCCAGACTGGAACCTCAAGGCCCCAGAAATGTGTGCTTGGGGAGAACCGGGTTGTTCCCTTCAGCCCTGACTATCCCGGGAGAGGCCTGGAAAGGAAATCACTGAATTGTCCAATAGAGGGCGCTGGTTAGAGGCTACGGACCGGCCGGGTGTCGGGAGGCTGAGGCGGGAGGATTGCCTGAGCTCAGGAGTTTGAGACCACCCTGGGCAACATGGTGAAACCCCATCTCTACTAAAATACACACAAAAAATTAGCTGGGCGTGGTGGTGGGAGCCTGTAATCTCGGCTACTCACGAGAATTGCTTGAACCCGGGAGGCAGAGTTTGCAGTGAGCCGAGATTGCGCCGCTGAACTCCAACCTGGGCGACAGAGCAAGACTCTGTCTCAAAAAAAAAAAGAAGATAGGGACCAAATGGGCCAAAAGAGCCAGGCCCTTCCATATGTTCTGTGTATTCTGATTATGGAAAAGTGACCATGATATAGTAATTTTTAAAAAGTCAAGGTACAGACTAAAACATCTCTGCTAGTATAAAATGCAACACATAAACATACCATTTACCCATTTATATATACTGATGCATGCACAGAAACAATTTCTCGAAGAAACACAAACCACTGTGACCTATGTTGGAGCACAGTGAGTGGCGTCACCATCTAGCGCTCAGGGAGCAGAGGTCCTGTGAGATGTCAGTTACCTGAGCAGTGATGTGCTGGCGGTGGCTTTCACCGTCTCCCACGAGCTGCTCTTGAGTACCTCTTCCCAATTCTGTGTTCCGTGACATCACATGGGTAGCTGGGAATGGGCCATGGTGGGAGTATTTACACCACGGAAATTGGCAAATGCTACAAATCAAGGTCCTCCCCGCCACAGACACCCACCCCCAGAGCCGGTTGTTAAGCCTTTACTGCCACACCTGAAATAAAGTGTTCTGCTCTATGGAACCTCAAAGAGGACTTTGTGGTCACATACATATGTGGAAAATGCTGAATATGGGACTTCAAACAGCCTCTGGGGGCTCAGGCCCCCCATCAGCATAGTGAAGCCTCCCAGAAGAGGTTGAGCAAGGAGGTCTAATGTAACTAACTGATTTTTAC
The DNA here is from genome assembly GCF_000001405.40 of Homo sapiens. Taxonomy (NCBI): domain Eukaryota; kingdom Metazoa; phylum Chordata; class Mammalia; order Primates; family Hominidae; genus Homo; species Homo sapiens. The sequence continues at coordinate 236,144,347 of NC_000002.12, forward strand.
ACGATACATGTTTTGTTACTGTGTTCTTGAGGACATCCTAAGGAAAACACAGTTTTTTGAGTTAAAATCTTTCATGATCTATTTAGACCCATTTGCCTATAGAGCGTGCCATCCCCTCTAACGCCATGATCCACTCTACAGCCATGATCCACTCTAAAGCCATGATCCACTCTAAAGCCATGATCTAAAGCCAGGGTAGCAGAGCCACGAAGCAGTTAAGCATCCCCTAGCTAGGAGCTCATAAATGTCTCCATCTTACAAAAAAACAGAATGAGGCGTCAAGAGGTCAGGAACCTGCCCAAGGCCACACAACTGTGTGAAAATGCAAAGCTGAGGCCTGAGCACCCCTTGAAATGTTACTAGCTACATCCCTGGGTGAGGGATCTAAGCCCTGGCTTGGTGGGGTGCATGTGTGTACACATGCTAAACTGAAACCTGATGTAGCCGTAGATTAAAAAGCAAAGTGAAGCATCCCTGGCAAAGTCAGGAACACAGCAAAGATGCAGATTATCACCACTACCACACATTACTATATTGGAGGGTCTAGCCAGTGCAACAGACAAGAATAAAAGGGGGTATAAATATTGGAAAAGGAGAGAGAAAACCCACAAAAAAATCAACTGCACACTGATAACATCTGAAATTTTCGTGTAAGATAAAGGTTCCCATTTATAATAGCAACTGATATTTGTTAAGCACCTAGGCGTGCATTGCAGAAGGCATGTGTGAGCCTCACATGAGCAAAATTCTAAATCTTTCCAGAAGCACAGCAGAGACCTGAACAACAGGAGAGCTGGCCCGTGATCGCACGCAACCAGACTGTATTGTGAAAATGTCACCTTACTTACCCTCCAGTAGCCTATAAATTCAGCACATTGGCAGTCAAAAGTCCAAATGGGTTTTTCAAAACAACTCAAATAGATGATTCTAAAATTCATTTGGAAGAGAAGATGCAAAAAATTAGCTAAGAAAAAGTGGAAAATGAAGAACAAGGAGGAACTCCCCACATCAGATAACAAAACTAGAAAAATTAAGATGATGTGGCGTTGGAGCAGGAAGTAACAAATAAATCAGGCCAGGCGCGGTGGCTTATGCCTATAATCCCAGCACCTTGGGAGGCCGAGGCTGGCGAATCACCTGAGGTCAGGAGTTGAGACCAGCCTGGCCAACATGGTGAAAACCCATCTCTACTAAAACTACAAAACTTGGCCAGGCATGGTGGCTCACGCCTGTAATCCCAGCACTTTGAGAGGCCAAGGCAGGCAGATCACGAGGTCAGGAGTTCAAGACCAGCCTGGCCAACATGGTGAAACCCCGTCTCCACTAAAAATACAAAAATTACCCAAGCATGGTGGCGAGCGCCTGTAGTCCCAGCTACGCAGGAGGCTGAGGCAGGAGAATTGCTTGAACCCGGGAGGCAGAGGTTGCAGTGAGCCGAGATCTCGCCACTGCACTACAGCCTGGGTGATAGAGCAAGACTCTGTCTCAAAAAATAATAATAATAAATAACAAATAAATAAAATAAATATGAAACTTAGCCGGCCGTGTTGATGCATGCCTGTAATCCCAGCTACTCAGGAGGCTGAGGCAGGAATATCACTTGAACCCGGGAGGAGGAGGTTGCAGTGAGCAGAGATCATGCCACTGCCTTCCAGCCTGGGCAACAAGACGAGACTCTGTCTCAAAAACAAACAAACAAACAAACAAATAGATGAGAGTTATATCTAGGTTCTGGAAGGTGGACCATAAACATATGGGAATTCAGAATTCCATAAAAGTAGCACATCACATCAATGGAAAAAATGAATTATTTATAAGTAGGGAGGGACAGTTAGCCAACCATTCAGGGACAAGTGTCCTTAGACTCCTACCCTGCCACAGGCAAAAATAAATTCCAAATAGAATTTATCTAGCAAATGCAAAATCCAAAAGTATTAGAAAAATATGGCATATTTTTAGAATTCTGGACTGAAGAAGGCTTGCCTCATCAAAATATAAAAATCAATATCTTAGAAGAACGGACAGATTTTGCTTACATAAAAATTATACAGTAAAATGCATCATTTGTCTCTTCTTAGAGGCTTTTTACCCCTCAGAACTTTAAGCAAGGCATCAGCAATAGGAAATACAAAGGTTAGAAGAAAATAATACTTTGACAAATCTAGTCAGGAGAGCATTCATGAGGATACTTGCATGAAGCCTTCAAAAAATCAATGCCATGGAAGGGGAGGTAGGTGTTCTAGAATAAGAGCGACTCAAATTCGGCTGGGCGCTGTGGTTCATGCCTGGAATACCAGTGTTTTGGGAGGTTGGGGTGGGAAGATTGCTTGAAGCCAGGAGTCCAAGACCGCCTGGGCAACATAGTGAGATCCCATCTCTACAAACAAAAATTTAAAAATTAAAAAAAATTTTTTTTTTTTTGTTAAATGGAGTCTCGCTCTGTCGCTCAGGCTGGAGTGCAATGGAGCAATCTCGGCTCACTGCAACCTCCACCTCCTGGGTTCAAGTAATTCTCCTGCTTCAGCCTCCTGAGTAGCTGTAATTACAGGCACCTGCCACCATGCCCAGGTAATTTTTGTATTTTTAGTAGAGATGGGGTTTCACCATGTTGGTCAGGCTGGTCTTGAACCTCTGACCTCAAGTGATCTGCCTGCCTTGGCCTCCCAACGGGCTAGGATTACAGACGTTAGCCACGGCACCCAGCAAAAATTTTTCTTGGAAGACAGACTAAAAATCATAATAATCAAATGCAATTTATGAACCTTGATTGCTGTTTTTTTTTTTAAGCTATAACATATGAAGCACCTGAGGAAATCCAAATATGGACTGGGAATTGAAGGCTACTGTAAAATTACTGATAATATTTTTAGGTGGGTGATGATTTCAGAGTAAACTAGTCATATGTCTTTATTCTCAGAAGATGCATGAAGGGTTTAGAGTGATTCAACCACAAACAACAACAAAATATTAGCGACTATTGAATGTAGGTGATGTGTATACAGGAGTTCACATGCTATTCTTTTAATTTTCCTATATATTTAAATTTGAGAAATAGATTTCATTGGATAAGGTGTGATTCTAGAATGGGATTTATATAAGCTATGACAGTGAATAACAAAATAACCCACCATCCTACTGAAGTGCTGGAAAGTTACCAATGCCCCTGAGTATTTCTCCCGTAGAGGTAACCTCTATCTTCAATGCTGTGCTAATTGTTCCCTTCCTTTTTTTTTTTTTTTTTTTTTTTTTTGAGACAGTCTTGCTCTGCTGCCCAAGCTGGAGTGCAGGGCACAATCTCAGCTCACTGCAACCTCCACCTCCTGGGTTCAAGTGATTCTCCTACCTCAGCCTCCCACATAGCTGGGATTACAGGCGTACACCACCACGCCCAACTAGTTTTTGTATTTTTAGTAGAGACGAGGTTTCACCATGTTGGTCAGGCTGGTCTCGAACTCCTGACCTGAGGTGATCTGTTCCCCCTTGGCCTCCCAAAGTGCTAGGATTACAGGCATAAGCCACTGAGCCCAGGCTGTTCCCTTGCTTTTTAAAAGATAGTTCAGTTATTATACATAACAAGTACTTTTGCTTATTTCTGAGCTCTATAAAACTGGAAGCATTCTCTTTTTACATTCAACAGATTTTCCAAGATGTGTCCATGTTGTGTATTACTGAATGGAGTTCATTCATTTGTACCATTCCAGAATGCAGCACAATTCGAGTTTCCAGTTTTTACCATCACCAACCAGGCTGCCAGGAATGTTCTCACACACTTTTCTAGTGTGCAAGAGTTTCCCTAAGTCTATGGTCTTCCAACTCGCCCCTCATGGACTCCCTAAAAGAATTTGAAAAATGAGTATCTACTCTCATATTTTAAAGTTGAAATCTCAGTTTTTTAAATCATACCTGTAATCATTGAAAAATATATAATCTTGGCACATTGTAAATATTAACATTTAAAGATAATTACACAAACCTTTAATTTTTGAAATAAAATAATTTTATTTTATTATATTTCAAGTGTACTACACAAAAAATTAGGAATACCAAAGTATTAGGAATTTTGTCAAATATTTAAAGCAAGAAATGGCCTAATCAGGTTTTGTTTTGTTTTGTTTTTGGTTTTTGGTTTTTGAGACGGAGTCTCACTCACTCTATCGCCCAGGCTGGAGTGCTGTGGCGCGATCTCGGTTCACTGCAACCTCTGCCTCCTGGGTTCAAGCGATTCTTCTGCCTCAGCCTCTTGAGCAGCTGGGATTACAGGCGCATACCACCATGCCTGGCTGATTTTTTGTATTTTTATTAGAGACGGGGTTTCGCCATGTTGGCCAGGCTGGTCTCGAACTCCCGACCTCAGGTGATCCACCAGCCTCAGCCTCCCAAAGTTCTGGGATTACAGGTATGAGCCATCGCGCCCAGTCCTGATTGTTAATAAATACGATTTGCCTCTCTTAGTGGCTTTTTTATTTTTATCTTGAGACAGGATCTCCCTCTGTCACTCAGGTGGTGGCACAATCATAGCTCACTGCAGCCTTGATCTTCCAGGCTCAAGCGATCCTCTCACCTCAGCCTCCTGAGTAGCTGAGACTACAGGTGCATGCCACCACACCAGGCTATTTTTTTTATCTTTATTTTTAGTAGAGATAGGGTCTCATCTCACTATGTTGCACAGGCTGGTCTCAAACTGCTGAGCTCAAGAGATCCTCCAGCTTCAGCCTCCCAAAGGGCTGGGATTGCAGGTGTGAGCCACCACGCCCAGCCTCTTCACAGCAATACAGCTCTTCAAGCTACACTTTTTTTTTTTTTTTTTTTTTTTTTGAGACAGAGTCTCACTCTGTCACCCAGGCTGGAGTGCAGTGGCATGATCTTGGCTCACTGCAACCTCTGCCTCCGAGGCTCAAGGGATTCTCCTGCCTCAGCCTCCCAGGTAGCTGAGATTACGGGCAACTGCCAACATGCCCCACTAATTTTTTTTGTATTTTTAGTACAGATAGGGTTTCACCATGTGGCCAGGCTGGTCTCAAACTCCTGGCCTCAAGTGATCTGGCTGCCTTGGCCTCTCAAAGTTCTGGGATTACAGGTGTGAGCCACCGTGCCCAGCAAACTACACCGTTTTTTAAAGTGTGGACGCGGGAATACAAATGCCACCAATGCAGTGTCCCTGGTATCCAATTTGAAACTTCATGAGCAGCCTCTTCAACACTCAGAAATCTTACATTGCTCCATTTCTTTTTCTTGAAATTGTATATTCATTTTATTCTTCCCTCAATTTTTTTTTTTTTTTTTTGTTTTGTTTGGAGAGAGTCTCTTTTTGTATCTTTAGTAGAGACAGGGTTTCACCATGTTGGCCAGGCTGGTCTTGAACTCCTGACCTCAAGTGATCCGCCCACCTCGGCCTCCCAAAGTGCTGGGATTACAAGCATGAGCCACCACGCCGGGCCCAAATTTTTATTTTAATATTTGTTTCCTTAAAGTCCATTTATTGCTCATATTCTCTATGCTGGAAATATGCTATGAAAAAAATTCATAGCATTAATTTTTAATTTATTTTAACTTTCTCTGACCTAATTTCTCAAATTATTAAACAATATTTTTGGCCAAGCGTGGTGGCTCACACCTGTAATCCCAGCACTTTGGGAGGCCGAGGCAGGCAGATCACCTGAGGTCAGGAGTTAGAGACCAGCCTGGCCAACACGGTGAAACCCCGTCTCTACTAAAAGTACAAAAACTTAGCTGGCGTGGTGGTTTGTGCCTGTAGCCCCAGCTACTCGCGAGGCTGAGGCATGAGAATCACTTGAACCTGGGAGGCAGAGGTTGGAGTGAGCTGAGATCATGCCACTGCACTCCAGCCTGGGTGACAGAGTGAGATTCTACTTCAAAAAAAAAAAAAAAATTATACCAGCTGGTAACTTTCTTATTTCCTCTTCCATGTCATTGAGCACAATGCATTGAAAACCACCTGACTTGCAATAGGTTTATAAAGCAATCACTAGTCATTCACTTTTTCAATTCTGACATCAATATGTCTCAGTGCACCTAAATCTGACAATCTAGAACTTTCTGCAACCTGCGCTGACTCATCAAAGAAAAGATTTAGGCATGGGAAAGGGAAGGTAGGAAAATCATCACTTGTGAAAGGGGAAGCGGGAAAGGGGAAATGTAGAGAAGAGGACATTTGGAAGTTTGTCTGAATAGATTCCCTGAAGACTGTCAGTTTCTTGTAACTCCTTGGAAAATCATTGTGTGCATCCCTGTTTGAAACCATTGTTCTAGAATACATCCCTAAGAGTAGAGTTGCTGTGTGGTAGGATATGCATGTGTTTGACTTCACAGTACAAAAGCCAAACTGTTTTCTTACGTGGTTGTACAAATTGACATCCCCAAGTATGTATGAGAGTTCCAGGTACTCCATATCTTTGCCATCACTTGGTATTGTCAGGCTTTTTAATCTTTGCCAATCTGATGAATGTATAATGGTATATACCATGAATGAATGTATAAAGGTATCTCATTAAATGGCTTTAGTGTGAATTTCTCTGATTACAAATGAGATTGAGCATATACTCATAAATGTACTTGCCAAGCATGGTTTCTCGTTTGTGAAATCCCTATTTGTAGACTTTTTTTTTTTCCTATTTTATATGGACTAATTTGTTCCTTTGTCATGAGTAGCTGTTCTTTATCATTGTTTAGACCAACCCCTTGCAAATATTTTCTTCTAGTTTGTGGCTTTTTTTTTTTTTTACTGCCCTCATTTGATGAACAGTGCTTTTACATCCTGTTTAAGAAATCCTCTCCCAGTTAGGTGTGGTGGCTCATGCCTGTAATCCTAGCACTTTAGGAGGCTGAGGTAGGAGGATCCTTTGAGGCCAGGAGTTCAAGACCAGCCTAGACAACATAGTGAGACCTCATATTTACAAAAAATGAACAAAGTTAGCTGGATGTGGTGGTGCGCACCTGTAGTCCCAGCTACTCAGGAAGCTGAGGTGGGAGGATCACTTGATACTGCAAGATCGAGGCTGCAGAGAGCCAAGAGTGCTCTGCACTCCAGCCTGGGTGACAGAGCAAGGCTCTGTCTCTAAAAAGAAAGAAAAATCCTCTCCTCTAGAAAATATATTCTTCTAAAATTTTTAAAAATTTACCTTTTACATTGATGTCTTTAATCTACTTGTAATTAATTTGTGTGTGTGGTATGAGGGAAGCCTCCAGTTGAGTTTTTTTTTTCCTGGCAAGATAATCCAGTACGGCCAGACATGGTGGCTCATGCCTGTAATCCCAGCACTTTGGGAGGCCAAGGCAGGTGGATCACCTGAGGTCGGTAGTTTGAGACCAGCCTGGCCAACATGGTGAAACCCTGTCACTACTAAAAATACAAAAATTAGCCAGGCGTGGTGGTGCATGCCTGTAATCCCAGCAACTTGGAAGGCTGAGGCAGGAGAATTGCTTGAACCTGGGAGGCGGAGGTTGCAGTGAGCCGAGATCACACCACTGCACTTCAGCCTGGGCAAAAAAGTGAGACTCCATCTCAAAAAACAAACAAACAAAAAAGGTAATCCATTATCTCTGTCATAAATCAAGTTTCCAGAGATGCATGGGGTATATATATTGGCCCTTTCCTTCTGTTTCCTTACCTGGTTTCTTCATTCCCATGTCAATACTACACTTTCTTCCTTAAGAGAACTTTACAAGTCTTTTTTTTTTTTTTTTTGAGGTGGAGTCTCGCTCTGTCGCCCAGGCTGGACTGCAGTGGCGCGATCTCAGCTCACTGCAAGCTCCACCTCCTGGGTTCACACCATTCTCCTGCCTCAGCCTCCCGAGTAGCTGGGACTACAGGTGCCCACCACCAAGCCCAGCTAATTTTTTTGTATTTTTAGTAGAGACGGGGTTTCACCATGTTAGCCAGGATGGTCTCGATCTCCTGACCTCGTGATCCACCCGCCTTGGCCTCCCAAAGAGCTGGGATTACAGGCATGAGCCACCGCGCCCGGCCTACAAGTCTTGATATCTGGCAGGATATTTCATCCTTCATCATCTTATCTTCCTCTTCTCATGGGTCAAGGCTATTCGTTTTTTGGTTTTTTTTTTTTGAGACAGAGTTTTGCTCTTCTTGCCCAGGCTGGAGTGCAATGGCACAATCTTGGCTAACTGCAACCTCCACCTCCCGGGTTCAAGCAATTCTCCTGCCTCAGCTCCCAAGTAGCTGGGATTACAAGCATTTGCCACCATGCCCAGCTAATTTTTTGTACTCTTAGTAGAGACGGGGTTTCACCATGTTGGCCAGGCTGGTCTCAAACTCCTCATTCGCCTGCCTCAGCCTCCCAAAGTGCTGGGATTACAGGCCTGAGCCACAGCTCCCAGCCAGGTCAAGGTAATTCTTAATCCAAGCTCCTCGAATACCTTCAGGGGTTTTGATTGGTATCCCACTGAATGTTATAACCCAGTCTAGGAATAACTGACATGCTTATGACATTGCATCTTTCTGCCCAAAACTGTGGTGTCTCTCTCCATCTAGTCTGATGTTCTTTCATGTCACTGAAAAAAAGTTATAATTTTTCCTATGCGCTTTATATTTTTGTTGGTTTTAAATGTATCTTTCATTAATATGCTTTGACTTTCCCCTTCTTCATCCTATGCCTTTTATTTATTTTTCTTATCTTATTGCTTTGGTTATGATATATAGTAACAATGCTGAATAAAAGTAATAATAGTTTTCCTATTTTCTTTTTAGTAAGGCTAGTCAAGGGAAGCAGTCATAATGGAGAAGGAACAAAATAATCTGTAACTCATTGTGATCAATTAGTTGTAAACACCACTGCACTCAGACCACCCCATTACTGTTTTTGATAGTAAAGTATATTGCTTATTGTTTAACAAATATAAAATAGACTGAGAGAACATTTTTTGCTCTACCTTCTGAACACAGATCCCTTGTCTCTTTTGTCTGTTGCTGCCTCCCCAAACCCCCCAAAGATTATCTGGCTTGGAAGGGCATGGTGGTTTATGCCTGTAATTCCAGCACTTTGGGAGGTGAAGAGGTGGGGATTGCTTGAAGCCAGAAGTTTGACATATGGCTGCACTTCAGCCTGGGTGACAGAGTGAGACCCTGTCTCTAAAAAAAGAACAAAACAAAACATTATCTGGCTCATGGCTCATGATGGATGCTCAATGACTATTTATTGATTTAGTAAGCAGATGTATTTCCTCCAGACATGGACAAGTGTCCATCTAACTGCACCATTTCAGTGTCCAGTCTTAAAATTTTTTGATATTTCATTTTGGTTTTAATTTTTATCTGTCTGAGTTGGAACAATTTTATATGTTTATTAACAAATAAGGAAAAAAATGCACTCGTCTGCTCTAACTCCACTAATGTCTTCCTGTACCACTTGAAATAAAATTCAAACTTCTTTGCAGAGCCTCCAAACCTCCTCAGGATCAAACATGATGAAGTGTCTGGCTACCTCTGTGAACCCATCATTCATCACTCTCCTCCTTGCGCAGTTTACCCAGTCACATTAGTCTCATTGCCTGTCCCTCTGCCTGGAATGTTCTTCCCCCAGATCTGTGCATTTCCTGAGCCCTTGCTTCTTTCTTTCTTTTTTTCTTTTCTTTTCTTTTTTTTTTTTTTTTTTTGAGACAAAGTTTCACTCTGTTGCCCAGGCTGGGGGTGCAGTGGGGCAATCTTGGCTCATTGCAACCTCCATCTTCCAGGTTCAAGTTAGTCTCCTGCCTTAGCCTCCCGAGTAGCTGGGACTACAGGCATGTGACACCACAGACAGCTAATTTTTGTATTTTTAGTAAAAACGGAGTTTCACCGTGTTGGCCAGGCTGGTCTTGAACTCCTGACCTCAAGTGATCTGCCCGCCTCGGCCTCCCAAAGTGCTGAGATTACAGGCGTGAAACACCGTGCCCGGCCCCTTGCTTCTTTCAAAAAGTTACCCAACAGTCACCCTATCAGCAAGATGGTCCCTGATCTCTTCATCTAAAATAGCCCCTTCCACTCCCTACCCCCTTACTGTGCCTTATTCTCCTTCCTGTCACTTACATGTCTTCATAATACCTGACATTATATCACATATCACCTGTTGGTTTGTTTAGCATCAGCCTCACCCCATAGAATGCAAGCTCCATCCCCAAGACCAGAACGGTATCTGACAAGTCATGACCGCCCCACATATATTTGTGGAATCAATGCATTTGCTTTTCACCGTCCATGAACTGGCCATCCATGCCCTTTCCCAATTTTCTTTCTCTTTCATTCTAGCTCTTTATGTAGAAACATACTAATTCACCTTGTCATGTTTCTGACAAGCATTTTTCCCAATTGTTCCTTGTATTTTTCATTGTTTTTGATCTTTGGAATGCACAGAAACCTCTGTTTTTTATGTAGACAGCTTTGCTATTCTTCCCTTGTGTCATCCCCACACAGCAGATAATTATCCAGCTAATCCTCTTTCATAGTTTTAAAGGTTTCCTTTTATACACTGAATACTTTAATCCATCTGTAATTGATCTGCGGCAAAGTGGGAGGTGAAGATTGTTCCATCTTTCCCTCCAATTAGCCAGTTTTTCCAAATATCATATATGCAACAATTTTTCCTTTTCCACAAATTTGCAGAGGTTTCCTTATCATAGATTAATTTTTCATCTATTCTAGAGTCTATCTCTGAGTAACATAATCTGTTGATTATATAACGTAATCTTATGAGCACAAGCCGTGCAGCCAACCTATCTGGGTTTAAATTCCGGATCTACCAATGGCGCTGTGAGACCTTGGACCAGTTCTTATTTTCTCTGTGCCTTGGTTTTGCAAAACTTAGATGACAATAATAGAAAATTGCCATTTCATAGGCCTCAAAATCATCAAATACCAGCAATTTTGTATGGTTAAAGGTAATACCTACTTCCTAGGGTTGTTGTGAGCTTCAAGGTCAAGTGCTAGGAAGAGTGCCCATCACCCGTGCACACTGGGCAATCACCCCTATTGAAGCAAATGCCCCTCTTCATTATGTGTCTCTTTAAAAATTCTCCAGCTGGATTCATATGTTTATTCTTCCAGACGTGCTTTAGAACCATTTGGTCAAGCTTCCAAGATAACTCTACTGGGATCTGATTGGGATTGCATTGAACTAATAAATGAGTTTGGGGAGCGCTGACATCTTTGCGATCCTTGTCCTCCCACCCCGTGCCCACTGGTCTCCCTGCTGACTCCAGTCTCCTCTGAGGGCCCCAGCAGAGTTGGTTTCATCTGCTCTGGAAGGGAAAGGAAGGGAGAAGGTGGACAGGGCTGAACATCTGGAACCACTCCCTGCTTGCATCTGGAGGGTCTAACAGAGGGCTGGACAAGGAAGGGGGCTCATCTTACTAAATCAGGATTTTCAGACCAAGGCATCTCTGTCAAGTAGAAATCATGTCAATGAGAAACTTTCCAGAAAACCTCATCTAATTCCTCCAGCTGGAGCGCTGGAGTGCCAGGGTGCAGGCAGCCTGTGGGCTTAATGTGCTGAATTACTCAGAAATTGTAGACTTGCCCTCACCAAGGACTTCGCTAAATGACTCCAAATTAGACTGCTTCCTTAGCTGTCAGGTGGCTGAGGCTGGGTAATGTGGGGAGGAAGGGTTATTATTATTTTTTAAAATTTATTATCATCATCATCATCATCTACTATTCATTCATTCATCTTGAGAAAGCATTCCAAAGGCCTGTGGGGTCAGCACAGCCACCTCGAGAGCTCTGGGTGACCAGAGCAGACCCCCAGGAAGGCCCTCATGCCCCTGACACACCGGAGGGTCCTGAGCCCAAGGAAGTGGCCCTTGAACCAAGTAAGTGCTGTCCAACCTTGGCAGAGGAGAGGAGGAGCCTTGAGAAAAGAGGGAGGGCCTCGCTGCACAGAACTGGCCAGGCCCAGCCCTGAGGACTCGCCCTGCGTTCAGTGTCAGCTGTGAAACCCGGGTGCCCGCAGGGCCAGGATCCCTCAGCCACTGCCCCAGCTCTGGTTGGTTGCAATCACTGAGCTCAAATGGGCCAAATCACTCCCAGAGCTTCAGAGGCAGAGTGAAGATCCCCGGGAGAGCAGGACCGCCAGAGCCCAGAGGGCACCTGCGGGGAGGAACCGGTGAACTTGGAGGCCTCTGGGCACAGAGCTCCAGGTGGCCAGTCTGATTGAGGCCTGAACGCAAACCCCGTTATGTTGACTCCAGGCCATGGGGTCCCAAAGCATCTCCACTGCAAAGTCATTCCCTGGGGTGACATCTGCTCATCCCACAGCCTCCACCCAGGGCTCTCTGGCCCTGAGCACCTTTCTCATCCACGCTGGGGATGAGGCCCCTGTGTGAACTCAGGGCATACTGGTCTCCTCACACTGGGTTCTACCTGTCTTCCCCGTGGGTTCTGAACGCCTGAGGGCATGTGTTGCACACAGGCGCCTGTCAGCCCCTCATGCCTAGCACAGTGCCAGCAGAGGACACTTAACTGGGGACAGGTCTGCTTTCCTTTGGGGCACTTTTGGCTGTCACATGACAGGGTGCCCCTCTGGCAGTCATGGGCAGTCCCACACCACAAAGAATTGTCCTGTGCCAGTGCCCACAGTCCCGGTGGTAAAACCCTGCCTGTAGGTGGTGTGGGGGTAACCAGAGGACAGCCCCCGATCCTCTGTATGGCTGCCACCCACTCGGGACCAAGGGCACTGCCACAGTCCACCCAGTTCGCCCCCGGTGGCCTCTCCTTCGCTGCAGGCCTGCTGGAGGGAGAGAGTAATTAGAGGAAGAATGGAAATCTCCTGACTTCACAAATGTGACTTTGCAAAATGAGGCGGGAAGACAAATCTGTCTTCACTACTATTCATTAAAGAAAGTCCTTTATAAATCCCAAATTAACAATTTCTCATTTAAAGATGGGTGATTATCATTCTTTTCTGGCAATTTATAGCTTTCAAAATGCTGAAATGTGAAAATTATTGGGGGAAAAATTCCAGCTGTGGTCATAGAAAATGGAAATCCACTTCAAGACAATTGATAAACATATTCGAAATGATCAATAACCTCAGGTTCAAAAGTAATACTCACATACATATGTGTGAAGTGACTGCTTTGGTAATAGAAACGCTCTGAATGATCACATTAGGGTCGACATTCTGCATCCAGGCGGCTCGGAGCCCCAAGTTACCGGAAAATCAAATGATTCATCTGGAGGGATCTTACCCAGTTTGGAGATTCTTTGACTAAGGATGGTGACAACACAGGGTTGAAATTCTTATCTTAGCTTTTGCAATGCTTGGGCTCCTGCCATCTTTCTAACTAATCCACCAGGCACCTTTGAGGGAGGTGGGTGACCCTGTGCAAAGGAGGATTTGTGCAAATACTAGGAATGGAAAAGGCCTTTCTGAAATGACACTTCATTATTCATAATTGATACCTTCATTGAGACCTCCCCTGCCAGGACTAAGAATAAGACAGAGCCTGAATCCTGCCTCTACCCTGTGCCAACCCCAGGGACCCCTCTGCCTCTGAATCTAAGATATCAAAGTAGGTCCAATAAGATAGAACATGAAGATAATTGAGACCCTCTGGTTTTGTGGGGGAAACTGAGCTGAGATGGTATATAGGGGTTAAAGAGGTGCGTAGCCATCCTACGGAAACACCTCCGGGTCACCAGCCCACAGCGCCATCTCCTTCCACAGACCTCAGGCTCCTCAGGCGGAGGGCACCAGCAGAGGATCTGAAGCCTGTTTGCCAAGTGAGTAAAGATGCTACTATGAATTCCAAACCATCTCCACAAAGGATAGGATTGAATGACACGGCCTTAAAATGTGGCAAGACAGACCTGGGTTGAGCAGGTGGAGGGGCTGTCATGGGAGAACCTGAACCAGACACACAGCAAACCCTAACCAAGGTGGAGCCACACAGGAGGACTGCCCTGGAGCCTTGTTTCTGTTCATTCTTCAGCAGAAGAGCCAGCCTCTGTGTGGGTGGCGAGAGAAACAGTGGCTGATGGTGACCGGCACTCACTGTGTGCCCAGCTTGGCACGGCACCCTTTGCTTGCATTGGACCAGCTGGTGCTGAGGAGGAAACTGAGACTTGGAGAGTTAATCACCTGAGGATGGAAAGTCAGGTGGTCTGAGTTCAAAGCTGTGCACCTAGGCCTGAGTGGGCCGCTCGTGTGGTGTGATGTTATCATGCACTTCATCTCTACTACACCATTCCCCTCCCCAGAAACCAAGCTGTCTGGAAGGCTGTACACCTGTGCCCTAGAAGCAAAGGGGAAGAAGTGCAGGTTCCGCTGGGTGGAGTGTTTTGATCGGGTTAGCTAAGGGGAGCCTCTGCCAGGAGCAGACGCCTCTCTGGCCTCTGGACCCAGCTGTTGCACCTCTCCCACAATTTCTATCCAACTTCAGATAATGATGATGAACTCAGCTGAGAAGAGAAGGAAAAGGAAAACTTGAAACAAGAGCAAACATCTGCAGCTTCCCCCCAGCACTGTCCGGTATCCAACAGCAGGGGTGGTCAAAGCTCTGCCTCTCCCCTCTCCCAGGACAGGCGTCCACTGTCCCACCCTTCCCCCACAGGCCAGGGGCTCTGCCTTGGCCCCTGACCCTGGAAAGAAGTCAGTGCCAGTGGCCTTGGCTCAGAACCCAAGGCTTGTGGGAGGGGACGAGGTCAGGATTTGGAGGGATCCAGGCCGGTTCCCGCTGCAAGTGCGGCCCAGCCCGAGTCCCCTGCCCAGGTCTGGTTGCTCTGTCTGCAGAAAGGGACCCTCACTCTTGCCTCTGGGCGGCTGTGCCATACCGGAGGGCAGGTAAGGTGCTGGGTGCAGGGACACCTCTTTCTCATTTCTATCGCATCCCAGGCCCCAGCTGGCGCGGTGGGAGAGGTGCCTCGGAGGCTGCCACGCAGAGCCACCAAGCATGGCTTCTGGCAGTCTGGACTGCACACACCTCTGCACGCTCGGAGGCCCGGCCAGGCTGGGGTGGGGTCTGCTCCTCCTTTCTTTCCTTCCTCGGCCTGGTCAGGCTCGGCTTTTGTTATTCAGAGCCGGGGTGCCACTCTCTTCCTGGGGTCAGGCGGCCACTTCCAAACCCTCATGGCGCTCAGCTCTCTGCCGGGTCCCCGCCGAGCCAGGTGCATCGGGCAAGTCGGATGGGGGGCGGGGAGAAGGGGAACGCGAGAAGGTGGGGGTGGGAGATCCGTGTTCTCCCGGGCCCTGGCTGGGGGCCCGGCCGCTAGCGGTC
The DNA here is from genome assembly GCF_000001405.40 of Homo sapiens. Classification (NCBI taxonomy): domain Eukaryota; kingdom Metazoa; phylum Chordata; class Mammalia; order Primates; family Hominidae; genus Homo; species Homo sapiens. The sequence goes on from NC_000002.12 coordinate 236,159,572, forward strand.
AGGCTTAATAGGATCATGTCGGTGTAATCCCATTTCAGCCATTGTCATTCAGGAGGCCGCGGGGCAGAAGCTGGGGGGCCGGGCCCTTTAGGACGAAGGCGGCCACACCAGAGACGCACCGGCATGACAAAGGCCGCCAGGGACCCAGTGGCTGTGAAATAAAGAGATGAAGGCTTTGGGGGTGGGTGCCCGGAGTGACGTCCGCCCCCCCACCCCGGGCCCGGCCCTGCCTCAGGCTTTTGCCTCGGGCCCAGGCCGCTCTCGAGCCGTGGGCGCGCCCTCGGGGCTCGGCCCCCGGTTTCGGTCTCAGGCCCCCGGGAGTATCAGGAGAACAAGGTCGCCCGAGATGGGCCGCCGCGCCCCCCGACGGCCTCCCTGCCTCCCTGAGTGTCCGAGCCGCCAGGCTGGTAGCGCAGCCGGGCCTCCTGCCTCTCTCCCTCGAGGCCCACGGGGTGCACGGCTTCCTGCAGGACCAGGCCTGGAGGCCTACCCCTGGGCTACCCTGGCCTCGGTTTCCCTCGCCCTAGCCTAGCACGTGCAGCTCTGGGCCGCACACTGGCGTCCTTCGGTGCCTGTTCCAGAGAGGGGATGAGGGTGTACCCGACCGCGGCACGAAGCGGGTGGGCTGGGGAGGGGGGTGCTGGGAGTCAGTTTAGGAGCCCTAAGAGTGTGTGTGTGTGTGTGTGTGTGTGTGTGTGTAGGGGGGCCTCGCGGTGGAGGCTAGGGTGTTGATGGTGGGCTGCCGAGGTGGGGAGCCGGAACAGCCCATAGGCCAGACCCGGGAAGAGCTCTGAGGTCCAGGTGGGGGTGGGGGCAGTGTGAACTGCGGAGGGGGTCAACCCAGGGACAGAAAGCGGGGGGTGCTCCATGCGTTGGAGGTTTGGGGTATGTGGAGAAAGCTCAGAGGCCAAACCCTGGCGGTGGGGGGAAAGTGGACTGCAGGATGCCGGGTGGGAGTCACAGACAAGAGTGGTGGGGGGTGCGAGAGTCCTCTAGGCAGAGGAGAAGGAATGGGGGGAGGGGCTTCCCGCCGCTGCATGGATACACTGAGAGGGAGCAGTCCACAGGGACGGGCTCAGGGGCACAGGGGGCGTTCAGCTTTGCTGGGTGCCTGGGGGCAGCATTTTTGGCTCCCCCAGTGGGGTCGGACCCTTGGCTATTGGGAATGTGGAGAAACCCGGCAAAGCGAGGGTTGGACGTGAAAGGGAATGGCACATGCACACACACACTCCCACTGTCACCTGCTCACACCCACACAGACTCAAGCAGTTGCGCACCCGCCCACACACGCACACTCACACCGCTGCTCATCACAGAGCCACTCCGTGGGGACCAAAGGAGGCGCTCACAGGGACCTTTGAGTTCAAGCTGGAAAATCTGAGCGGGTTCCAGGGCAGCAGCACCAGGCATGGGCCGCAAGGGCCTGGGTCAAGGGGCAGCCTCTCTGGGGGTGGGACCCCCACCAAGCCATGATCTGCCATTGGCCCCCCAGTCCAAGAAGCCTGGGTCCTCCCGCAGCTCCCAAATGCATGGGCCTGTCCCCCCACCCTCCCTCTGCCCCAGCGGAGCAGAGCCTGCCGCCTGCAGTGACAAAGTGTGCTGCCTGTCTCCCAGGCCCCTGTGCCAGCCAGGCCTCAGCGCAGCGCAGCGCTGCCGGGAGTCCCGCCTGTCCAGGGGAACTGCGGCTTGACCTTTCCCCAAAGCCACGGAGGGCAGGGCGGAAGTCGGCTTAGGCCCCCACTTCTGAACTGTTCAAATAGACAATCGGTTTTGATGATGTAATTTATAATTTATGCAGGTTGTCTACATACATATGGTGTTGCTTATGTGCGTTGGGGTTTCAGGTGCTTTATTACTCTGCCGGTGTGATTTGCATTCATGTTTGGTTACCAAGATCATATTTCTCCTGTTTACACCCTAAGGGCCTAAAATGAAGATGAATGCCACCTCCCTTCGTCTGGGCTGTCCCTGTAGAACCCCGGCCTTAGCTTCCCCCAAGACCCCAGAGCCCTGCTACCCTGGAACTGGGCCCTGAGCACTGCGCTGAAGCTGCCTGGGAGGACCCAGCGGCCAGAAGGTCGGAGCAGGCCACCTGCTCTGGCTGTGCATGCCTGGGCAGATGCCTGGGGTCTCTGGGGACAGAAATAGGTGTGTGCACTGGAGCCTCCTTCCCTGGGAAGCCACGGCTGGGCATAAGCGAGCCACTCTGCCACACCGCCACTGAAGTCCAGCAGGGGAAAGAAGAGGGCCCCGAGAGGGTCTCTGCTGCCCGCGCTGCTGAATGCGTGGGCTCCAGCCACTTGGGACTAGGAAGGCCCCGAGGTGAGAACCAGAGTGTGATCCAAAGGCTCCTGAGGCCGGAAAGCTAGAAGGTCACTCCCGGCTTTCAGTGCACCTAGAACCACCCGCCATGGGGCATAACATGGGACTCTGTTCCAGACAGGTCTGGGGCTGGAGGGAGCAGCCTTGGAAGCCCTGTGCGAGCTTCACCAGATGCAGCTGAAATAATTAAGCCCATTAAGCTCAAACAAACAGAAACAAGAGGGAGAGGGTGCTGACCCTGAGAGAAAGGGTGTCTTGGAATGCAGGTACCAGCGATGTGCCCAGGCTTGTACAAGCACCTAGGCTGAAGGCCAGACGCACAGACAGCCATAGAGTCAGGATGTCCTCCGAGGCAAACCCGGGCTCAAAAAAGCCTGGGGGGGCCACTCCCTGCTCTCCATTTAGCTGACAAGGCATCTGTGAAAGAACCACCCAGGGGGCTGAAGACAGGAAGCAAAGGCTGGATGCACAAGCATGCACTAAGTCTCGAAAATTCCAGCGCAGGTTGGGATTTGAGCAGCTTCCAGTGCAGGTGGGTCCCGGCTGCTGGGAAGGTAGTCCTGGGCTCCTTCTGGAAGGGGAAGTTGCTTGAGGCCCAGGACCAAACTAAAGAGGGTCCTGCCCCAAGAACAGGGAGATGGCTGCGGATTTTCAGCATACCTTGGGTTCTCCAATGGGGCAGGGGTGCCTGGCTTGCCAGGGAGCAAAGGCAGTCACTGGGTGGAGTGACTGTTCTTGTGGCCCCCCTCCGACCTCTGCCTGGGTCGGTGGCTGCGGGGTGCAGGCAGCCCTGAGGCGTCCCAGTGCACGGCTGGGGGGCGCAGGTCCAAGGAGCTCCCAAGTGTAATTATTTGATCTGCAGATGTAAGTGGAATTTATTGTAACAACAAATATAGTGATGTCAAAACCCAACCTTGGATTAAAGCCGGCAGCCAAAGGGGAAGTGTATTAATTTCCAACAGCATCTCAGGCCAGAGCCTATTAGAACAAGCTATTCTTCAGGCCCCCCCATCAGAATTAATCATTGGGAGTTAATTTGAAGCTCAGACAAGTTGCTGTTAATTTAGTGCAGGGAGGACGGGATGGAATAAAAAGCTGAGGTGCTGGCCGAGCCTCGTGGGTCTCATTAATCAGCCAGCTGAGACGGCCTGGCTTGATTACAATTTGCAAAAAAATTCATTAGGGCCCGGGCGATTGACAATTTTTCTCTCTGCCTGTGATGTGACTCATTAGGCAGCCAAATGAAAGCCATGATGACGGCCATGATGACAGCGGCCATCAAGCGCTGCTTGTTTATCTTCCTCCCCTCGGCCTGTCTCCCGGGCCTTGGCCTCCCTGCCGGGCTCTCGGGGGCGCCCCGGGGCTCAGGGGTTAGGGAGGGAGGGGGTCAGCGCCCCGAGGAGCAGGAGGGAGGGCGGCATCGGCCAGCTTGGGGAGCTCGGGCCCTCTCCTCCTCGTGCCTCCATAGGGCGAGGACCTCGAGGCTGGGAGGGCCCGGAGCTCGGTCCCAGGAGCGGGGCTTCCTGACGGCGGCCTCCGGTTCCTAGTGGGCTTCGCTTTCCCGCCGGGTTTGTGCGGTCAAAGCTTCGGGTCCCTCTGCCCCTCATCCCTGCCATGGGCTTTTGGAGAAGGCGGGTGGGGTTACACCTGTTATGGTGGAAGGGGATATGGGGGGCACTCCAGGATCTGCGGGGAGTGCCAGGGTCTCTTCCCCCGACCCGCAGGGCCGGCGGGGCAGAGGCCGCAGCTCCCCAACCTTCCCGGGTAAACTCTTCGCCCCCAGCCACGCGCAGACTGGCTCAGGTGTGTGGGTCGGGGGACGGCGTCCCTGCGGGCCTCGAATGCTGCAGCAGCGTCGTGTGGCCAGTGGGTACCTGCCCCGAGCAGCAGGCGCTCACCGGCAACCTGCACTCAGCGCTTCCTGGCGGGCGGGATCCCGGCCTTGCGGCCCCCGCGCCAGGCCAGGGCGCGACCCGGGCGCCATCCCCTCCCTGCCAGGCTTCATGGCGCTGGGCGGGGCGCGGCCAGGAGCCTCTGCGGCTCTCGGCGCCCCGCAGAGCCGGCCGACGCCCTCGGAGGACTGGCCCTTCTATTTTATTGGGCTCGAAAACCAAGTCTGGGCCATTTTCCGCCACCGGAACTGTTGGGAACGCGGCGGGAAAGGGTGACTCGGTCGCTCCCAGCCTTCACCCTGCGCCTGAAGTTTGGGTGGAGGTCTTGGTCCCCAGGCCCCTCCGCCGTGGGGAGGTGACGGCCTGTAAGTAGTAAAAATTAAGTCAATATTAGTACTAACCCATGGCGGGCCGCGCTTCCCCTTCTTCGGCTGAGAACCTCGCCGAGGGCCGAGCGCCGCTGCATCGCAGCGGCTCACCGGCCTCCCCTCCTTCCCCCACTCGAAAGGCTGAGGCTGGCGAAGCCCCGGCTTCTCTCGCGCTTCGGGCTGCTGGCTTGGTGGCACCACGCTCACACTCGCTGGCCCGCTGAACGCCCCTGGGCCTGTCCGCCGCAGTATCTGGCGGCGCGCTTCGGGGTCCGGCAGCGAGCGGACAGGGCTCTGAGCGCAGGGCCGGGGTTGGGACAGGAGTGGGCTTGGGGACCAGGCACGCCCCACCGAGATGGGGAGGCGCGCAGCTCCCCGTCCCTTGCAGACCGACTCCCAGCTCCCCTGCGTAGCCTCTCCCGTTTTCCCCCTTTGTGGTGCGGACTACCGGGGCGTCCTTGGGGTGGGGCGGTGCCCGGGTCCCGCCCCCTCGACCCCGCCCGGAGGGGGAGGTGCCGGGGCCGGGGGCGCTCCAGCCAGCCTCCGCCTCCGACTGAGGGCTGCCGGGAAGCCGGCTGGGCTCGCTGGGTTTTTGCTCCTGTCGCCAGATAACGCCCGGAGCCTGATTTATGGACCCTCCACTCTGCCGGCAGGCGAGCACCGCTTCTTTTCGGGCCGGAGATATTTGTAAAGGAAAGACGTTTCCTCCCTGGCTGTAGTCGATTTGGAGCATCAGGAGTTTGTGCAAAGCCACCAATACCCGCACTCGCTTGCCTCCTCCGGGCACCCACCTCCTCCTCTGGCCGAAGTTTGCCGGCCTACTAGGTATCGATTAGGCTGTGCAAAAGGGGGAGATAGATTTCTAAGGTGAGAATTAGGTTTTCTTAAATTCGTAATCCTATCGGCCCTCTTGCCCTCCTATTTTAAACCTGGCAAAGTGCTGGGTGGCTCAAGTCCAGGATGCCTAAGGAGACCTGTTTCAGGGGACGTTTCTCCAGTACTGGTCCCAGACCAGTTGCCCGGCCACACCCTGGCAGTGCCCGGGACGGTCAAATTCTGGACACACTTATGAGGCCCAGGGATTGGTCTTTTTCCCCCCCTCTCTCCTTTTTATTATTCACAAGACTGAAATTGTTTAAATGTCATAACTTATAAGAAAATAAGCTACATTGAAATAAATTAACACAACGGAGACGTGCTTCACATGGCTCAGATAGGATAGGCAACCCCAGGGGAAACCAAAGCCAGGCAAAAGCAAAGCAAAGCAAAGCGAATTTCCAGGCTGCCTAACAATGTCTGCTTTTCAGTCAACTCAAAAAGCCAGAACGCAAACCAAAATCAGTTTAAACCCCAGTGCTTGTTCTTGGGTTTCACGTTTACCTTTGGAAAAGTATGGAAAGGTGGCTGCTAACCGCGCAGATTACAGCAGAGGTTTTGTTTTCTTCTGGAATGAGTGGAGAAATTACTGGGTAATTAAGTCCTATAACTTTCAAAATACTGCAGCTGAGATCCAGTCTATAGAGATATTTATGTACAAAGTAGGATAGTATAATAAATATTTAGCGTGTCTTCTGGTGTGGCTGTAAGCCCCTTCAAAAGCAGTCTTTTAAGCCCATTTAGTGAATATATTCTCAATTTGCTTGGGATGGCCACAGCTGGGCTGTGACTTTGTTGCTTCAAACACAGTGGAGTCCACCATGGGTTCCCTCGGGTGCGGGGGCTTCTCCAGGTGGGTGCCAGGCCCTGGCCCTTCTGGACCCTCAGGGCCGGGCCTGTTCTAGCTGCTGATGCTGACTTCTGATAGCGAACCTGCTGACGTGGACAGGGATGGGGACGACGATCTTAGGGTTCCGGGAGGGCTCCCCTGTCTTGGAATTGGCATTGCCTGCCTTCACCCGTTTCCACTTGGCCCGTCGGTTCTGGAACCAGATTTTCACCTGCACCTCGCTGAGTTTGAGGGCGTGGGCGATCTGCGAGCGCTCGGTCAAGGAGAGGTACTTTTTGCAGTGGAACTCCTTCTCTAGCTCCAGCAGCTGCTCGCTGGTGAAGGCAGTCCGCCGCCGCCGGTTCTTGCCCGTAGACGTGGTGCTGCCCGCGGCGCCGCTGCTCGGCGGGGTCTCCTCCAGCGCGTGGCCCGGGTCTTCCTCCTTGTGAGCTGCCTGGCCAGTCAGATTGTCATCCGAGCTGTAGTCCACATCGCTCTCCAGCGAGAAGCTCTCCTCCTTGCCCTTCGGGTCGTCTTCCACCTTTGACTCGTCTTTCCCTTGCCCTCGGACAGCCCCGACTGAAAGCAAAACCAAACGGCATTTTATTACATTTCGCACACTGGCCTTCCTTTCTCCTTCCCACCGTCATTTGGACATTCCGCGCCCCCCGCCCCCCACCCTTTAGCGGATTGTCTTTCTATGACATTAACACATTGTGATTTCCTGGCCTTTGAGGGGTAGAGGAGGGGTGGGGGGAGCGTGAGAAAGCTCAAAGGAGAGGAGGCAGTACAGGCGACGGCCCTTTGCCCAGAACCATCACTCAAAGGGCCGCCATGCCTCCCCCGCACCCTCCCAGCCTCGGCAGCGTCAGGAGAAGTAGCAGGAGGCGCGAGGCCCAAGAGATTGCCCGCTTTGTCCCTGGGGTGGGGACTGGTTGAGGACTGATGGGGGGATTCACGATTCATCCTCCCCCCACCGCCACCATGAAAATGTAGTGAACCTCAATTGCTTCCTAACCGGAGTGGAGGCGTAGGGACGTGCAGATCCCAGACCATCTTTTTTGAGACAGACAACGTTGGTCAAAGGGATGTTTTGTGGCCTTATAAGTTCCCACCAGACACCCCCAACACAAACACACAGGCACAGCCTCCCAGCAGTCCGTTTCTCCCAGACAAGTAGCAAGACCAGCGAAGGGGTTTAAAAAGTCTGGGCGCCCCTGGGCACACGCACGGCTGAGACGCGCAGCCCAACCCGTCTCCCCTAGAGGCTGCAACCTACCCGGAACCCCAGGTCACCGCGGAGCGGCAGAGGCGGCCTCGGCCAAACGCATCGTCAGATAGATATGTGGCCCAGGGCAGCAGCTGGTCGCCGGGCGCTAAACGCCCCCCCTCCCGAGACCCCGCTTGTTGGGTGGCTCTGAATGTCCCCCGGAGGCCCAGCGGCACAGCCGGGCCTCATCCTCCAGCTCCTCCCGCGGGGGTCGAGCGGGGGCGCGGCCTCGCCCCCTTGGTCTCCCGCGGGAACCCGGCGCTGGCCCGCCCCCGCCTCCTCCCGCCCCCTCGTCCCGGCTGCGCGCGCCGCCGACTCACCGAGCGAAGCCTGCACCGTCTCGGCCGCGGAGAAGGCGAGCAGCGAGCCCTCTTTGGCCAGGAAGCCTTTGCCGTCCTCCGCGTCAGCCTGCAGCGCCTCCGCCTTGTCGAAGTTACCGCCGCCGGGCAGCGGCTGCGGCGCGAACTTGCGGGCCGCTGCCGCCTCCTGGTGCTGGGGCGACGCGGAGAAGCCGCCGGGGAGCGTGGCCATGAGCGTAGAGGTGAGCGCCATGCCCTGCGCCAGGCTGGAGCAGAAGCCTGTGGGCAGGCTGGGGATCTGGTGGTGAGGGTGTGCGGGCGGCAGCGCTGGCTGCAGCGCGGCCTGGGGCAGCGCGGGCGGCGGCGGCGGCGGCGGCGGCAGCACTACCGGCCGGTAGGGCATGAACATGGGGTAGCCGGTGTAGACGAAATGGCCGGGGCTGGGCTGCGGCGGGCTGCCGATCAGCGAGTCTATGCTGAAGGCGGTGCTACTCCCCAGCGGGCGCTGCATCATCATCAGCGACGGCGGGAACGCTGCGCTCATAGACGCGCTCGGTAGAGGCCAGCGAGAGGCGAAAAGTCCCCGCGCCGCGCCGCCGCCGGGAAGCCCGCCGGACGCCGGGAGCACCGCCGGGAGCGCCGGGCAGGGGCCGAGCGGGACCCGGAGAGCAGACGCCTCCGCCCCTCAGTCCTGGGCCCGCTGCATGCCGGGCGGGTGCAGGGGGTGTGCGGGGTGAGGCCGTGCGCCCCGGAGTGGAGAGGGCGCCCGGGCCCCGAGGGCTCGCCGGAGCCCCCGTCCGCCGCTTGCCCGTCGGAGCCCGCGCGCTTCGCGGGTTTGGCCCTCGGCCCCGGTAAGCTGCCGTCCGTCCGTCCGTCCCGCCGTCCGTCGCCTCCCGCGGGCCGCTGGGGAGCGCGCGAAGCCGGCGTACTTATCTCCGGCGGGCGCAGCCAGCACCTTTAAATCGCGCTCCTCTTTCTCATTCACATTTTGCCTGCCGCCTGGCCCGGCTCGCCTCACGTGGGGCTGGGCGCCTCTGGCCATTGGCTGAGCGGGGCGGGGGTGGGGCGAAAGCGGGGCCCCGCCCTTTCCACCCAAGCTGGCCTCGAGCGGGCTGCGGGCGCCACCGTCGGAGCGCGCGGGCCGGGGAGCCGGAGCCTGCATGCCTAGCCCGTGCCGCGCAAACTTGAGACGGGCGGATGGCACCTCCAAGGCTCGGACCTTGGGGCCCTGCAGCCTTGTCGAGGCCACCTCGAAGGGTAGCCTCCGGGGCCCGCACCCCCACGGCTGGGCCGGGGGCGCTTTATTTCTTTTACTGTATTTGCCATGGAACCAACCTGCCTGCGGCTCACTCCAGCGCTGGGTGCTCCGGCTGCGCCTGGGGTCCGGGCGAGGGTCCTGGAGTTGGGGGCAGGGTCCTGCCCCTCCGGAGCCACCCCCGGGGCGAAGGCTGGGAGCTGGCAGCGCCTGCCCGCCGCCAGAAACCCGCCGGGTTGCTCGCTGTAGGTCCGCGCACCGGGTGGGGCGGGGAGGCTGCTGCTTCCCCCATCCCGGGCTGGGCCCTCCCGTGAGCGATCCCGTCTCTCATTTTTCATGACATTCTTAATCATCGCACCTATTTACACACTTTGCCAGCGCGCACCAAAATAACAACCACGATAATTATGATAATAAAGAGAGTCCTTTATCTGCTCCATCCTCGGGGAGGAAGGGGGGAGTTGCTGTGCCTCCAGATTGTATAACGTGAGATTATCCTGATGAAAGCTTTATGATGTTTGCTCAAATAAAAGCTGCGTTTTGTAAATAGGCGCTAATTAAGCACGTTGCGAACGCAAGGAGTGCTCACCCTGGCGCCGCCGCCCGGTTTCCAGCGCGAGGACTCGAGGGCGCGCGGTTCCTCTTTGCTAACTGCAGGATGGAGCCGATCCCCTCAGGATGTTTCCCCTGTTCTCGACAACGGTAAAGACCCCCAAATTTGAAAGTAAGGGAATTTTGGGGTGGAGGGAAACTAGGGACGTACTTATCCCCTCTTCCATTTTCAAACAAAAAACTTTCAGCTCTTGTCTTCCCTTTAAAAATGGAATCACTTCTTGACAACGGCAGACCGTGCAGAGCGCACCAGCGCGAGCGGGGCTTCCTCGAGTCTCCAAGGCCCGGGCTTCAACTTCCCGGGTCTAGACGTCAGCCCTGAACCGCCAACAGCACCGGGTTGGGGAGAAGGAAAGAAGGGCATTGTTAGTTCGGTCATTAAAAATCAGCTCACGCCGAGGAGCTAGTGGTTGGGGAGTTGGCCCGTGTTGGACGTGTGTTATGTATCACTTACAAGCACATTTAATTGGGAGATAAAGATAAATCGATCTTTATGAATTTATCGACCCGATTCTTTGAAGCTCTTTTTTCGCGTTCTTCCTCTTTCTCTCGCTCTAGCCCCAAGGCCCCCCGGGGGACGTCTTAATCCCAGATCAGCTCCTCTGCCAGGAGTCCCGCCGGAGACCCACTGCCCACCCAGCAGACCTGGAGGAAAGAGGGGAGGGTGTGTCCTTGGCGCCCCGGGACGCTGGGAAAACTCGCTGGTCCGCCGCCAGCCCTCTCCTCCTCCTCGCCTCCTCCCTCCCTACCACCACCCGGACAAAGACGTCTCGATCGCGTTTCCCCACTCCAGGCCGCAGTAATAGATCGCTCCGGCAGCAGGCGGTTTGAAAGGAATTCATTAGGACGCTGCCTGGATTGCCTCCCCTGACTTCACGCCCAGACCCCGAGGTGGCTTAGGCAGTGTGAGGGGAAATGAATTCCCTTTGGGATCCATGGAGAAGGAGGTGTCTGTGGGATCTCCAGGCTCTATCCCTCCTTCTTCACTCCCAGAAAAGAAGAAAAAGAAAAAAAAAATCGAAGCCCAGGGCAAAAGGCTGATATCTTTATGAGCATAATAAATACTCCCCCTCATTATGAGATAGTTACAGTGACACAGCCTTGGGTGCCATTACCCTGTTTTTTGAATACTAAGAAACGCTCCATTCCTTCCTTGATTTACGTGGCTACAGCCGGGGCCCTTCCGGCTTGCCACTGACATGCCGGGGGAAGCTGTTATTCATTTTACCTAGGCAGGTTTGCCATGCACTTTGCTATTTCGCCGCAAAAATATTGTTCTAGGGACTTTTGTCGCCTGATTACCCTCTGAGAGGCAGGGATTCCTTTGATTATTTTGGTGATTATTCTACATTTAAAGTTCAGCAAGAAGATTTAGGTCCGTCGAATTATAGCTGCACTTGAAATAATTTGATGGCATGTTATTTGCATCCATAAATTGCCATAGCAAGTATTGACTGCAGGGGTTATAATACTAATCTTTTATTAGTGAGTTCAGATAATTCCCATCAATATGAATTTTATTTACTAGTGCCTTTTTCGCAAATGCAATGCAGTAATACTTTCTCATCTAATGCTTAGCTGCTTAGAAAACGACTGTTCGTGTCATAAAAGGATCCTTGTGTTTCGGCGTGATTAACAAGATGCATTCGGGGCACCTCAGCTACCTGCAAAGCGTTCAGAGCGTGGGGACTGCGGATAATAAAAGCCTTTAGAGTTTTTCCTCGGCTCCTCGGATAGATTTATGGACAGGAGCGATAGATGCATGGCTTATCCATCCTCCGGATTCCTACCTGCTTAGCTCGTAACAGCCTCAAACTGCAGAGTCCTCCGTGACTCAGCTCGGCCCAGTCTACGCGGGAAAATCACCGGGCACAGATGTTTGCAACTTGGTCCCCTCCCCCCTCCAATTAGGAAAAATGAAGGGCGCACCCGAAGGGAGAGCTGGGTCCTCCAACTCCAGTTAACTTCGTGAACTTCCCTCCCCTCTTCCCCCCTAGATGAAGATAGCTCAGCCCCTGGGCACTTCACTCGACAGGTGCTAGGCTAGTGTCAGGTTCAGATGATGCCACTTAAAACCTCAGACATTCCGAAAAAGTGATGGTAATTAAGTTGGCCCCTCGCTTCGGGGTTGTCCCAGGCTGCGCTTGCATGCAGATGTATGAAGGTTGAGGGTGAAATAGAAAACGCACAAGTAAATGAATATTCATGCAGCAAACTTGTGCTGGCCTGCCCAGCCCAGCCCAGCCCAATCCGGAGGAGGAAGCACCGCGAATGGCGCGCTTCGCTGCCGCCGCCAGAGTCGAGGTAACGGGTGGTCGTGGAGAGGGTACGGTGTGGCCACCCGTGGTCTCGGAGGACGCGGGGAATCCTGCGGGCCTCGAGGGTCTGGCGCTCCCGCCAGTCGCCCAGTCCTAGGCGACAGGCTGGTTTCTCGGGCAACCGAGTTGTTTTTATTTACAGGGATTTTGAGAAGCCCGATCGTTTGGTCATTGCCGCAGCTCTTGCTCCTGGCAATAGTTGGGAAATAACTTGGGATGGGTTTTATTTATGGAAGGGCAATTGGGATTCACACCCAGCTAACCCTGAACAGTCCCTCCCGAGCCCAGGACGCACTTACAAAGGGGCGCTTGTGTAAAATTCCCCATCAGACACACTAATTTGCAAGTAGCAGAAAGCATTGAAGCCTCATCTTTTTAAACATTTTATTCAGCTTTTTTTTTTTTTTAATCTGAAAGCCCAAAATAGACTCCATGTGGTTCTAAGTGAAGTCAGCCCTTGGCTGGCTTTGAAATAGCTCCTGCAATTATGTAAAAGAGCCATTCACCAACAGGACGGAATTAAAAGGGATCTCGCCCGCTTCCCTTTCATTGCCAACCTCTCATGTTTGGCTTTTCAAAGCACTTCCAACACGATGTCTTTCTCCAGGACAAAAGGCAGAACAAAAAAAGTCCCCAAACTTGTAAATTGAACGTCAAGGGAACTTTAAACAATTTAAAGCCCATAAATAATGATAAAGGGGACTGGCAAAAAAGGCAAACCCATTCAATTAATAGAGTTTCCCAAGCAAAGATCAAGTGGTTTATAAAATAAAAGTCTTTGGTTTCATTATTCTGCTCCTTGACCATGCAGAAAGCAGGACAGGGGGTTTTCTAAAGCTCCCTGAAGAAGAAACACTTTGCGGGACTGTGTGTGCTGCGACATTCTTATGTAGAAACTTTGCTTTTTGTCCCCCACCCTCAAAGTAGCAGAAACAAAACAACCGCAAAATAGAAATGTGAAGGGGAGGGGCTTTTCTTCTTCTTCATTTCCTCCTGGGAGTTGAAAAATGTTATCCGCAGGCCTGAAGGCTGGGAAACGTGACCCTTCACACCTGCGCCGCCCTCTCCACTCCAGCGACGAGGAACAGGAGGAGCCACAGCCGCTCGGCCCGCGAGGCGAGCCCTCGTGGCATCTGGGAATGGGAGGGTGGGGGTGGAATGCTACACAGCCCCGGAGCCCCTGGGGCGGCGGGCGCTGTCGCGCCGACGGCGCACCCGGCGAGCGTTGCGTGCGCTTGGAGCCCGGGACTACCCCAACTCCACGCGGAACTCGGCTCCCCCGGCCGGGATCCAGATGTCCGAGGGCGCTTGCGGGTGTCCTAGTTCTTTTTCAGAGCAGCCGTAACGATTGAGGCTGGGGAGTTCAAGACCACTGGGGGTAACTGATCGCCCATCGCCCTTCGTCCTGGAAGCCCAGCGCCCGCGCTCACCGCGCGTCTCTCCGGGAGCACCTAGCCAGGCAAAGGGGGATTCTCCGTGGGGACTGAGGCGTACGCCCGCCCCGGGGCTCCCGGCTTGGGAAGAGGGAGCACCAGGCGAAGGCCAGGCTGGGGGCTCGGGTCCAAGGGCTGCAGCTGTGCGGGCGGAGGCCGGGGGTGCGGGCGGGAGTGGTGTCCCCTTGTGTCCTGCCCGGGTCTGGCTCCGGCCGGGGTTCTGGAGGCCGCGTCCGTCGGCGAACCCCAGCCCTTGGAGTGTTGGGGAGGGAGACGCCGGCCGCCAGGCGCTTCTCACCTGGGTTTATCTCCTCCCATCTGCTCCCTCGGATTCCCGAGGCCCCACCTTTCGGGGACTTCAAACGCGCCCTGCCACCCGGTGCCCGGCTTTCATCTCCCGCACAGCAGGCATTGTTTGCGGGACTTCACAGAGATGCTAATCCCCGGGCCGCGTGAACCGCGGCCTGGGAACCGGGCAGAGGGCACGGAGGGGTGAGGGGGTGCGCTTTGGCCTGGGCTGGGGACCTTCGGGATGGCCTCTCGGGCAGCCCTCCTGAGGAGCCCGGGTCTGCTACCGTGCGGGCGCCGCATCCCGCCTGCCTCGTCCTGGAAGGCTGCGGGCACGTCGCAATGGGCCTGGGCTGGACGCAGCCAGCGTCCAACACACGGAGAAGGAAGAAGCAGAGGCCAGAGACGATGGCCGGCGCTTAGCTGTGAGCCCCATGAGCTTCCAATGCTCGCCAGGAGACCGTGTGTCTAGGAGAGGCAGGCCATGGACCCTATGAGTCTTCCCTGGAGGCTGGAACCCCCCGGGACTCCTGGACACCCCAAACCAAGTCCCCAGCCGCTGCCTCCACGACGGCCCCGACCCCCTTCAGGGAAGTAGTATTTTAAAGAGGATGCGGTCTGCCCGGAGGGCACGCATTTAACCCTTTAGAAACCGCGCTGGAGGGAGCAGAAGGGTGTTGAATCAACAGCCATGCACACCAGGGGCACCCCTCCAACTTTAGCTTCTTCCGGGACCAAATGAGCAGTGATTGCTGTAGCAAGAACTGTTTCTTCTTCCAGAAAATCCTGCAAAGCAGAGCCTGAATTTCCTCTGGTTATTTCCTCCTCCTGAAAAGAATGTCACAAGACAGGGGCACGGCGTTGGGTATGAATGGAAAGGAGAGATGTTGGCTAAATGGGGAGTGAGAATTGGAATGGCCTCTGTCACTTGTAACAAATGCCCCCAGGTGGAACTCCCAGGCGAAAGTCATTGTAAAAGTCATTCAAAAGTCATTGGAATTCCCAGGGAAACGTCACTCAGAAATAAGGTCTTCTGTAAAACTCAAGGGTAGGTGTGTCTGTAACTGATCAACTAGCCCCATTGACATTGCTCTAAAGGATCCCTGTGCCTATCAGAGAAAGCTCCTTAGGGAAATCACCCTAACTGACGGACTTTTCCCAGGAGAGAACAGGAGGGGAGTGTGTGCTGATGCGAGGTGGTGGGGGGTCCATTCTGTTAACAAAAAAGTGAGGGCAACAGATTCCCGTCCTTTAAAGAAAGTAAACAGGATCACTTCACTTAAAGTAGGGCACCAGACTTACAGAATCAGAGAAAAGAACACTTGCCCTGAAGCCAGCTGGGGCAGACACATTTCCTTATCGGAGGAGCATCCTAGGGTAGATCTTTGCTCTTGTTTGAGAGACTTGAAAGCCCTGGAGAACCAGAGCCAGTGATGACAGACTCAACTGCCCCCACCCCCTTCAGGCTCTTGGAACCCTCACCTATCCTGGGCTCCAAGGTGGGCTGTGAGGTCATGGTCTCACAAGAGGCTGAGCCAGCTCCTGAGCCATGAGAAATGCAAGGTAGGCTGGGGCCATCTCAAACAGTTCCACAGTTAAGTCACACCTCCTGATCATTCTCTGCCACTGGCCAAGAAGGTCGGGATGAGTTCACAGGAAGGAGAGCCTCTTTGTTTTTAGATCTGCAATTGTTCCCAGTGCCTCAGGTTCTTTAAGTACACAGCCCCTTCTTGATGATTGCAGAAATAATTGGGAATGGTGACCTCCTTGGCCTTTGAAACCTTTGAGTTTCTTCCATTTATCATGGGAAAAAATACGGAGAACTCAATTTGCATGACTTTGCTGCAAACAATTACATCTCCCTATGGGTGTGGCCTGAAGTTCCCAAGCTTTAGAAAAAGAGGGAACCAAGAGTGAGGTCAGAGAACAAATCCAAAGATCCCAAAGTATTTCCAGCGAGTGACCAAAAACTGCTAGAGTGTGTGTGAAATAAATAGGAACCTGAGGGAATGAGGAGAGAGTAATTCTTTGAGTCACAGTGGGAAAAATCCAGAAAATTGTTGGAATCCAGAATGCTGTCTCTCAGACATTCCTAGAGGACATTTCTGGGTTTTGTAGGAAATGAAAACATTTTGCATGGGGCATGTGGTCCGTGTGTGTGTGTGTGTGTGTGTGTGTGTGTGTGTGTGTGTGTAGCAAGTGTTTTTTTTTTCTTTCTCTCCAAATGATGAACACAGAGTTAAAGAAAAGGTGTTCAGACTTCGCTATCTAGTATTTATTCTGCACAGTGACTTTAAAACACCCCTGCAGGGGGAAGTCATTCACAGGACCATGTGTCATTTCCCTGCGGTTCCTTTACACCCACACATGGAGGCGGGCAATTGCTATCTGCAGGGGACATAGCCATTGACACCAGAAGAGGAGCTGGGGGCTGGTTCTGGGGGGGTCCCGTGTGTGTCAGATGCCTAGTGTGACCAGGCCACAGCACAGCAGCCACCGCTGACAGTGACTTTGTGAATGGGCCTCTTCCAGGCCCTCTGTCTCCCAGCTCTCCCTCTGGGCATGTGAGAAAAACTAGTATGGGTATGGGAAATGAACCAAAGTCAGAAGCTAATCTGGCTTGTCTCCACCTGGACAAACCTGTTCCCTGAAGTCTGTGACAATAATGAACATTGAAGCTTTAGAAAGAGCTGAAACTGATCATGGCTCAGAAAATGACGATGATTGGACTGGATATCATGTGATCAACTTTGATGCCTCCATTGAGTTCAGGGACTTTCTTCTTCCCCTACTTACCCAACCTCATTCCCTCCCCATCTCCTTATTTTATGCAGGTGAGTGTTTTAGAATCTAATTGTTACCTTGATATTCCTAGTCTATCTCTTGGTTATTATTATCAATTTCCCCGTTCTCAAGTTTCTTGTAGACCCAGTTAAAGCACAAACAAGACAATCCTGGAAAGCTTAAGAGATGAGTGACTTTTTAAAGTTTAACTTTATTCTAACCAAAAAAGCTTCACGTTCATTTAATTCCCCATATTCTAAGTTATTTGGAAATTTATACTTTAAAATGAAGTGAACTTTATAATGTAGTTTTACATTATATTTTTAGCTGTCTAACAAGGTTATTTCCTATCTGTAAACATAACTCAAATAAGTACTATAGATTTTATAGTTAATGAGGGAATGGCAGGAAACAGTTTTATTTAAGCCTTCACAATTTTTGAAGTATTAACCTGAAGAGCCTCGTGGGTGTGCAGGGCGCTCAAGCACCCGGAGCGCCCCCTATGCACTGCGTAAGTAATGGCATCCGCAGTGGAGGCTGGCTGGGCTCTGATCCAGGGTAGGACAGGACTGTCCATCCCCAGGGGTCAGAAGGGCTGAGAGGTATGTCCTATAGTTGGACAGGAAAAAGATCTCCAGTTTCTTTTCATTTTAAACATCCAGGCCACCAGAGAAGCCTTTGTCATAAACGATGGGGAAAAAATATCAGACCTCCGTGATTGCTGAAGGTGTAAGAAATACCGTCAGATTTTGGAGGTGATCTTAGAAAATCTGCCTCGGCTTCCTTATAGAATCCATGTAAGGTTCTCCCGGCTCTGCCTCACCCTGAGCAGGTCCCGGAAGGGGATAGATAGGAAGCCGTCGGACGTCTGGGCCTGAGGGTCCTGGGCTGCAGCTGAGGCCACTCCCCATCTGCGGTTCTATTTGCCTAGTGGGCAGGAATCCCCGCTCTCCTCCACCAGCGGCCTGACTGTGTCTCAAAAAGGGGATAATTAATATAGCACGAGTTGATATGGGCACTGGGCACTGAACTCGATCGTGTAGCACACGTGGGCCGGGCGCCTGGCCCAGAGAGGATGCTCAGGAGGGCAGCTGCAGGAGCGAGCACGCTGCAGGGCGCTTGGGGAGCGCGGGCCAGCCAGGGGCGAAAGCCTGTGCTCTCGGAGTGAGAGTAGCCGTGGGAGGGCAGCCTCTGGGCTCCAGATTCTGGGGCATTATTTATTTATTTATTATTAATTGATTAATTAATTTTTGAGACAGAGTCTCACTCTGACACCCAGGCTGGAATGCAGTGGCGCAATCTCGGCCCACTGCAACCTCTGTCTCCTAGGTCCAAGCGATTCTCCTGCCTCAGCCTCCCAAGTAGCTGGAATTACAGGCACGTGCCACCACGCCCGGTTCATTTTTGTATTTTTAGTAGAGACAGGGTTTCGCCATGTTGGCCAGGCTGGTCTCGAACTCCTGACCTCAAGTGATCCACCTGTCTCGGCCTCCCAAAGTGCTGGGATTACAGGCGTGAGGCACCGCGCCCGGCCTCTGGAACATCTAAAAACAGACCAGAGGCCACCCAATGGAACAGGATGCAGTGTGACATTTCACAACATACGACGCCTCTCCTGGGAAGGGAGAGCTCGCGAGCGCCTCTACTGGGTGGGCGCAGCGCCATCCCCATTGCACGAACCGAGACGGAGGTGCGGAGGCCGTGTCTGGCCCTGGAGAGTCCTCCCTCTGTCGTCTGCTCTCAGCACCAAGTCTGGCATCGCCAGGGCGCCAGGCACGGCCTTCCCAGGGAGAAGCCTTTTCTGTCATTTTTGATTATTTTACTTTAAATATGTGTGCAAAACCTTAGCTACATTCTCGTGGGCCAGGGATAGGCAACGCGTGCACCTAGACCTCTTGCTTGCCCCCACACTCCGTCTCCCCAGGGCCACCCCCTCAACCCCCCCATGCCATCAGAGTTTTGAACACCGCTGGAGATGGCGGGGGGGAGGGGGGCGAATTTGGAGGCGGGACCCGAACTGCCGGCCAAGGACCAAGGGCTGGCCTCGCCCTTCGCTCCCACTGGGCACCGTTCTCGCCGCGGGACCTTGCCTTGAGCGCGCCCCCTGCGGGCCGCGGTGGGGATTGGCCCCTTGGAAAGAGGGAAATAGGCTGCGCGCGCCGGGGCGGGAGAGGCGCTGCCTCCAGTCCTCCCGGGTGGGGGTCTCCCCTCCGAGATCCCCGAGGGAACCCGTCCCGTGCACTACCGGATTTCCGGTCTCTGACCAGCTGGGGCTTCATTTCTACGCGTGCTTTTACTGCTCTCCTCCTCCTCCGGCGGTTTTTTTTTTTTTTTTTTTTTTTTGAAAGGAGCAAACATCCCCAGCTTTAATGCGGCCCAATTATCTCGTTTGCACGACTTAAAATGTTTCTCTTTAACTCATTTCAATCTAGTAAATATGCTTCAGCAAGTAGCTAATTTCTCAGGGATGGCTTCGCCTCGCCATTTGCATATAAAGCGCGTCGGGGCCCGGCCCCTTCTCCGAGTGCGCGAGTCCCTTCTTCCGGTGCGCGGGTGGCAGGCAGCCAGGCCTCCTAGTCCAGGGAGGTCGCCTAGGTTTGGCCTAGGGAAGGCGGAGTCTGGGGTCCGCGACAGTGCCTGGGGACCAGGGTGGCAGGGAGGGCAGGGAAACTTGGGCCGGGGAGGGACCAGGACCTTCTGAGCCCCCCAACTCCCCCGCCTCCCCGGCCTCCGCCGTCCCTTATTCCGAGGAGGGGCGCCCGTGGGGTAACACGTTGGCGCGAGGGTCGGGGGCGCATTTATCCTTAAGTGCGTTTATTAAATCGCGTCTGGAGATGGATGGACGTGGATACAGGAGAGGAAATCTCAGGGCTCAGTCGAGCAATCTCCTGGCTTTAAATTCCGAATAAAAGTCTCAAATATTCCCGGGTCATGGGGGCACTGTCTCATTAAAACCACTCTCGTCCTGAAACTGCAATGCAGACATTAAAGTGCAGTATTTTTCAATTAGAGCTGACGAATTCAATCAAAATTCCATAGATTAGGATGAAATGAGGCATGGGTCATTTACAGGGGAATTTAATTGCCGAGCCATTAGACAAATAGTATATTTGCCATTCCCGCGTTATCCATCATTTTCGACATCAATACCGGGGCCGCATCTCCCCGTCCCGCGGCCGCCCGGCGTCGGCTGTAAACACTCCCTTCCCTGTATCTTCTGATTATATCTGATTTCATTTAGGGCCATGGGGGATTATAAATGTTCACGCAATCAAGTTCATTAGGACTTCAAATCGCATTTCTGATTGGGATCGCTCTGCCGCCGTCCTCCCAGCGCCTTTCAAACCCCAGCGCTTGGCTTTCAAAACATCTTTTTGAATTTAAAGCCTCACATCCTTTTGTCTTCCGACGCCCCCTCCCGCCCCACCCCTCCCGGCGGCTGCAAGCTCTTCGGGCCTCCTTCCCGGGGCAACAGCCCTGAACCCCTCTTGCTGCCAGCGGGTCTGGGGAGGGTGGGGCTGGGCTCCGCAGGCTGTCGGAACCCCCTCCCACGCCGCGCAGCCGCGGGGCGCTCGTGTCCCTGAAGCCTGAGCTGGGCGTGGAGGACAGGCCCCGCGTGTTCGCGGATCGCGAGTGGGGGCCAGCCCCGCACCTCCCGTCCCGGCCGGGCGCTGCGGGTAGGGGGAGCGGAGCGGAGGGGGCGCCTCCCACCTTTGAATCTCCTGGCTGAGGGCCTCTGGGCAGCGATTACACCCACCCTTGGGGACTGGTGCTGGGGACCCCTTCCTGGGCTGGTCCCTTTCACTCCAAAGCCCCAGGTGAAGGCGGTAGCCGGTGGAGCAACGCGCTCTTCCTATCAGCAAACCCAAGAAACAAAGGGGGAGGCTCTTCTGGGGAGAGCGCGACAAGAAAGGCTCAAGACATCCCTTCCAGCACAGCTGAAAAATAATAGCTTAATATTAACTGCTTCTCATAAAAATATACTTTCACAGAGACACAGTTACAAGAAGCAAACCCTCATTTTATCCCGTACTTTGTGCTCATGGCTGTTAGCTGCCTCAGTAATTTAATTGGAATGGAACGTGAGAAATGTGTCATTTTTGAAGAATTTATGCATCACTTCCTAGAAATCTCATTGTGTTAACTAGGAGCCTACTGCGTTCTGTTTAGAACCCATAATCACATTTTTATGTGTCTGTATTACGAGTTAATGTGACCTCCTGTCTTTAGCAGATAAAAAAAATGTTCTCTTGCGATAACATCTGTATCAAACTCTGGCTTACATCAAATACGCCACAACCCTGGTTTTCCAAGGTTCTCCAAACTTACGAACTTTCTTAAGAGCAGGGAAAATAAATGTGAATGGAAAAAGCGTCTACCAAATGAATAATTACCCGCTAAATTAAAACCCTGTGTTAAACATAGTTGACAGCAAATACTGCATTCTCAATCATGTTTTTTGCTTACAAATTGCATTACAAAGAAATCCACCGTTTTTATCGGAGTGATTAAGCAAAGAATGTTAGGACTGCAGAAATACCATTCTGGAAAATTAGATGAAGGCTGAAAACCCAGCTAGTTACATTGCAATAGTAAATGTATAATTTTGTTAAAGAACACGTTTAACACACAAATGAGGATTGGGATGTTATTATGGTATCATAAAAAATTCAACTGAAAATTATATTTATTTATAAACACATTAACTATAAACTGCACATATTTAATACAAAGGAAGCAGGCAATTCCATAATCAATATTTTAATTATTGAATTTTTTATTATGGCAGCACGATTCTATATGATAGTTTACGAATCTGTAGTTTTCGTAGGCTCCCCTCCCCTTTATCATGTGAGCTAAGATCTTCCTGTTTTCCTCCTTTTTAAATTCTGGGGAGAGTAGGTTGGTGGGAGAGGGTAAGACCGTTTGCTTATGGCGCCACCTGCAGGCCTCTCTGAAAATGAATTTCAATACCTATTCAATCTTCCGCAGGGTTCTAGATTCCTCAGGCTTATTTTAGCAATTTAGTGAAATTAATTTTTGTTTTAACAGAGAAAGATGTTAACAATTTCAACGCAAATCCCGGAGTTTGAAAAGGATTTTGATGTTCTCAAACTACACTTAAATCCTAGAAATGAGATGCAGTATTGACCATAATTGAAATACAGGGGTTTCTGCATATCCCATCTGGACATAACAAATTTGACTAAGCAGTAATTTATCCTTAAAATAATGGAATAAAAGATACAACATTCCTGATTTATCCCTTGGCCCTTGGGCAGCCCTTAAAAGATGAAAAGCACTTGGCAAGCTAATAGCACCCGAAATTGTAGTGATTGAGCAGCTTCTTAGGTGCCTGGCGTGGACAGGAGGTGGGGGCACTGGAGTGGACCAGCTCATTCCGCAAGCCTGTATTTTACACCATTTCTGCAGAAGGTTAAGTGTTCTTTGCAAAAGTTCAACAGCCTGCCCCATCAGTGTGTGTCCAAAGGGTCATTTCAGAGATTGGAAATTTGACAATTATATACAGTTAACTGGGATCAGCAAATGCTCCATAGACTTAAAGAGTCAGTGGCTTTGATTTTCTTTAAACCATACTGAGTCGATGATTATCAAGTAACTTAAATCAACGTAAATATACTAAAAAGGCAGGCCTAATGCTGGGTTCAGAGTTTTAAACATAACACGTCACACAGTACTGGGTCTGTGTACTAATTGCCTGTGGACTGTGGATTGTGTCTGATGGTCCAACCATGAATGTTTCGTCCTGTCCTGGACATGGTTGGTGCGGACAGAGGCCAGCCTCCCCAGGACCAATATTAGTGGAGAGCTTCATTTGTGTATTTTATTTTTTTGAGATGGGGTCTCACTCTGCCACCCAGGCTGGAGTATAGTAGCACGATCTCAGCTCACTGCAACCTCTGCCTCCCAGGGTCAAGCGATCCTCTCATCTCAGCCTCCTGAGTAGTTGGGACCACAGGCATGTGCCACCACACCTGGCTAATTTTTTGTATTTTTGGCAGAGATAGGGTTGCCCGGGCTGGTCTTGATCTCCTGAACTCCAGCAATCCACCTTCCTAGGCCTCCCAAAGTGCAGAGGTTACAGGTGTGAGCCACTGTGCCCAGCCACTTCTTTTTTAATTCTCTGTCGTCAAATGACAAGTAATAATCAAAGACATTCAATAAAAGTTGGAGGCAAAATATTCCTCTGTTGTCTTTTTTTTTTTTTCTTTGACACAGGGTCTCACTCTGTCATCCAGGCTGGAGTGCAGTGGTACAATCATAGCTCACTGGAGCCCTGACCTTCCAGGCTTAAGTGATCCTCCTGCTTCAGCCTCCTGAGTAGCTGAGACCACAGGCGCATGCCACAATGCCCGGTGAATTTTCAAATTTTTGGTAGAGATAAGGTGTCACTGTGTTGCCCAGGCTGGTCTTGAACTCCTGGGCTCAAATGATCCTCCTGCCTCCCAAAAGGCGGGGATTACGGGCATGAACCCCTGTGCCCGGCCCTCTGCTATCTTTTTTTTTTTTTTTTAAAGTAGAAACAGCCAGTAAACGCATCCTTTACTCTTTTGTTACTTTCTGAATTTTGAGCTGTGTGAATGTGTCATTAAAAACTAAATTTGAAATTAAAGGAAATAATTTAGGCCTTGTAGAATTGAGTTTAGGTAATACACTCAGTGAGAAAAAGAATGATGTTCAGTGTGAACTGTGTAAGAAAGGAAAACGTTTTTAGACCCTTTAATAAAACAAACAAACCAACCAACAAACAAACCAGAATATATTTTGTTCACTGGAAAAGAAGTAAGCCAAGATAATTCTAGTCTTAAAGTAGAATGCCTCTTTAGATGTTTATCAACTAGCTTACCTCCCTCTCTCCTTCTTTCCCTCCCTGCTTCTCTAATTGCCTCCTTTCCTTTTCTTGGTTTTGTCTCCCTCCTCCTTGTCTTCCTCCTTCTCCATCTCCTCTTCTTCCTCCTTCTCTATCTCCTCTTTCTTTTTGTTCTCTTTCTCTCTCTTTTTTTTTTAGACAAGGTCTCACTTTGTTACCCAGGCTGGAGTGCAGTGGTGCCATCTTGACTCACTGCAAACTCCACCTCCCAGGCTCAGGTGATCCTCCCATCTTAGCCTCCCGAGTAGCTGGGACTATGGGTGCATGCCCCCACACCTGGCTAATTTTTTGTATTTTTGGTAAAGATGGAGTTTCACCATATTGCCCAAGCTGGTCTCGAACTCCTGGGCTCAAGGTATCCACTCGCTTTGGCCTCCCAAAGTGCTGGGATTACAGGTGTGAGCCACTGTGACTGGCTCTTTCTCTTCTTCTTATTGATATGGTTTGGATGTTTTTCCCTTCAAAATCTCATATTGAAATGTAACCTCCACTGTTGGAGGTGGGGCCTGGTGGGAGGCGTTTGAGTGATGGGGGCAGATCCCTCACGAATAGCTTAGCACTATCCCCTTGGTGAGGGATGAATTCTTGCTCTGGTGGTTCACGTGAGATCTGGTTGTTTAAAAGAACGTGGCACCTGCCCCCTCTTGCTCTCACTCCTGCTTTCACCATGTGACATGCCTGTTCCCCCTTCACCTTCCACCATGATTGAGCTTCCTGAGGCCCTCACCAGGAGCAGATGCTGACACCATGCTTCCTGTATAAGCTGCAGAACCCTGAGGCAATTAAAACTATTTTCTTTATATATTACCCAGCCTTAGGTATTTCTTAATAGCAATGTAAGAACAGACTAATATAGAAAATTGGTACCAAAGAGTGGGGTGTTACTATAAAGATACCTGAAAATGTGGAAGCGACTTTGGAACTGGATAATGGGCAGAGTTTGTAAGAGTTTGCAGGGCTCCAAAGAAGACAGGAAGATGAGGGAAAGTTTGGAACTTCCCAGAGACTGGTTAAATGGTTGTGACAAAATGCTGATAGTGATATGGACAGTGAAGGCCAGGCTGAGGAGGTCTCAGATGGAAATGAGGAACTTACTGGGAACGGGAGCAAAGGTATAACTGGTCACCCTTGTTATACCTAAGCAAAGAGCTTGGCTGCATTGTGTCCATGCTCTAGGGCTTTGTGGAATTTGAACTTAAGAATGATGACTTAGGGTATCTGGTAGAAGAAAGTCTGTTTTTTTTCTTTTTCTTTTTCTTTTTTTGAGATGGAGTCTTGCTCTGTCGTGCAGGCTAGAGTCCAGTGGCATGATCTTGGCTAACTGCAACCTCTGCCTCCTGGGTTCAAGCAATTCTCCTGCCTCAGCCTCCCAAGTAGCTGGGATTACAGCCACCTGCCACTGTGTTTGGCTAATTTTTGTATTTTTAGTAGAGATGGGGCCTTACCATGTTGGCCGGGCTGGTCTCGAACTCCTGACCTCAAGTGATCTGCCCACCTTGGCTTCCCAAAGTGCTAGGATTATAGGCATGAGCCACTGTGCCCAGCCTGATAGAAGAAATTTCGAAGCAGCAAAGTGTTCAAGAGGCAGCCTGGCTGCTTTTAACAACCTACAGTTAGACAGGGAAGCAAAGAAATGACGTAAAGTTGCAACTTATATTTGAAAGAGAATCAATGCATAAAAGTTTGGAAAATTTGCAGCCTAGCTGTGTGGCAGAGAAAGAAAAAACATTTTCAAGGGAGGAATACAAGCAGGCCATTAAGCAACCATTTGCTAGAGAGATTAGAATGGCTAAAAAGGAGCCTAGTGCTAATGTCCAAGATAATGGGAAAAAGCACATTTCAGAGATCTCCAAGGCAGCCCCTCCCATCACAAGCCCAGAGGACTAGGAGGAAAGAATGGTTTTGTGGGGCAGGCCCAGGGCCCTGCTGCCCTGCACAGCCTCAGGACACTGTTCCCCGTATCCTGGCCACTCTGGCTCCAACATCAGCTCAACGGGGCCCAGGTACAGCTTGGGCTGCTGCTTTTGAGAGCACAAGCTGCCGTATACATTGGCGGCTTCCACATGGTGTTAAGACTGCAGGTGCACAGAATGCAAGAGTGAAGGAGGTTTGACAGCTCTCACTTAGATTCCAGAGAATGTATGGAAAAGCCTGGGTGCCCAGGCAGAAGCCTGCCACAGGGACAGAGCCTCCATAGAGAAACTCTACTAGGGCAATATGGAGGGGAAATACAGGATTGCTCAGCTGCTGGATGCAGTTGTGGGAAGGGGATCTCCACCCTCCAGACCCAAGAATGGTAGAGCCACTGGCAGCTTGCAACCTCAGTGTGGAAAAGCTGCAGGCACCTAACTCCAACGCGTGACAGCAGCCATGTGGGCTGCATCCAGGGAAGCCATAGGGGTGGGGCTACCCAAGGCCTTGGAAGCCCACCCCTCACACCAAGATGCAGGATGCGGAGTCAAATGAGATTGTTTTGGAGCTTTAAGATTTAATGACTGCCCTGCCATTACAGACTTGTGTGGGGCCTGTTGACCCTTTCTTTTGGCCAATTTCTCCCTTTTGGAATGGGAATGTACACTCAATTCCTGTACCACCATTGTATCTTAGGAGTAAATAACTTGTTTTTGACCTCCTAGGCTCATGGGTGGAAGGAACTCCAGATGAGACTTGGGGCTTGGGACTTTTGATTTAATGCTGGAATGAGTTAAGACTTTGGGAGGCTATTGCAAAGACATAATTGTATTTTGAAATGTGAGGAGGACATGAAATTTGGGGTCTAAGGGTAGAATGATATGATTTGGATATCTGTCCTCTCCAAATCTCATGTGGAAATATAATCCGCAGTGTTGGAGGTGGGGCCTGGTGAGTGGTGTTTGGTCATGGGGCAGATCCCTCATGAATGGCTTAGTGCCATCCCCTTGGTGATGAGTGAGTTTTCACTCTGGTAGTTCACATAGGATCTGGTTGTTTAAAAGAGTGTTGCGCTGGGCATGGTGGCTCACGCCTGTAATCCTAGCACTTTGGGAGGCTGAGGTGGGCGGATCACCTGAGGTCAGGAGTTTGAGACCAGCCTGACCAACATGGTGAAACCCCGTCTCTACTAAAAATACAAAATTACCTGGGCGTGGTAGCGCATGCCTGTAATCCCAGCTACTCTGGAGGCTGAGGCAGGAGAATCGCTTGGACCCGGGAGGTGGAGGTTGCAGTGAGCCGAGATTGCGCCATTGCACTCTAGCCTGGGTGACAGAGTGAAACTCCATTTCAAAAAAAAAAAAAAAAGAGTGTTGCACCTCCCCACTCTCTTGTTTCTGCTCTTGCCACATAACGCACCTGCTCCCCCTTTGCCTTCCACCATGATTGAAGCTTCCTGAGGCCCTTGCTGGGAACAGATGCTAGCACCATGCTTCCTATATAACCTGTAGAACCCTGAGCCAATTAAACCGCTTTTGTTGATAAATTACCCAGCCTTGGGCATTTTTTATAGCAATGCAAGAACGGACTAATACACTTATCCATGTGGAATTATGCAAGTCCTTTAATTGTAGAACTTCCTAACACATGTAGCACAGAGCATAGCTAAACACAGTCACTGAAACAATATTTTTGTCAGGCATTTTATTTTTTTGCTTTAACAAAGCAATTTGCTAGCCGTAAATACTACAAAACTATGAATAAGTTCCATCTCATCTGATGATTAAGATAGGGCCAGAGAACCCACTAGCCATTTTTGTCTCAAAGAATCACAGCCATCCATAAATCAGGTACAATATTCAACACATCTTGACAGCCACTAGAACCCAGGTGACTTAGAACTCATTTCTAGTGCCAGTTGATTTCCTACCCCTTCTCTTGCAGCTGTGATGTCATGTTCCTGAGAAGTTAGGGGCAGAGTGAAGGATTCTTTCCAGCTGAGGAGGTTCAGTTAATTACTGTGTGACTTGGTCCATGCTGACCAAGAGCACTTGGCTGAAGGTCTGGTTGCCATAGTTCATATGATATTGACTTGGCAGGGTGGGACTAAGGGAATGCTCATCATAGAAATCACCTGACTGCCTGTGGGACACTGATGAGATCGATGGCCAGGGAAGCCACACAGTGCACAAACTGCCACCCGCCCTGGGAATACGACAGCCCCCGTTCAACACAGGCCCATAGGCAGAGAGAACATGGCCAAGAATGGGGCCCTTCTCTCCATGCCTTCCTCATATGCCCAAGTTTCTCCAGCAGCCTTGAGACAACTTGTCCTATACTTGGCTGTGAGCACCACAAGCAGGAGGGCACCAGTCAAGTCTGTCTTGTTGATGATGGATCCTTGGCCCCAAGCACTGGGCTCCACCCCCGGCAGACTTTCAAAAGTGATAGTTAAATGAATGAGCAAATGTCAAGAAAAAAAAAAAAAAAAAGAAACCCAGAAAATAGTAAGTGTTGATGAGGATGTGGGGGAATTGGAACTCTTGCGTATTGCTGGTGGGAAGGTAAAATTGTGCAGCTGCTATGGAAAATAATATAGAGGTTCCTTAAAAGATTAAATCCAGAACTACCATATCATCTGGCAATCCCACTTCTGGGTATACATCTAAAGGAATTGAAAGTAGGATCTGGAAGAGCTGTTTGCACACCCATATTCATTGCAGCATTCTTCACCATAGCCAAGAGGGGGAAACAGTCTAAGTGTCCATTGACAGATGAGTGGATACACAAAATGTGGTATATACAACAGAATATTATTCAGCTTTTATTTATTTATTTTTATTTTTATTTTTTTTTTGAGACAGAGTCTCGCTCTGTCGCCCAGGCTGAAGTGCAGTGGTGTGATCTCGCTTCACTGCAACCTCCACCTCCCAGGTTCAGGCAATTCTCCTGCCTCAGCTTCCCGAGCGGCTGGGACTACAGGCGCCTGCCACCACGCCCGGCTAATTTTTTGTATTTTTAGTAGAGGCAGGGTTTCACCATGTTAGCCAGGATGGTCTCGATCTCCTGACCTCGTGATCCGCCTGCCTCGGACCCCCAAAGTGCTCACTACAGGCGTGAGCCACTGCGCCCAGCCTATCAGCTCTTAAAAAGAAAGAGGCCAGGCCTGGGGGCTCATGCCTATAGTCTCAGCACTTTGGGAGGTCGAGGTGGGAGGATCACCTGAGCCCAGGAGTTCAAGACCAGCTAGAGCAACATGGCGCGAGACCCTGTTTCTACAAAACATTTTTCTTTTTTTTAGTTAGCCAGATACGGTGGCGTGTGCCTGTGGTCCCAGCTACTCAGGAGGCTGAGGCAGGAGGATCAGCTGAACCCAGGAGGTCAAGGCTGCTGTGAGCTGTGTTCATGACACCGCACTCCAGCCTGGGTGACAGAGTAAGACCCTGACTCCAAAAAAAGGAGGAGGAAATCCTGTGGCATGCTACATGAATGAATGTTGAGGACACTACGCTGAATCAAAGAAGCCAGCTGCAAAAGGACAAATATTGTATGATTCCATTTAGTTGGAGGTATTTAGGGCAGTCAAAATTATGGGCAGTAAGTAGACTGGTGGCTGCCAGGGCTGGGGGGAGGGGAAACAGGGAGTTGCTTTTCAATGTGAAAAAGTTCTAGAGAACTATTACACAGCAGTGTGAATCTATTTAACACTACTGAACTGTACACTTAAGATAGCTAAGAGGAATTTTTTTTTTTTTTTTGAGATGGAGTCTCACTCTGTCTCCCAGGCTGGAGTGCAGTGGCACGATCTCTGCTCACTGCAATCTCCACCTCCCAGGTTCAAGCAATTCTCTGCCTGAGTCTCCCGAGTAGCTTAAATTACAGGTGCCCGCCACCACGCCTGGCTAATTTTTTTTTTTTTTTTTTGTATTTTCAGTAGAGACGGGGTTTCACCATCTTGGCCAAGTTGGTCTTGAACTCCTGACCTCGTGATCCACCCGCCTTGGCCTCCCAAGTGCTGGGATTACAGGTGTGAGACACCGCACCCGGTCGGGAAAATTTTATATTATGTGCTTTTTACCACAATAAAATGTAAAAAAAAAAAAAAAAATTAAAAATAAATCAACAAATGAGTGAATGGTTTATTCCAAAGGAACTTCATGGATTAACTCTTCCCCGGAGCATCTGAATTTAAAAATTCTTAGGGGTGAAAATAATGAAAAAGAAATAAGTCCTCCATGTTGGCAAAACTTCAGGCAGCTATGGGGGGACCTTTGGGGATCACTGTGAGAATCGTGTTGCTGTTTTTAAGCTGCAATTTGGGGAAAAATAAGCTTTTGGAAACCTAATAATTGATTATTATTTATTAGATTTTTAGAAGTGTAAAGTCAGTATGTTTTCATTTATTTATTTATTTAAACAGAGTCTTGCTCTGTCACCCAGGGTGGAGTACAGTGGTGCAGTCTCGGCTCACTGCAACCTCCACCACCCAGGTTCAAGTGATTCTCCTGCCTCAGCCTCTCAAGGAGCTGGGATTACAGGCAACTGCCACTGTGTCCAGCTAATTTTTGTATTTTTAGTAGAGACGGGGTTTTGCCACGTTGGTCAGCGGCTGGTCTCGAACTCCTGACCTCAGGTCATCCACCCGCCTTGGCCTCCCACAGTGCTGGGATTACAGGCAGGAGCCACCATGCTTGGCCAAGTCAGTATTTTTTTTTTTTTTTTTTTTTTTTGAGATGGAGTCTCCCTCCGTCACCCAGGCTGGAGTGCAGTGATGCAATCTCAGCTCACTGCAACCTCCACTTCCCGGATTCAAGTGATTCTCCTGCCTCAGCCTCCCGAGTAGCTGGGATTACAAGCATATGCCACCATGCCAGGCTAATTTTTTGTATTTTTAGTAGAGACTGGGTTTTGCCATGTTAGCCAGGATGGTCTCGATCGTCAGTATGTTTTAAAAGAGCTCTGCCTTCTTCCAGGACTCTTAAATACATATTTAAAATTTTAGAAAGTCAGCCAAACTGTTTTCTATAGTAGGGTGGGGTGGAAGGGGTGGCTGGAGGGTATAGTCTTAGAAGACAGGCATATTTCCATTTTCAGAATTCAATGAGGACTGTGCTCCTTAGAGGCCATGGTGGCTGTATTTCTTACTGTTCTTACCCTTGCTATTTAAATAACATTGCTGGCTGGGCATGGTGATTCATGTCTGTAATCTCAGCACTTTGGGAGGCTAAGGCAGGCAGATTACTGAGCCCAGGAGCTCAAGACCAGTCTGGGCAACAAAGCGAGACCCCATCTCTACAAAAAATAAAAAAATTGATGGTGTGCACCTGTAGTCCCAGCTGCATGGGAGACTGAGGCAGCAGGATCCCTTGAGTGCAGAAGGTCGAGGCTGCAGTAAGCCACATTCAAGCCACTGCACTCTGGCCTAGGTGACAGAGTGAGACCTTGTCTCAAAAAAAAAAAAAAAAAAAAAAATTTGCTATTTTTTTCCCCATTTTTTACAGTCTCTATCTTAATATTGGGCTGTTTTCTTTTTCTAATGATAAAACAATCCTAATAACAGAAGGAACCATTTATCAAGTTCTTTCTCTGGGTTGGGCTCTGGGCCTGGGTTTTTGCAGTTTCTCTGCTCAGTGGGGCCTGCAGATCAGGATCCAAGGTTAACAGAAACATCCAAATGCTTGGAGCCACAGAATCTGGGCCCCACTCCAAACCTCTAGAGTCTGAATCTGCATTTCAACAAGATCCCTTCAAATTTGGTGAAGACCTGCCTTACACCAGACATCTTACTAATTCCTAAGTAAGTGAGAGAGGCGCAGATATGTTCACTTCCCAGGTAAGCAAATTGAACCAATTTCAGTTAAGTCATTGTTCTTGGTCAGTGGAGAAGCTCTGAACCTATCTCTAAGGTGTTACCTTGGGCTGCTACTCATCTTCCAGTGTATTGCTTCCCTTTCCAGGACAAAGCAATCTTCCTAGAGTCCCACTGAGACCAAACCTGCTCACTTGCTTCGTGGTTCCTCACAGCCTGTCCAGTGAAGTTCAGAATACTTGGTCTGGAAGCCAAGTACCTCCTGATCTGCCCCCACCTTCTCTAGCCTTGCCTCCTTCCAGCTGCCAAAGCATGGGGATCCTCCTAGCCAGGAGGATAAATCACTATCCCTCCATGGAACCCTGTACTTCCCTGCACACCTGCCTTCATTCAAGTTTTCCTTTGGAGGCAGTGGTAACTCCTGAAAGTCTATGTAGGAGAGGCTTGGGGAGAGTCATCTGCCTGGGATGGGGATCTGAGGGGTCTTGAAGCTGGGTTTACGTAGCCCTTTTGTAGGACAGATCAATTGTCCATCTCAAAGGGTGGGTGAAGGTGGGTCAGCTGATGGAGCTGGGGGATGCTGTCTTATCACTCCCTGGGCAGGTCCACTGTGTTAAAACTTGATTGTCCACCAAGGTGCACCCTGGCTAACTCCTTCATGATGTCCATCCTCACTTCCTGGGCTCTGCCTGGGCCCCCCTTTCACTCCATGATGGGCTTTACTTATGGTGCATATAACATCCCACCTCACCCTGCAGTTATTTGCTGGGGTCTGAATTCCCTTTCCAGATTCTACCAATGGGAGGGTGGTATGGTTTGTATATTTGTTCCCTCCTAATCCCATGTTGAAGTTTGATCCCCAGCATTGCAGGTAGGGCCTCATGAGAGGCGTTTGGGTCACAGGGCCTTGGTGACCTCCCTGCAGTATTGAGTCAGTTCTTGCTGGATTAGTACACTTGGGAACTGATTGTTAAAAAGCCCAGCACCTCCTTCGCTCTCCCTTGTCCCTCTCTTGCCATGTGACACACTGGCTCCCTTTCATTTTCTGCCATGAGTAAAAGCTTCTTGAAAGGCCTCACCAAAAGCACATGCTGGCACAATGCTTCTTGTACAGCCTGCAGAACTGTGAGCTGAATAAACCTCTTTTCTTTATAAATTGCCCGGCCTCAGCTGTTCCTTTAGAGTGATGCAAAACAGACCAATACAGAGGGAGTGTCTCCTCTGAGGTTCATTGGGGCAGCACCTTGCGCTGGCTGTAATGGAAAAAAGAGAGCCACTGCTTGTCCTTGGAGGATGAACATGAAGAGTCTTTGCTTTAAAATACAGTGTATTCATAGAAAATTTGATGTCTCATAGGGCCAACAGATCAGGAGATGACTGCTATTGAAAAGGTGTTTTATTGATCATTGTTCCTAAGAGGAGAGGGTATGCTATGACATGGGGGCAGCCCATGAGGAAGCCCCAGGGTCTTTCAGGAGGCAGGGGAGGAATGGGCAAGAGAGGGCAAGGCTGAAGTTTGTCTAGTTTGGATAATTTCAGCAGACTCTGGGGCATAGGACTTTCCCAAGTTGTGTGGCACTTGCTCTGGAGTAGACAGTGGTCTGGCATGTGAGAAAGAGTGGGATATAAGAGGTGGTTGAGGTGTGGGCTCTGGGCTCCAGATTGGTTGGCTAACATTGGAAAAGCATGCTTTGTGTGGAATTGTTTACTGTTGCTAAGAACCAGCTAAGCCTGGTGGGTGGGGGGCAGTCAGTTCCTCCTGGGTCAGCAAGGCCCCAGATGTCAAAGCATCTGAATAGAGAAAGTAAGCTGGGGGAGGGGGCTCACTCCTGCAATTCCAGCTACTCAGGAGGCAGAGGCAGGAGGATTACGTGAGGCCAGGAATTAGAGCCTGGGCAACATGCGAGATCCCATCATCTATATAAAATAGAAAAAATGATCCCAGTGCAGTGGTGTGCACCTGTAGTCCCAGCTACATGGGAGGCTGAGGCAGGAGATCACTTGAGCCAAGAAGGTCGAGGCTGCAGTGAGCTATGATTGCACCACTGCACTCCAGCCTGGGTGACAGAGTGAGATTCTGGCATATATATATCTGGGCACGTGGAACCAACATACGTTTTCTTCCTAGCCAGACACTGATGGGACAAGCAGGCTTTTCTATGGCTAACTGATCCCAGATAAGTGCACTGGAGAGAGATGCACCATTTTGTGGGAACCACCCTCTACCCCAAGGTGTATATATATATGGAATAGAGAAAATAAGACAAGGTTGATATAGTCCTTGTTGTCTAGAGCATCTCTGTTGGCATGTGACGCTCAGGCTGAGCTGAAGGCCCCTTTGATCAACCTGTGTCTGTTCCTGGCATCTGACTTCCCAGACTGTTCCTGGAGCTGGAGCAGTGGCTTTTGGTGAGGGTGTCACATGAAGACTCACACAGGATGGAAACTTCCATTCACCATCCTGCCGGTGTCCTCCGGGGGAGCTCTGGGCTGTAATATGCTTGGGAGCACTGAGAGCACCGACAGGCCCTGGGCAGGTGCACGTGCCTTGGTTGCAAGTGTCCTTTCTCAACATGCAGGTCCGTTGTGATCTAGGGTACAGAGTTTCCCCGGGTGGTCGGGCCCCAGCGGGGTGAGAGGCCTCTCTGTGAGGGGACGGTCCCAAGGCTCAGGGGCAGCATGAGGGCTGCTAACACACTGGAAAAATACATATACAGTAGGTCCTTAAATAATGTTTTGTTTAATGTCATTTTATTATAACACCGATAAGAAACAAAACTGATTCGGCAGGGCATGGTGACTCATGCCTGTAATCCCAGCACTTTGGGAGGCCGAGGCGGGCAGATCACCTGAGATCGGGAGTTTGAGACCAGCCTGACGAACATGGAGAAACCCCGTCTCTACTAAAAATAAAAAATTAGCCGGGCGTGCTGGCACATGCCTGTTATCCCAGCTACCAGGAAGGCTGAAGCAGGAGAATTGCTTGAACCTGGGAGGCGGAGGTTGCGGTGAGCCAAGATTGCGCCAGTCTCAAAACAAACAAACAAACAAACAAAAAAACAAAAAAGAAACAAGACTGATTCCTGGGCAAGGCCACTGTCTGTATGGGTTTTCTCTGGGTGCTCCAGTTCCCACCCACATCCCAAAGCTGAGCAAGTGAGGTGAGCTGTCGTGTCTGAATTGTCCCAGTGTTGTGTGTGGGTGGGTGGGTGTGGGGGTGTGTGAGCACCCTGCGATGGAATAGCACCCCGTCCAGGCCTGGTTCCTGCCCTGCACACTGAGTTGCTGGGGTGGACTCTGGCCACGCACGACCCTGAACTAGAATAAGCACATTAGAATATGAATGAATGAATGAATGAATGAATACAAATTATTGTAAAGTAAAAATTCATAAGGCATACAATAATCATCCAAATGCATGACAATAAATGATGCGGTATGAGAGGGCCTAGCAAGCCTGCCACATTGGTGACTGTTCTGAACTTCGTGGTGGTAGGAGGTGCTCCTGACAAGGTTCGTTTTGCAAACATTTATTCCTTGATCTAACCCACCAGCAGGACAACCACCATCACATACTGATTCACCAAAAATTGGGTAAATAATTATCTTACTTGTTATTAATCTCTTTTAAAGGTATGTGTAGCTTGCCTTTATTTCAATCTTTACTATTAGAATTGTATTGGTCTTTATTTAGAAGTGTGGTGATCTTTTTGTGACCAGAAATATGCTGTAGGAACATCATTCTTGTTTATATCAATTAACCTTGGGAAAACTGGCATTGTTATACCTCATTTAGCTTAAAGCTGGTTCCCTAGAACCTATCGAAGACCTTAAGTGAGGACTCACTGTACCTTTTGGCTTAACTGTTGTTGAAAGGTACTTTCCCAGACCAAGTGCTGTGATAGTCACGATTTCACTGGATTTTCACAAGCGACCCTGAGAGGCAGAAAGGGCTTTTGTTGCCAATTCCATTTCGAGGTGAACCTGAAGCTTGGCAAGGTCTGTGCTTCACCCGGTCCCACGGAGAGCAAGTGGGAAGGGAACTCCCATCACCTCCATCTGCATCAGGGCACTCTCCAACACACGGCCTCCATGGAAGGTCAGCGAGGAGAACAACAGTATTGGTTGCAGCGTTCTGCGTTTCAGTGCAAAACACCCTGTGGCTCCAAAAGTAGGTAATTCTGCAGGGGCTTTGGCAAGGGTAACAGGGGGATGAGGTCAAAGCACCTTTTGCCAAACAGTCTGCGAAGAGCACAGCGGCAAAGATGCTGCAGGCAGCGTGGGGTGAGGGCCAAGGCAAAGAGGGACTGGTAGAACGGCTTGTGCATCTGGAAGGGAAGGCAGGTGGATTAGAAATCTGGGCACGTGGAACCAACATACGTTTTCTTCTTAGCCAGACCACTGATGGTACAAGCGGGCTTTTCTATGGCTAACTGATCCCAGATAAGCGCACTGGAGGGAGACGCACCATCTTGTGGGAACCACCCTCTACCCCAGGGGCTTGTGTGCTCTCCCAAAGCACAGTTCCTGCCGAGTGAGAGGGGATTCTGACTGGGGTGACTTCAGATGCTCCAGGTGGTCTCCCCGAATTCCGTTTTGCTCCATCCTCTTTGCACAGCAGCCCTACAGCTCCGGGGTGGCCCTGTTCATCTCCCCAAGTCATGACCAGCTCTTCCCTTCTGCCAGGGAGGGGCTCAGGAGCGAGTGCATGGCATTGGTCTGGTGGTCAGTCATGCACACATGACTCAAGTCAGTGAAACAGAAAAAACACACACAACTCTTCTCACTCTCTTTTTTTTTTTTTGAGATGGAGTCTAGCTCTGTCACCCAGGCTGGAGTGCAGTGGCGTGATCCCAGCTTATTGCACTCTCTGCCTCCTGGGCTCAAGCGATTCTCCTGCCTTAGCCTCCTGAGTAACTGGCATTACAGGCGCTTGCCACCATGCTTGGGTAATTTCTGTATTTTCAGTAAAGACAAGCTTTCACCATGTTGGCCAGTCTGGTCTTGAACTCCTGACCTCAAGCGATCTGCCTGCCTTGGCCTCTCAAAGTGCTAGGATTACAGGCATGAGCCACCGCACCTGGCCTGTTCTCACTCTCTTTTAATGGACAGTCACCTGTGGACTTTGTCGTGGATAGATGTAATCCCCATAGCTTCCTTGGTCGTATCTTGAGCTGCTGGAGCATGAAGCTGACTCACAGGGCCGGATTAGTATGTCCTGACGTGGAGCTAGGCCCGTGGATTCAGGCGGCTCTGGCCTTTCTTTGGACACTGGTTAAGGAACCCTCGCGCTTTTCAGGCCAGCACGGGGCTCTGAGCTCCTTGAGGCCATGGCACCGCAACTACTATAACAAGCTCCTGGCTGTGTGATTATGGAGCCTCCAGAAAAAACCAGAAACGTGCAAATACACCCTCATTTCCCATTCTTCCTTTTTCAGATGTATAATACTTAGCCGAATATCAGTGCAAAACTCCCCATGCAAAGAAGCAAAAACAGACAAAAGTTTTGTACTAAAGATGGGCAGAAAGGCAGCCCTCTTGCCTGGAATACTTCC
The DNA here is from genome assembly GCF_000001405.40 of Homo sapiens. Taxonomy (NCBI): domain Eukaryota; kingdom Metazoa; phylum Chordata; class Mammalia; order Primates; family Hominidae; genus Homo; species Homo sapiens. The sequence continues at coordinate 236,196,285 of NC_000002.12, forward strand.
TCAGGAATCACTTCCTTCCAGGACTCTGACAAGCAGAGCTGAGGGTAGGAGTTGAAAAGCACCTCGATGACTGCGGGGACAGATGCACAGGTCTTCAGCACCTGGTGGGAAGAGGTGAAAGACGCAGCGTAGGCCGACTGGGTTCTGGGTCTCAGTGGGGAAAGGGTGGGGGGTGTGGGGGGATGCTCTCCCTAGCTGTGTGACCTCCCTACGCCCAAGCCACACAGGGAACAGCAACAGAGCAGTACCACAGGGTTGCTGCAGGGATCACATGAATTAGTGCACACAAAGACACAAGGCAACGGCTCTGCAAGGGAGCCCTCCTTCCCATCATGATGGCCGCCCAGCCAAAGTCTGGGCCAAGTGCTTAAGCATTCAGGTTCCCAGGGGGGCTATGCTGGTGGCTTGGCAGGCCTCCTTGGCCCCCAGAGAGCTGCTCAGAGAAAAGGAATGAAGTTCTGCTAGGAGGAAGTTTGGCCCGAGGATGGTGTTCCCAATTTCTTACCTCAATTTTCAGATGTGTCAGGAAATTGAGAATTGGGGAAGAGGAATTGTTTTGCTGTTGAATTTCCTCTTGACTTGGCATTTCCGTTTTATTTTCACAGTCCCCACTGGCAAAGATTCCTATTGCCTTATTCACAAATTTATAATTCAAGTCCATTAGCTTCACCATAAAGATGGGAACACTATTTGCTTTTAAAAAATAAACTTTTTTTTGTTATGGAGAAGTTTGAACCTTCATACAAAAAAGTAGTGCCAATAGTATGATAAACTCCCATGTATCCCCGCCCCCCCCATCAACCCATGGTTGATCCTGCCCATCCACTTCTCCTAAGATTAAAGCAAATTCCATGTATCCTATAATTTTATCTGTATTTCAGTGCATCTTTTATATGACCCTTTGAAGAAACAAAGATAATATTATAGCACCTGAGAAATTAACAAGTTTCATAATATCACGTCATATACAATCAGTGTTTAAATTCACAGATTTCTCTTAAATGCCATTATATTAACAAAATAATTTGTTTGTTTGAATAATCATTCCAGTTAGGGCCGATATAATGAGACTGGTTGCTGTGATGTATTTTTAGATGTCTTTTTTGTTTCATGTGACTTACTTGTGGTGGGAACTGGGTTATTTGTCCTGTAGCATTTCTCACTGTGGGGCTTTTGCTGATTACATCCCTGTGGGATTTGTGGACATGCTGCTCTTCCTCTGTTTTCTGTAAATTAGTAGTTGGATTTAGAAGCTGGACCAAATTCAGTTGCCAGGCGCAGTGGCTCAGCACTTTGGGAGGCTGAGGCAGGCGGATCACCTGAGGTTGGGAGTTCAAGAGCAGCCTGACCAACATGGAGAAACACCGTCTCTACTTAAAATACAAAAATTAGCTGGGCGTGGTGGCACATGCCTGTAATCCCAGCTACACGGGAGGCTGACACAGGAGATTCGCTTGAACCTGGGAGGCGGAGGTTGCGGTGAGCCGAGATTGTGCCATTGCACTCAAGCCTGGGCAACAAGAGTGAAACTCAGTCTCAAAAAAAAAAAGAAGCTGGACCAAATTCAGATTCGATTTTGGAGAGGGGCAGGGCAATTTCATAGCTCTCTCTTTTTGAGGTCTAAGATTTGCCAAGTGTTGTATAATCGTTCTTTCTATTTCTTGGTTGAGAGACCAGAGGTTATGCAACTTTTCTAAGCCCAGCTACCATATATCTGCAGCAATGACCTGAACCACTACCGGGGCCTGCCCTGCGTCATGTCTACTGGGGCTCTATGGACACAGAGTCCAACAAAAGAAAGTATTGAAGTCACTCATGGAGGCTGCTCACTTCACAACTTGCCTCCCTTCTCCACAGCTCCAGACCTAAAACCCCTTTAAAATACAAATATGACAAACTAAAAAAAATTCATATTCCTCTGGCTAGAGGTAACTACTATTAACATTTTGTGTATGCTAATGTTTTATGTGTTTAGACAGAAAATTAATATATATGACAACAATGGGTGAATGCTTTGCATATGATTTTGAAATCTGATTTTTTTCCATGCAGAATAGATTGTGAATCTATTTACAAGCAATTATCCTTTTTTCTTTTTTTTTTGGATGGAGTCTTGCTCTATCACCCAGGCTGGGGTGCAGTGGTATGATCTTGGCTCACTGCAACCTCTGCCTCCCAGTTCAAGCTATTCTCCTGCCTCAGCCTCCCAAGTAGCTGGGACTACAGGCAGGTGCCACCACACCCGGCTGATTTTTGTATTTTTATTAGAGACAGAGTTTCACCATGTTGGCCAGGCTGGTCTTGAACTCCTGACCTCATGATCCGCCCACCTCAGCCTCCCAAAGTGCTGGGATTACAGGCGTGAGCCACTGTGCCCAGCCCAATATGGACTATTTACTTTTGTTTTGTTTGACCATTTGTTTTTCTTCCTTTGTGAATTGCTCAATTATGTCTTTTGCTCATTTTTCTATTGGTGTGTTCATTTCTTCACTGATTTGTAAGTACATTTTATTTATTAGGGTTATTTTCAGGTAGACAATAATTTTGCAAATAATGATATTTTTTTCTCCTCAATATTAATATTTCTTGTCTTATTACACTGGCTAGAGCTTTTCAGTTCAATGCTAAATAACAACATTAATAGCATGCATAATTATCTTATTCCTAACTTTAATAGGATTGTCTCTAATGTTTCACCATAAATATAACCTTGAACATTAGTTTCAAATAGATACCCTGTTCTAAGTTAAGAAAATATCTTTCTATTCCTAGGTTACTACAAAGTTTAAGATGTAATTTCATTTTTTGCCTTTTTCTAACCAAGTTGATAGAAAAAGATTTTCCAGGTCGGAAGTGGTGGCTCATGCCTGTAATCCCAGCCCTTTGAGAGGCTGAGGTAAGTGGATTACCTGAGGTCAGGAGTTCAAGACCAGCCTGACCAACATGATGAAACCCCTTCTCTACTAAAAATACAAAAATTAGCCAGGCATGATGGTGCACGCGTGTAATCCCAGCTACTTGGGAGGCTGAGGCAGGAGAATCGCTTGAACCCGGGAGGCGGAGTTTGCAGTGAGCTGAGATCATGCCACTGCACTCCAGCCTGGGTGACAGGGTGAGACTCTGTTTCAAAAAAAAAAAAAAAAAGAAAAAGATTTTCCAATACTGATCCATTTTTGCCTTCATAAAACAGGCCCTATTTGGCTATTCTTCTATATTTAATATACATATTATATATAAAAATATAAAATGATAATATCACTATATATCAGAGAGGGATATATATGCTATTATATATACTAGATCAGGCTAGATCTTCACCGTATCTATTAATAAGCACACTTTTCTCATTTGAAATAGTAGAGTATACATAATACAGTGCCAGACTCAATTTACTAAGATTTTTAAATCTCTTAATAAATTTGGTTTATAATTTTTTGAGCTATTTTTGTCAAGTTTTAACATCATTTTATGTTAACTTAGTAAAACTATCTGATAAAATTTGTTTTTTTTTTAATACTTGGGAATATTTTAACAAGTAGACCATTATTGGAATCAGGAAGGCACAGTAGATCTTGCATTTGACATTGTCTATGCCTGGCATTTAGCTGCAGGTAGTAATTTGATAGTTTTCATTTCTTTCATGGTTATTGGCACATTTTATTTTGATTTCTTCTTGAGTCCATTTTGTTAATCTATATTTTCCTGGAAAATAATCTTCATTTTAAAGAAATTTAGCATTGCATAGATAACAGTCAAGGTCCATTAGAAAAGAGATGGAGAAGCCAGGCACGGTGGCTCACTCCTGTAATTCCAGCATTTTGGGAGGCCGAGGTGGGTGGATCACCTGAGGTCAGGAGTTCGATACTAGCCTGGCCAACATGGTGAAGCTCCATCTCTACTAAAAATACAACAAAATTAGCCAGGCATGGTGGTGCACATCTGTAGTCCCAGCTCCTCGGGAGGCAGAGGTAGGAGAATTGCTTGAATCCAGGAGGTGGAGGTTGCAGTGAGCTGAGATCATGCCACTGCACTCCAGCCTGGGCGACAGAGCAAGACTCCGTCTAAAAAAAAAAGAGATGGCGAGTTCGATATGGGATCATTCCAGAAGTGTTTATTGATACAGGAACTATTTAACCAGATGTGGGTACAAGGAAACTGACAAGGGTCAGGGCAGCAATGTGGGGTCGTGGCAGAGGTATTACCACCCTGGGCTGAAGGGCCAGTCAGGTGAGCTGTCGTAGCAGAAGCAGCAGTCCTCGCTTGGGGATACACAGCTAGCCTGAGGCAAAGAGCCAGCCCAGAGAATGCATGTTCTGCCCTCACTCTCCTTTCCTCCCTCCTGCTGCCGGGACACCCCACTGGCTATACCCAGCTGGAAGGCAGAGGGCCGAGAGCTGTAGAATGAGGTCCATACGGATCCATAAAGGTGGAAGGAAGAGATCTTCACTCTATCGATGAATAAGCACCCTTTTCTCATTTGAAATTCACTGTAATTGTATTTTCAATGCTTTTTTTCCTGTTTAGTTTTGCTGAAGGTTTTTCCATTTTACTCCTTTTTTCAAGAAATCAGCTATTGGATTTTGTTGATCAGTTCTCTTTTAAAATATTATAACCCATTAATTTTTGCCTTTATCATTATTAACTCCTTTCTCCTATCTCCTTAGGTATGTTTTGTTTGTCTTTCATGCTCCTTGGATTGACTGCTCAGTTAATTTCATAACATTTTTTTCCTAGAGTCATAATAAAGGCAACTTTCAAAATGGTATAAATTTCCCTTTGAACGTTGGTAGGGTCATAGCCAAGAGTTTTGAGGCAGTGTTCCCTTCCCTCCTTCCCTCCTTCCTTCCTTCCCTCCTTCCTTCCTTCCTTCTTTCCTTCCTTTTTTGAGACAGGGTCTTGCTCTGTCACCTATGCTGCAGTGCAGTGGTGTGATCATGGCTCACTACAGCCTTGACCTCCTGGACTGAAGCGAACCTCCCACCTCAGCCTCCTGAGTAGCTGGGACTACAGGTGCATGCCACTATGCCAGGCTAATTTAAAAATTTTTTTTGTAGAGACAAGGTCTCACTATGCTGCCCAGGCTGGTTTTGAACTCCTGGGTTCACGCGATCTTCCCACTGCAGTCTCCCAAAGCGCTGGGATTATAGATGTGAGCCACTACACCCGGCTCATCTTTCTTAAATAGTCTGCAGTTAAATAACTGTTGAGGCAGTAGTTATTTGAGAGTGTGCTATAACATTTTCAAATGGTTATTTTTTAAAATGAACAGACTTTTTACTATTAATTTTCTGGTATATTGCAATATGGCTGTAGACAATGTCTGTTTTGGCACTAGCAGAAGTCACATTTCATTTGGTTCAAAATATGTTTGTCACATTTATGATTTGGAGCTACTGCACTTCATTTTTTTTTTTTTTTGGCTCACTTGGTCTGTGATAGATATGAATTAAGAATCACCTAAATTATTTTTCAGTCATTTTCTCTGTTTTAACACAATCTTCTTTGGCACATAAAGTTTATAATGGTTATCTTTTCACTATGGGTTATATCCTTGGTCAATATCAAATGAATATTTTTTCCCCTCTCATTTTGTGTATTTCCTTGGAATTCTATTTGCATATTGATATAAAAGTACATTTTTTTTTGCCAGAATTATCTCTGCTCATTCTTTAATTTTTTTTTTGAGACAGAGCCTCACTCTGTCACCCAGGCTGGGGTGCAATCACGAGATCTTGGCTCACTGCAACCTCCATCTCCTGGGTTCAAGCAATTCTCCCGCCTCAGCCTCCCGAGTAGCTGGGATTACAGGGACCCGCCATCATGCCTGGCTAATTTTTTTGTATTTTTGTAGAGATGGGGTTTCACCATGTTGGCCAGGCTGGTCTTAAACCCCTGATCTCAGGTCATCCACCCTCCTCGGCCTCCCAAAGCGCTGGGATTACAGGTGTGCGCCACCACACCTGGCCTCATTTTTAAATTTTAACCTTTTGTTTCACTTTGTTTTAAATGTATTTGAGAGTCTGTGTTGGTAACAGGGTAGTTTAAGCAATTTTCATTTATTATCATAAATCAAGCGTTTGGTCTCACTCTGGTCTCACTTTATTCTTTTTGTTTTCTGCTTCTTGTTTCCTTTGTTTTCCGGTTCTGTTGTACATGTTTGTATTTTCTTTGGATTCATCTTCCGTATTTTGGAAGTATGCATTGTCTTTAAAATGCTATTAGTTACCTTCAAAATAAAAAAAAATATCAACCTAGGCCTCATGCAGTGGCTCACGCCTGTAATCCCAACACTTTGGGAGGCTGAGGCGGGTAGATCACGAGGTCAAGAGATGGAGACCATCCTGGCCAACATAGTGTGGTGGCATGCACCTGTAGTCCCAGCTACTCAGGAGGCTGAAGCAGGAGGATCACTTGAACCCAGGAGGCAGAGGTTGCAGTGAGTTGAGATCACGCCACTGCACTCCAGCCTGGCGACAGAGTGAGACTCCGTCTCAAAAAAAAAAAAAAAAAATATATATATATATATATATACACACACCTATAGTTCTCTAAAAATCTAAATAGTATCTTTTATGTTCCGGATATGCCATCATCCTTTCTCTTACATTTCTCTCTTAACCAGTTCTTCTCCCTTCCTTTCTTAATAATACTGGAGTTTTAGTTCCAGGTTGTCATTATTATATGATCATATTTATATTGCGTATCTCCTTCAGTAACAATTTTGGTATTTGCATTTAGTTTTACAATGTGTTTCCCAATTATTTGTCCCTGTTATAGCTGGGTTGTATGCTCACCACCTGTCCTTTAAGCCATCCCTTCTGTAGGTATTTGCCGAGCTCCTACTAGAAAGCAGGGATTGTGTTATGTCTGCATGTTATGATGGCCAGCTCCACCTTCACAGAGCTTTACAGTCCCAAATATAACAACAACAATACAGTGCTGTGGTCATATGAGGGGGAGTTCAGGGGAAGATTTCTGGAAGAAGTGACATCCAAGCCGAGACCTGGCTCTGGAGCAGGAGTTAGCAGGGGGAAAAAAAGGCATGGAGAGTTCTGGGGACAAGAGTGTTCTAGGCAGAGAAAACGTATTATGCCAGGTTTGGGAGGTGAGAAGGAGCAAATAATGTTGGCTGGGGCATGAGTCTGACATGGGGAGTGCTCGGAAATGAAACAGGAGAGGAAAGCAGGGAAGACCATGGAGTCCATTATCTGCCTGAGAAGGAGGCTGGCACAGGGAGCACTTGCCAGGTATGAGTGGAGGAGAGGCTGGGTCTGATTTTAATTTTAGAAATATCACCAAGGCTGGGTGTGGTGGCTCATGCCTGTAATCCCAGCACTTTGGGAAGCCAAGGCAGGCAGATGACTTGAGTCTAGGAGTTTGAGACTAGCCTGGGCAACATGGAGAAACCCTGTTTCTACAAAAAATACAAAAACTTAGCTGGGTGTGATGGTGTGCATCTGTAATCCCAGCTACCCAGGAGACTGAGGTGGAAGAATTGCTTGAGCCTGGAAGGTCGACGCTGCAGTGAGCTATGATTGCACTGCTGCACTCCAGCCTAGGCAACAGAGTGACACCCCCTCTCAAAAACCAAACCAAACCAAACCAACCAACCAACCAACCAACCAACCAAACAAGGACATATCACCAAGGCTGGATCTGGGGAATAGTTTAGAGGAGACAGAGAGCCCAGTGAAGAAGATGTGTCCATCTAGGGGAGAGATGGTGGTGGCCTCACCTCAGGTGGTGGCAGTCAGGAGGGTAGGAGATTTTGAGATATATTTAGGGGGAAGAGTGGGGAGAATCTGGGGATGGATTTCCCCCTTCCTGAGCTCTTCGTTAGTGTTATCTCTTTGTCAGCTGGAGTACATCTACCTCAATGGGCCATTAGCCCCAGCCACTCCCCCATACTGTCCTTACCAATGGCACCAATGCTGCTCTTGGCCCAGGCTCTGCCTCGCCAGTGGTCCATGCTCTGCCTCACTTTACTTGCTGTGTCAGCCACGCCTGACATGTTGACGATGTCTTCCACCTCAATGCAGCCTTCACTTGGCTTTGAGGAAGGTGTGCTCTCATTCCTTCCACCTCACTGGTTGCCCCTCCTCGGTTTCCTTAGCTGCTGTCTCATCTCCGTCCTTCAGATGTTCGACCATCCCTGCATTCAGGCCTGTTCCTCTTTTCCGTTTACTCTCACTTGCTGGTGATCTTATCTGGTTTCCTGGCTTTAAATACCATCCTTTGTCACTGACCCTCAAAGGTATATCTCCAGGTTGGCCAAATCTCTCCCTCTCAAACTTTGGGCTTCGATATCCAGCTGCTTACATTGTAGCTACACCTGGCTGTATCCCACACTCAACATACCAAAAACTGAACTCCCTTGTTCACCAGGTCCCAACCTGCTGTGCCACCCATAACCTGCCCCATTCCCAAGTGATAGCAAACTCATTCTTGTAGTCTCTTGGGCTGGAATCAGAGTCATCCATTGCTCCTGTTTCTCCTACACTCCACATACCAAAAACTGAACTCCCTTGTTCACCAGGTCCCAACCTGCTGTGCCACCCATAACCTGCCCCATTCCCAAGTGATAGCAAACTCATTCTTGCAGTCTCTTGGGCTAGAATCAGAGTCGTCCATTGCTCCTGTTTCTCCTACACTCCACATCCCATCTGTTAAAAAATCCTGTTGGCTCTACCTCCAAAATATATCCAGGGTCAGATCGCCTCCCTTGTCCACACCACCATCACCCCTCCTGTGAATCACAGCAACACCCTCCTAACTCATCTTTCGACATCTGTTCTCCTCTTTCTCAAGCATCTGCTTAACATGGCAGATGTTAAGAGGAGGATCTTTACAAAATATTGTTGGATTGCGTCACTCCTCTGCTCAAATCCCTCCAATGGTCAAAGTCATTACAATGTCCTGTAAGACCCCACACAACCTGTGCCCTCTCCCTTACCACCCCTAATCTCATCTCCTACTCCCATCCCACTAGCTCCTTCCATCTCCGGCCACACTGGTCCCCTGTGGTTCTGTGCGCAGGGCTGGCCCACTCCAGCCTTAGGCTACAGATGGCTGGTCCTCTGCTGGGCTGCTCTTCCCCAGACATCCACACAGTGGGTCCCTCACATCTCTCAAGTCTTTGTTCAGCAGTCACTGACCCTAACTGCCTGACTTAAAATTGCAACTGCCTTCCACCCTTTTAATTTCTCTATAGTCCTTATCACTTTTTTGGTCTGTTGATCATGCTCAATATTTAATGCCTGTCTTCCCCATTAGAATGTAAGCTCCACATAGGCAGGAATACTTCTTTCCCCTTATCTGTTCACTCACTTATCCTATGTGCCTAGTATATTGCTGGGACATGACTGGTGCTCAGCAAATACTTTTTGATAAATAATTGAAGTATTTTTTCTTTTTCAGAAAATGCATTAGAAAGGCATGTTTTATGAACCCTTGATATCTAAAAGTGTCTTTCATCATCAAAATGAAAGTATCTTCACTGAGTCTAAAATTCTAGTGTCCAAATTTTCCTTTCAAAATCGGTGGATGATATTTCATTGTCTTATGTTACTATTACAGCAGAAACATCTGAGTCCAGCCTGGTTTTTATTCCTTTATGAATAGCCTGTTTTCTGCTTAAATACTTTGCCAGATTTTTCCATGTCTTTTTAGAACATTTTTGTTAGAATGTATATAGGTATGTGCCTCCTGTCATTGATTTGCAGAGAACACCCTTTTCGATTGCCAACCAAAAGTTAAGACTTTCAGTGCAGCTAAGTTTTCTTCTATTATGTCTTTGGTTATTATTTCTGATCCATTTGTCCTAGGCTCCTTCTGCAGTAACATCACTTATCTGTGGGTTGGCTCTCTATCCTTTATTACCATCACTTTCTCTTTTAGTTTCTTGGGTTTTTTTTTTTTTTGCACTTAAGAATAGTTTTTGTCATTAGTATTTCATTATAGTGAACACTGAGGTTGACTTTCCAACAATTCAGATGATTAGTTTAATCCAATCATGGTAAACCAATCTCCTTTGCCAGTTATTGGTTCAGAGAAGGGTAGGTTTAAGCCAACTGAGGACACCTCCTCAGGGTTTCTAGAAAAAAGGAACAACAGGATATGAACAAGGAAACGGGCCCATTGTTGCTGGAAGCCATCTTGTGACCATGAGGGAGGCATTCTGAGGACAAAGCTGACTCACTGAGGTTGGCAGAGCAGAGAGTTGGGAAGCACCAGGTTCTTTGAGGACATCATCCAGACACTGAAACAACCAATTCTGAAGCCTGCTACTTCTGCACTTACTGTTATATGAGATAAAAAGATGCATTTCCTTATTTAAACCTGTTTGAATTGGGTTTTCTGCTACTTGTGATTTAAACCACCTGTATCAGAGTCCAATCAGGCAAAGGAAACCACTCTAGGTATTTCAACCAGAAACAACTTTACACATGGAATTGGTTACGTAGGTAATCAAACTGCTGAGATTCCAACAAGGGGAAGGTGAAGTAGCCTAGAGATTAGCGAAATAGAAAGCTGTCATTACTCTTAAGAGTTGGTGGGATAGTGGGATGAGGTAGTCTAATCAGAGTCCAGAGACCAGGGCCATCCGCTGGAAGCAAGTTGAGTCAGGGGCTACCCACTGGGGACTGGGGCCATGAAGGGAGGGACTGTCTGGTGGGTGTTGGTGTCACAGAGACGATGCAGGTGCTGCTGGTGAAGCTACACAAGACAGAGACAAAAGAGAGAAATACCCTGGTTTCTTTCTTCCTCCACACTCGTTTCCCATGGTGTCTCCCATTGGCTGAGTCCGACTAGAAGCCAGCTGATGGGGGCTCTGAGTGCAGCTTGAGGGGGCTTTCCCTTTCCCCCTGTCACCCAGGATGCAGAGCAGGACCCAGGAACAGCAGGAAAGGGTCTGAGGGCACACGGGCCAATGGCCCAGCACGGATTTGATTCTTTCTTTATGAATCAACTCTGCCTTTTCCTTCTTTAGTGTATACTTCAATCTGACTGTGCTGTTAGTTTCTTGGTGTAACTATCTCCTCCATCTTCCTTTTCATGTCATTCTATTGAGTTTTCATCTTAACCAGTACTGTTTCGATGAATCCCACAAGCTATGTCTTCTTGTACTCCATAGAGGATGGCACATACTTTCTGAGATTTTCTTGGATCTCCTGTTTTCTGGATGCTGTTCTATTTTTCGGTTTGTCCTCTTTTCCCCCATGAATCTATTCCTTTTTCTCTTTATTAGTCTTTGATTAAGGAGAGAACCAGATGCAAATTTTGCCAACATGCAGGGGAAGTCTGTGGTCCTACTCTGTGCCCAGCCGGGAGACGTGGAGGGAGGGGGACGAGGGCCTGGCCCAGCCCCGTTCCCGGTTGGACGGTTTGCCCGGTGGACTTGAGCTTCGGCCTGGAGGCTTCTTCCTGCTACCCTCTTCCTGGCAGTTGGCAAGTTGCTCTGAAAGCTGGGTTCCCCCGATTTTCACATCTGCACTTTACTGTGGCTTCACAGGCTTCCCCCACTGCCTGGCTGACTTTTTTTTTTTTTTTTTGGTAATGTCTGCCTGACAGCCTGGAAACTTACGGCCGTGCAGCAGAAGGACATTGGGTCTGGGTCTTCCTAGACTCAGACATGAGGTTGCCTTGTTGCTGTGGATTTCCTCTCTCTCTTTCCCTCCTTTTCTTTCTTCCTTCCTCTCATCTGTGCCTTCAAAGCTATCTTTTGGAGGACAGGAGCTGTTCTTTCTAGACTGGGCATCATATCGACATCATAAGAGCTATTATCGGTGGTCCCCTCCCCATGCCCAATTATTTTTGTTCTCATCCATTACTGTCACTGAGTCAGGCTTGGCAGGCTTTACGGAAAGAGAGAGACAGAGCATGAACACGGAGACACGGAGAAACCAAGCCACAGAGGGAGTGCCTGGCAGGAGGCCTGGGGCCAGCACGGTCTTCCCAGCCCATCTCGCCAGCCCTGTCCCTCTCTGCGCCCCACACATGTTGATATTTCTGGCTCACACGAGCCCCACTAACATGCCATTTCCTCGTGCACGGCAGTCTCTGATTTCAATCATCCCCTTCTGTGTTGGGAAAAAAATCACGCCATTAAGAAGGACTCACGCTGGACCCCTCGGGATGGAGTCTGCTGCTATTTATCTGGTACCCTAGGCGATGCTCAGGTCTTGCTCACTGCAAACCTCCAGCGACCCTCCCACTGGCCCTGTCACTTCTCTGCAAAATGTTAAATGGCTCCCAGGGACTGCAGGTAACCCGGACATGCCCCACCCTGGGAAGAGGTGCCCTCCATTAGAGCAAAAGCACCACCTCCTCCCGCCCCTCCCCCACCGGGTCACAGACTGTGACAGAGTCTTATTGCCTGTCTCTGGGAATTCATTTTCTGTCTCTCCTCTGTTCCACCTCTCTGGGGCTCCCTGCCCCTCCCCGTCCTCTGCATCGTGCCCCCTCATGTTTGCCAGGCAGCTGGCTGCCTTCATTATTTTTACGCCAACACAGTTTAAAAATCTCCGCGGCCTCCTTGCTGTCTGCGGAGAGGCGGCTGCCACATTACTCTGACATGCTGATGTCATTAGTGTCCACGCACACCACACTCTCTTCAGCTAATGAGGCGGCAGAAAGAAAATTAAGGGGAAAAATCACACAGGCACATTGCTTTATATGTAGATGGAGAAATAAAACGACAGCAAGAAAAACACAGGCGCCCTACTTATGATCTCCCCTCTCTCCTCCCACTGGGGACTGGGTGCACGCAACTCTGTGAAGATGGGAGGGGGAGCCCTGGTTTTTGACTACTGCTACTCCAGAAATCTCCCACTAAAAATCCTGTGGAATTGGGATAAGCGAAGTCCCTTTACCTGATTTAGTAATTAGGTAAAAAGAAAACATGAAAACTTTAGGTCTCCATTTTCAGTATGGTTAGTGCCCAGAAGCTGAGACAAGACCAGAGATTTGCAGATGTTTCTAGAATCTGCTTTTTTTTTTTTTTTTTAAGACAAGGTCTTGCTCTGTCGTCCAGGCTGGAGTGTAGTATTGCAATCATGGCTCACTGCAGCTTCCACCCCCTGGGTTTAGGTAATCCTCCTGTCTCAGCCTCCTGAGTAACTGGGACTACAGTTGCATGCCACCATGCCCAGGTAATTTAATTTTTTGTGGAGATGGTGTCTCACTATGTTGTCTAGGCCAGTCTCAAACTGCTGGGCTCAAGTCATCCTTGTGCCTCCCAGAGTGCTAGGATTATAGGCGTGAGCTATTGCCTCTGGCCTAGAATCTGTTATTCTTGCACCAACCTCCATCCCCCATGCAAGCTATGTGAATCCCTTACCTGGACTGCCACCACAGCCTGTGGTTTCCATCAGCCCCCTACCTGGTGTGTTCTCTACGTCGAGCTTAGAAATTCCAAAATACTGATTGGATGATGTCATCTCCTTCCTTGAAAATGATGTAATCAACTCCCAATATTCCAAAGTCAGAGGCCCAGGCCCTTAAGGCCCTGCCTGGCTGCCTAGTCTCAACTGGTGCCCCCTAGCTGTTTCCTCTCCAACGACTAGCTCATTTTTCCAACTGCACACATTGCCGTGCCTGTCCTGCTCCAGGACATTTGCCCAGGACGTCTGTCTAGAATGTTTGTCCCCCGCTTCACAAAGATAAGCCTTCAGCCTTCAGATCTCGGCTCACTCATCACACACTTGAGGGAGCCTTGGACCCTGCCCCCCAGCCAGGTGAAACCCCTGTTCTGTGCTTTCAAGGTGAAGTGAGCCTCGGCTTTGCAGCACTTCTCACCATGGCAACTTCACCTTAGTGTGTGTACTTGTCTGATCCACGTGACAGGCAGCTCCACCAGGGTGGGAAATACACATGCTCCTGCTCCTCACTGTGACTCCAGTACCAAGCACCCAAGTTCCCCCAAAATGTTTGTTGAATGAATACATAAGTACTAAAGGGATGCCCGTGGGAAGCATAGCCGATGCCTACATGACTTGGGGGAAATCCTTCATTACTGGTGTTGTCCCTGCACTTCCCCGACTGGTGGACAAGTATGAGTCTGAAGTATTATTAGTATTTCATTTTTACACAGGGTAAAGTAGAAATGCAGTCCCTCTCAACCATAAATTATGCAGTTTCTGCATCTATGAGTTTCTCATATCTGGGAAAACCGTGCGGGTCATCAGACCCGGAATGCAATCCATAAGTCTCACCCTGAGAAAACCACCTTTGTGATCATGGCATCTCCTCTGCCAGGTGAGAGTCTGAACTCTTTACAGTCACCTGCAGGTGCGTTTTCCCGGGCTGCTGCTGGCCTCTGCACCACAGGAAACAGAAGGCCTTTGGGAAATAGCACAAAATAGGAGACAGGGTAGGAGGGGCTGGAATGTGCTGGCCACGCATGCTGACTGCAAATGAAAAGTGTTCATGGACGGGTGTCAGGTGACATCCAGGGACAAATAAAGCTGGCCATGTAAACTGAGCGGTGAATCAAGGAGGTTCCCAAAGGAACACCTGTGAAGGAGGCAGTGGAGGGCAGGGGTTTGAGCCCTGGCTGCGTGCTGCTACTGTCAGCTCTGTGTCCCATCTTGGAGCGGGGCTGGACTTACATCTTCCCACACGCTTTGATGCTCCATCATTTTCTGGGGTCAAACCAGAAATGTGCTCCTCAAAGAGGAGAGAAGAGCAAAGTAGTGCTTCCTTGGAAAAAGATCACATGGGACTTCATGACTGTTTCACAGATTCGTATTCCAGGTAAGGAGAGGCTGAAGGAGAGAGACCCCTGAGCACAGCCTTTTATCCAGACCAAGCATCCAGCCCAAAAAGTCACCTGTGGCAGATGCCAAACAAGTTCAGGTCCACGTCTGTGTGTGCTTCTCTGCCTTCCTACCTGCTGTCCAACAGGCCCAGCCCCAGCCTGCCCTGACATCTTCCAGAATCCAAACCTGCCAGAATCCACAGCCTGCCCCCTATGCCTGCCCTCGGTGCCCTGTCCCTGCCCCCAGTGTTAACTAGCGGTCAGCCAGGCAGAAAGGCCTGGCACTGTCAACACGTGGGCTTCCGAAGCCGTGACACTACTTTGATTCTCACTGCAGAGCACTGCGCCGGCTCGGAAGGATGCCCTGTGTCCGCCTGCCGCGACGATGGTGCCTTTGTCTGGGCATGGGGAGCTGTGATTTATGTCATAAGCTCGCTGTGAAACCTTTTGCCTCGGTAATTCTGCGCTCCATGGGTGTCTCTTTACATCTATTCACAGTACGGCTGCTGCCCACGGACGGCTTGCCCTGTGACAGTGCTGGTGACTCTACGCTCGGCTCGCCATGGCGCCCGTGTGGTGCCTGCCCAGCATCTTTGTGGCTGGCTGCAGCGTCTGTTGCTTTGATGTCGCACATGATTAGATGCCGTCCCTGGAGGAGCGATTGCAGGGAGACTGGGTGGAGGAAGAGGCTGCCTCTAGCTTTCCACAGAGTTTTGCTTCGGTTGTGGGGACCAAGCTAGAACATTACAGGCACTGCTGCCTTTGCTTGTGGGATTCTCAGCATGGTGAATGCATCCTCATCCACCATCCTCTCCTGGCCAGGTGTAGGGGTACCCACTGGAGGTGTGGGGGAATCCCAGTGCAAAAAGGTGGAATCCTTATTTCCAAAGATTTAATGCAGGCCATGAGCCTGCAGTGGCTGGAATCCCTTTCATTCATTCAACAAACACTGATGGAAGGTCTGTGCTTGCAGGCGCCATGTTCAGGGAGGCAGCGGTGGGCAACGCTTTTTGCAAAAGCCTCAAGGTATTAAGATTTCTCAAGAAAACTCCAATTCCTTCCAGGATGGGTGGGAACTGACAAGATTCCTTGTCAAGCACTTCCCATGGCTTTTTGGCCCCCAGGTACAACAAATCTAAACCTACCCCCAACCTGAATGGAGGATGAGTTGCACCACTGACTGACCCCATTTCTGTGTGGCTGACATAGTACTGGGGATCCCATCCCAGAACAGGGCCCCTGAGCACCTAGAGAGGAGGTGCTGTGCTTTGTCCTGCATCTCTAGTCAAGGCAGTGTAATTTCTACAGCCTTGGAAACAGAGTCCAGGGGTCAGAGGTCCTGTTCCTAGAAATGATGCCTGTGGGGCTGCCCCTAGGATTTGAAAGCCTGGTCAGAGATCACTCAAATTGAAACAATTTCAAGGCTAACAAAGGATTATTTCTAGTCGCTACTGAAATATATTGACTCCTTTTTTTTTCTTTAAAATAAATTGCCCCATTCTTCCCTGAATAAGTAAGTCAGAAAAAAATAATTGGCCCAGATATTTTCCCCTTTTGGCCCATCCTGTAACTTTGTTTTCTCTTTTCATTCCTTTTTTTGGAGACAGGGTCTTGCTCTATCACCCAGGCTGGAGTGTAGTGTTGCTATCACAGCTCACTGCAGCCTCCACATCCTGGGTTTAGGTAATCCTCCTGCCTCAGCCTCCTGAGTAGCTGGGACTACAGGTGCATGCCACCAGGCCCTGCTAATTTTTTTAAAAAAATTTTTGTAGAGATAGGATCTTGCTATGTTGCCCAGGCTGGTCTTAAACTCCTGGACTCAAGTGATCCTCCTGCCTCAGCCTCCCAAAGTGCTGGGATTACAGGTGTGAGTCACCATGCCTGGCCTCTTTTCATTCTTTATGCAGTTGCATATGACAAGGGCTGAAGTGTGTGTTGGTTTAATGCAGACACAGTGTGCATGGGAAGGGCAGTGAGTCTTGTTTCCATGTTATAAGTTGATGAACTAAGCCTGCTAATGATGGGAAACATTAAAATGTAAATTATAAATATAAAAGGTAGCTGTCACAGAACATAAAAATGCTAGCATTTCTTCCCTTTCAGGAGTCCACTATATTGAAATCATTGCCTTAGTGGAGCACCACAAGACAATTACCCAAAGAGGGGGTGAGACAGCATCGGGAAAGTGCCATCCTGTTTGTCAAGTGAGCAAACACTAGGGGAGTTGTCTCGGGGGATTTTCTAACCTTTCAGAGGCACAGTCTACTCTGAACGCATCTATAATGGAAAGTTAGCATTTGAGAGAAATGAGTGAATCTCACTTCTCGATGGTTCAGACCACTGAGAACACTGTACTTTTGAATATTAGCTTTTCAGCTATTTGTTCAAAACTAATCAGGCCAAAATATGTCTTATGTCTATGAGTGATGAGTCTTGGTTGATGGAGATAATTTTTAAATTAAACACACCCGGATTTTACATCTAATGGAATGACTTCCCTTCAATGAAGTCTTTTCGGGAGGACAACCTGTTACTCCAGCCAATATTTTGGAAACATTTTCAGTCTTTTGGGTTATTTTCTGAGGTGAGAAATCTTTATTCTTTATCATTATTATTTCAGGGTAGATCTGACGGGTGGAACAAGGATGAGTTGTTCAGAGTCAAGTCTGCAAGGGTGAGCCAGCAGAATGGGGGTGAGGTCCCAACACTGCAATGACCTGGGCAGGGCACTTCACCTGACCGAACCCCAGGTAGAGGGAGAATATCACCTGCCTCTCGTGTTTCACTGCAATGTGGTGAGGACCGAATGAGAGAAGTCTGCAAATGTACGAAGCACTCTCATTAACAAGGTGGATGATCAGATTGGGTAATTTTGTTTCAGATCAAATGCCAGATGTGGCAAAAGACTGATTTTCATCGTTCTGAAAATGACACTGATGATGAGCTGCCAAAATATTTTGAGCTCTGACTGCATCATCGAAATAAGTGCCTGGCGTCCGTCCCCAGGTGACTACTTTGAAAGGATGCATTCTTCACATGCAACCCCTTAATTGTCTCGTGGCTCTAACCAGAAGGCTTCTAGGCCCCTGTTCCTCAAAATGGGGTCCCAGGAACAGCAGTCTAGGCCACACCCGGGAGCTTGTTGGCAATGCAGGCTCTCCCACCCCAGACCGGCAGAGCAGATTCTGCATTTTCACAAGTCCCCAGGGGTGCCTGGGCCATTACACTTTGAGAGCGCCGCATGCAACCCAGCTCCCAGGCCGGTCACTAAGTGGCAAAACTCCAGGGCACGTGCCAGCCGGGCTGGATCCTGCCTTACCTTGGGGAAGGCGTCGGGCCACACGGTGGGAGAGCCGTGGTTGAGCAGCGCCTGCACCGTGCGCTGCGGTGAGGCCTGGAGAGCGCAGGATGCGGTCTGGAGCACGCGGCCCAGCGGCGAGGCCCCGCCATAGTCGAGCGCGCCCGCGTCGGCGCCGTGCCGCAGTAGGAGGCGCGCCAGGCTGTGGCTCGCGTGGCCGCAGGCTTTGTGCAGCGGGCTGCGCTCGTCCTCGTCGCGCGCGTCCGCCTCCGCCCCGCGCCGCAGCAGCAGCGCGCACAGGCGCAGGCAGCGCCCGTGCTCGTCGGGCCTCCGCGCCGCACCGCAGGCCGCGCTCAGAGCCGTCTCTCCGCGGCCGTTCCTCGCGTCCACGTGCGCCCCGCGGCCCAGGTACAGGCGCGCGTGCTCGTCCAGGCCGCGCTGCGCCGCCACGTGCAGCGGCGTGTCCCGGCCCGTGCCGCCCACGCGCTGCACCGAGGCCCCGTGCTCCAGCAGCGCCTGCGCGCACCTGTGGGAAGCCAGGGCCTGTCACTCGGGCGCCACGCAGGACGCCCGCACCCTTCCACCCCCGGCCTGCTGCTGCAAAATATCAAGTGACCTCTGAATGAAAAGACATGCTCCGCTCTCCCATACCAAGGCGTCAGGAGTTCAAACTAAACTGGAAAAAAAAAAAAAAAAAAAGAGATTATGGCAAAACCAGCTCCTGAGTGGTGTAAATAGCAAAGGATATGCCATAAGAATCCACGTGCAGAGTTACAATTTATAAGGAAATTTTAACTGCTTGGAGCTTCCTGGGAAGGTGATGTGGTTCAAATGACGGTGCTCCATGCACTGGTTACCTGAGCTCTTTGTCACACCTGGAGGTTAAGGGTTTGGCAGTCACAGTTCTAAGGAGAGGCCCTTGGGGGTCAGACTCTTTCCCGGCCCCCATCTAGCCCTTCTGGAAACCGCTCAGCTTTGTGAGGGTGTGAGGCAAGCCTTGCCTTGCACCACGAAGGGACTTTCCCCATCCCTCAGGACACTGACTCAGGCTGGCACCACCCTGTCCTCTGACAGTCCGGGGAGCATTAGGTGGGAAGCACAACCAGGCCCTGTTGTGAGCCTACCTGTGCTGCTTGAACAGACTGGATATTGGCTGCACCTGAATTCCCCAGTGGTCTCCAGGAGCTTCTAGACCCCCATGGGAGCCTGCGGTCTTCCCCAGAGACGAGTGTCTTCCTTCTGCTGCCTCCAGGAGCATGACTGTCCTCTACCCCAGGCACCAGGCTTCCTCAGAGCCTCTCCCATCCCCTGGGGGCACTCTAAACAGCTCAGCCTAGGCTCAGATGCCTGGTGAGAAGTGTGCCCCAGCCTGGAAGCCGGAAGACAGTCATACAGACCCTCTGCCCTCCGCTGGTCCTTGTCCTTCATGGACACGGAAAAACACAAGCCCACCCCCAACTTCAGCCACCTGCTCCCATAGTCACCTGCCATCGATAAGGCCGCTCCAGCCTTGGAAGTCTGCAAACATGCCGACTTCAGACTACAGCCCTAGTCCTCTAGCTCCCCAATGCCTGTTGGTCCTACTTGCCATCTTTGCTCTATGGAGACCTGAGCCCTGGACCTCTCGTTTCTCTCTACCCTTCCTGGCTTCAGTTCCTTTCCTGGGCAGCACTGTGGTCACCTCGTCATCTGCATCCTCAGTTCCCTTGAATGGAGGGGACCATGGCCATCCCCTACTCAAATGGCCGAATCTTCAAGCCGGAGTCCATTCTTCACCCCCCTCCTTTTCTCTGCGGGTCTGCCGAGCCCTGTTGGAGGACGCAGCCTTCATGGAGCTGGCCTTGGTCTCAGCTGGGCCTCAGTTAACTGATATCTTTCAGTGTTAAGGCCACCTCCTCATGCCTTGCTCTCCACTAACCACTCCTAATGTTGACCTTGGTCCTCAAGCTTCCGCCCTCTTCCTTTTCAGCTGTCTACATCAGCTTCATTCAGGGTGCAGCTCCCAGGAACTCCCTCACCTGCCTGCCTTCTGCAAACACATCTGTTTCAACACTGATTAGAATCTGTTTTGACAACAGCTGTTGCCTCCCTCTTCCCCAGGCCTAAGGAAGGCACTCCCTCTTGATCATCTTGGCCCAGAGTTAGTCGTCTTTGGCTTATTTGGGGTCTTGCTCTAGATGACTTGCTTCTTGCCATTTTCCTGTCTTTCTATTTCCCTGCCCCATTTCAACTGGTCACTGAGCCATCTCATCACCTGAACTGCTTCCTCCCTCCACTCCCAGTGTCACTGTCCTTTGTTGAGGCCACATCGTTTCTCGGAATGCTTATAAGTCTCTTCATTTGCCCCTTGCTGCAATCTAGCAAACTGCATACTATCTGGAAAGAGCCTTTCCAGTGCCAATCAAATGTGCCTGCCAACAACCCCACCACTCCCCCTGCCTGCTGGGCGAAGCCCACACTGCTCTCTTCAGGACCCAGGACACATCATGATCCAGCTCCTGGGGGCTCACCGGGTTCACCTCCTGAGGCGCCGCCTCTCCATGCTTCAATTCTGCCTGACCAGGTATGGTGCTGAGAGCACACTCTGCCGTGCCATGCCCCCATGCCCTCTGCTTGCTCCTTCCAGGTTGCCCCGCTGCACGTGATGGCCCACACAGTCCCATCTTTCCTTCCTCTTGGAAGCCTTCCTGTGCCACCAGGTAGAGGGGTCACACCTCTGTGTTGTCACATGTCTTGCACTATGTGCCCAGGCACATTGGTCACCCCATATTTCAAATATTTGTTGGGCCAGGCGCGGTGGCTCATGCCGGTAATCCCAGCACTTTGGGAGTCTGAGGTGAGTGGATCACCTGAGGTCAGGAGTTTGAGAACAGCCTGGCCAACATGGTGAAAACCCATCTCTACTAAAAATATAAAATTAGCCGGGCATAGTGGTGGATGCATGTAATCCCAGCCACTCGGGAGGCTGAGGCAGGAGAATCACTTAAACCCGGGAGGTGGAGGTTGCAGTGAGCCAAGATCGTGCCCCTGAACTCCATCCAGCCTGGGGGCAACAGAGCGAGACTCTGTCTCAAAAAAAAAAAAAAATAAATCTTGGCACCTTCAACTCCTTGGGTGTAGAAATGGAGGCTTTGTTTATCTCTGATTCCCAGTGCCTATCATAGTGCCTATCACACTATTGGTATTCCCTAAAAACATATTGAACAAACACATTCCATTAATTAACATCTTTCAGCTTTTCTTTATATTGCCGCTGCTTTTCCTACTATATTAACCTAACTGGGGCTCTGAACAAGATCATCCATTGAGGGTTTCCCGGCTGCCCTTAAATCCATTTATATTTTTACCTAGAGGCTCTCAGTATTTTAAATTCTCCCTTTGGATTGTCTCGTTTCTACATCAGCAGTGTCTTGAGAAGTGGTCTGTCTTGAGTGAAAGATCTTTACAAACAAGTACAGTTTGATGTGGAGTCCTTTGGGACCAGGACTGGCTAAGGGAGGATGCAAATTTTACAGTCAGAGCGCTTCACTTTGCTTCCTATTTGCTTCTCTGGGAGGAATTTTGAACAGTGCAGCAGGACGTTAGAAATCAAGGGTTCCTTCTCGTTTTGCCACTGAGCCTGTGTGCACTTGCAAACAATTACAAAACATTTTCTTCTTTTTAAAGAAAAAATTTTTTTAAGCAGCTCAGCCTCTCTAAAGAAGTCCACAGGGAAATATGACCAGTCCCCTTTTCCACGTGCACAGCCTATAGCTGGGTAATGGCCAGGCTTTTCCACGTGCACAGCCTAGCTGGCTAATGGCCAGGCTGCTATCTGCAACACAGATACCTTTCAGAGGAATGAGGACACTGGCCCACCCTCTGGAGGGCTGCAGATGCTCTTTTCATTTTTAATGAAGAGCTTCTAGTTGGCTAAACCTTGGCACTTTTTTAGAGTGGGCAATGATTTAAGTAGCAGAACCACGGGCATGGGAAAGAAACAACAAATTGACTGGGGCACGTCTGCTGGTACACGGTGGCAGTCATTAAAAATGAAGGTGTGAGAGCCTATTTAATGGCATGGAAATACATTTGCAGTGGATGTGAACAGATCAGGTTACAAAATAGCACCACTGTACAGTCCCATTTTGAAAAAGCTTAAATATATCTATGCGTATATGAAGAATACCAGAAATTGGCCGGATGTGGTGGTTCACGCCTGTAATTCCAGCACTTTGGGAGGCCAAGGCCGGCGGATTGCGAGGTCAGGAGATAGAGACCATCCTGGCTAACATGGTGAAACCCCGTCTCTACTAAAAATACAAAAAATTAGCTAGGTGTGGTGGTGGGTGCATGTAGTCTCAGCTACTGGGGAGGCTGAGGCAGGAGAATGGCGTGAACCTGGGAGGCGGAGCTTGCAGTGAGCCAAGATCACACCACTGCACTCTAGCCTGAGTGACAGAATGAGACTCCATCTCAAAAAAAAAAAAAAAAAAAGAAAAAGAAACCAGAAATTTTTCATTTTATTTTTTAATTGATTTTAATTTTAATTTTAATTAATTTTTTTAGAGACAGGGTCTTGCTCTATCATCTAGCCTGGAGTGCAGTGGCGTGATCATGGCTCACTGCAGCCCTGAACTTCTGGGCTCCAGCAATCCTCCTGCCTCAGTCTCCCAAGTAGCTGGGACTATAGCCGAGTGCCCCCATGCTTGGCTAATTTTTTTTTGTTTTATTTTTGTATTGACAGGGTCTTGCTATGTTTCCCAGGCTGCTCTCAAACTCCTGGGCTTAAGTGATCCTCCTACCTTGGCCTCTCAAAGTGTTGAGATTACAGGCATGAGCCACCGTGCCCTGCCAAAAAACCTAGAAATTTAGAGGGCAATGTGTGTTTATCTCTGGATGATGGGCATAGTGGGAGCTTGTTTCCTTTTTGCCTGCATGCGTTTTTCAAGTTATCCAAAATAAGTCAAGGTGCAGTTTGATACAAGAACCACAACAGAGGTTATTAATAACAAAACCATCCCCACCTGCTCCAGCAACAGCTCCTGGATCCTAAGAATATCCCTTTGGCTTTCCAGGTTCCCAGAATACGCTTGAAATTTCCATCAATCTGTTTAGGTATAAGCAGCATTTTGGAACGTATGTATGGCAATGCCCATGAGAAGGTGAGGAGAGGAGAGGCCTGGGCTGGCTGGGAGCTACTCAGTGATAACAATCGTGGGGACCTCTCAGACCTGACCCCAGGACCCAGGCCCATCCTTGAAACACTATCATTTCAATCCCTCCTATCAACGTCACCAGTGGAAGAAATGGCCCAGTGGGGAAAGCTTACTGTTTGTCATTTCATTGCCTTCTCTGTATCAATGCCACCAGTGGAAGAAGAAATAGCTCAGTAGGGAAAGCATCCCTGAAGCCTTTGCAGGTCTATGTCTGGGACCCAGCCTTGGCTGAGCCTTTTACTCCAAGGCAAGATTTTGTGAGTGGGTTTCCTGCTGTCCTGATAGAAAGGCAAAAGTCAGAAAGGCCTGGGGTCAGGGTAGAACAGTCACCGTTGGGATCTAAGGGTAGAATTCCCATCTGAGGATGTCAGAACAACTTTGTCTTTATCTTGCAAGGATTAAGGAGACACCATGTTGTCTCAACAGCTTCTGATATGAAGCAACTTGGACAAACACATTAATCTCTGGGTGCCTCATCTCTGTTTTCGATAATGACTGCAATGACAGGTTGTTACAGGGGCCCAGGGTTAACAGCAGAAAGAAAAAGTAACTTGAGCCAAAAGGCAGGAGTTAATAGAGATGAACCCATCAAGGACTGTTGAATCAATGTCATTCCAATTCATGTCTATGGGGTGGGGGGATGTGGGACTTTGGCCACTCCCTGCACACCCTCCCATCCACCCTCCAGCACCTTCCCAAAGCACTGGCTTTTCCTAGTCCCTTCCCAGGGCACAAGGCCTGGAGGCCTCAGCCTGGGCTCTCCCACTGTTTCCTCCTTCCTTTACCCACCTGTCTCACCCACCTGCTCCCACCTGTCTCAGCTGCCTGCCAAGCCTCCATGCTCCCTGCATGCTCTGCCCAGATACCTCTTCTCTCAGCCAGAGCCTGTCCAGGCTTCCACTCTCTCGTCTCCCCTGCCTCCTGATCACCCTCTTTATTCAAAGCCCTGGAAATGCTGCTTCTCTGCCTCCTGGTTCTGAACTGAAAGGTCTTTTGGATTCCCCAGTACTTGGCCTTTTTTTTTTTTTTTAAACAACTATTTATCTTTAGTCCCTGAAACAACTTTGCATTGTAGGTGGAATTTACAGTTGGGGAAATTGAGGCTTAAAAGGCCAGTGACATGCATAAGGCAGGAAGTGGCAAAGCAGAGGTCTCGTTGCTTCATGAGGCTTCCCACTGTCAGTCACACACCCCTCCACTGCCCCTTCCCACTGGTTTTATTTGTTAAGCACCTTCTCTGAGGCAGGTTCTGTTCTAGGCGTTTTCCACAAGTTATGAGTGACCTTTTCATTCATTCAATAAGCAGAGAACATGTGCCATGCTCCTTTCGAGGTAAGGAGAAGTGTTTCTCCTCTTATCACTCCACAGGAATTCCTGGACAGACTCACCGACAGGACACTGAAGGCAGGGCAAGGCGACCCATGGACCTCATTCTACGGGGTGGCACAGTAACCGGTTCTCACCCAGTCCTCCTAGCTACCTGGCACGGTAGATGGCATCCTCCCTCCTTTTTGGTGAGGAGTTCATCTTTGAGGTTTAAGCAGTGGTCTAAAGGGCAGGGCCCGGCAGAGGATGGTGGCCTTGCAGTCAGTGTGTCCTGTTTGGGATATGAACTCCAGCCCCCACTATCCAGTGGTGAATACAAGGACTCCACAACCACCAAAAGATGATGCTGACTGAGCAATGCAACAACAACAACAACAACAACAAACAGCTGCTAAAAATAAGGCTGCATTCAAGACTCAAACGTCACCTTTTGTGTGTGAGTGGGGAAAGGGACATTGCTTCTGAACATTTTGTTAGTAATGTTAAACATCTCATATGGTTTGGTTGTGTCCCCACCCAAATCTCACCTTGAGTTTTACTCCCATAATTCCCATGTGTTGTGGGAGGGACCCGGTGGGAGATAATTGAATCATGGGGGTGGTTTCCTTCATACTGTTCTCTTGGTAGTGAATAAGTCTCATGAGATCTGATGGTTTGATAAGGGGAAACCCCTTTTGCTTGGTTCTCATTCTCTCTCTTGCTGCTGCCTTTCACCTTCCACCTCCCCAGCCACATGGAACAGTAAGTCCAATAAACCTCTTTCTTTTGTAAATTGCCCAGTCTCAGGTATGTCTTTATCAGAAGCGTGAAAACGGACTAATACAGCATCTGTCTCCTTAAGTCACCGGAGTCCTTGGGCAATCCTGAGCTCCCTCTCCTGTTCTCCTTATGTGACTGCTCCTGGAATCCCTTCTGACAGACAGAAGGGGTTGAGCACTACACAGTGTGTTCAGTGGGGGTAATGGGTGTTATGAGCTCGTCTTGTTGAATTACTGTTACTGCTGCTTTTCCTCCTCAGAGATGACACGGAGGCAGATGGGCTAGAGACATGTCCCAGGGGAAGGGTGGCTGCAGCTGAAGGCTGGGTCCCAGGGTGGGTGCTGGGCATGTGCCAGCCTATGGGGGCAAGGTTGCAGGGGAGCCTTGGGAGGAAAACAGAGCCGTGTTTTCTAACGAAGCTGCTGCAGGAAGGTTTCCTCCTGTGGCTCTATGCCCCAGCTGACTCCGATGAAGGACGGGGAAGCCACAGCTCCACGACTTTGATGGAGGAGCGGTTCCACTTTATTTCCCTGGACCTTCTGCTGAGGCTTTCCTTTGGGGATCTTCCATCTACCCCTTTCTGTTCTGCATTTTCTTTTCTCTCCCTCTCTCCCGGGATGCTAAGCTATGAGACTATCAGACATAAATGTTTACAATTGAAATGGCTGATGTGAATAGACAAATCCTTCAGGGTAGGAGGGCGACTGAGAAGAGAAACTGGTTGGCCATTTCTATCATCACGGTTTCCCTTGGAGCAATGGCTGCCAGCCATCTTATGTTTTTCTGAAGTGTGGGATGATTGCAGTGGATGATGATATTTTGGGCAAATTCTCTCCCCATTGTAAATGGAAACTTGGCAAACTGAAAAATGATTTAGTGAACAAGATTTGTACAGTCAGCTCCACTGTGTGCCCCATGATATAGTTTGGATATTTATCACTGCTGAAATCTCATATTGAAATGTAATCCCCAATGCTGGGGGCAGGATGGGGCCTGGTGGGAGGTGGTTGGTTCATGGGGGTAGGTCTCTCACGAATGGTTTAGTACCATCCCCTTGGTGCTTTCCTCACGATAGCGAGTTCATGGGTGATCTGGCTGTTTAAAAGCATGTGGCAGCCAGGTGTGGTGGCTCACGCCTGTAATCCCAACACTTTGGGAGGCCGAGGTATGTGGATCACCTGAGTTCAGGAGTTTGAGACCAGCCTGGCCAACATGGTGAAACCCTATCTCTACTAAAAATACAAAAATTAGATGGGTGTGGTGGCGCACACCTGTAGTCCCAGCTACTTGGGAAGCTGAAGCAGGAGACTCACTTGAGCCCTGGAGGTGGAGGTTGCAGTGAGCTGAGATGGTGCCACAGCACTCCAGCCTGGGTGACAGAGCGAGACTCCGTCTCCAAAAAAAGGTGTGTGACACCCCCCATCCCTGTTCCTGCTTTCACTGTGTGGTGTGCCTGCTTGCTGTTTGCCTTCTGCCATGAGTAAAAAGCTTCCTGAGGCCTCCCCAGAAGCAGATCCCAGCATTATGCTTCCTGTACAGCCTGCAGAACTGTGAGCCAATTAAGCTTTTTTTCTTATAACTTTCACAGTGTCAAGTATTTCTTTATAGCAGTGCAAGAATGGCCTAATACACTTCACATGCCCACTAAGCAGCATTTGACTTTCTAGAAGCTTCATTGGTGTGCCTTCCTCAGTAAGGCATGCATAACATTTCTTTCTCTTTCTCTCATCCCCTGGTCCCAATATACTAGGTGAAGAGGAAGACCCAGTAGCATCAGAGTGAGTGGAAAGAAAAGGAGGAAATGGAAAAGAAAAGACTCTATTAGCTTCTTAGACAGGGATAGGGGTGAGGTGGGGGGAGCTTTAAACTGGATGAGAGAAACATTGTATGCATGTAGGTATGTATGTATATTTTAATACAATAACTTCTGTGAGGTACACACGCAGAAATGCACAGGTCTTAAGAGCACAATTGAATGAATTTCAACAAAGGAATATACCTATGTAACCAATACCTCAATGAAGACATAGAATATTTCCATTTTGCCAGGAATTTCTCCTGTGTTTACCACCAGTCAGTCATAACCCCCGTAGGCAACCACTGTGCTGATTTTTCTCACAGTGGGTTAGTTTTGCATTTTCTAAAATTTTCCACTTTTTTGTATCTGGCTTCTTTTGCTCAGCATCATGCTGTTCACATTCATCCATACTGTTGCCTGCATGGAGTAATTCATTCTTTTTTTAAATTGCTGAGTCATATTCAATTGTATGGATATACCACAATTTTAAGCCATTTTCCCATTGATATTGATGGACATTTGCATGTTTCTATTTTTTGACTATTATAAATAAAGCTTCTATGAACGTTTTTGTATAAGTCTTCCTGGGGACATATGTTCCCATTTTTCTTAGGTAAACACCTAAAAATGGAATTACTGGTAGGTATGTATTTAACTTTGTAAGAAACTGCCAGTTTTCCAAAGAGATATCATTTTACCCACCCAAAACTATGTATGAAAGTTCTAGTTGCTCCCTGATCTTGTCAACATTTGGTGTTGTCAGGTTTTTTTTTTTTTTTTTTTTTTTTTTTTTAGCCATTCTAATGCATGTGAAATGGTGAATATTTATTTGTGGTCTCATTTGCATGTCCTTGATGATTAATGATGTTGAACACCTTTTCATTTGCTTATTGGCCATTTGTATGTTGTTCATAAAGTGTCTGATCGAGGCTTTTGCCCTGAGTGTAAAGTTTTGATTTGGCCTGGACTGGCTTTTGGATATTAAAATGGGACTTGCCAAGTGACCAGAAAGCTGAAGAATGTACCTGGGATGCCATTGAGGGGCAGGGAAGGGGACACACTTGTAACACAGCATGTTTGGAGGGAGGTGGCCAGAGATAAGTGGAGCTACTTCCTGATTACAGACAGTTTTTGGGAAAAAAACTTCAGTTAACAAAGGAGATGCAATCTTTTAGCATTGTTCTCACAACCTTTGGCTTTGGGTCCTGGCTCTACTGGTTTCCGTTCTGTGCAACCTTACTGGCATAACACGGACTCTCTCTGAGCCTTGGTTTTCTAATCTGTGTACCATGCCTTGCAGGCCTGAGAGGCTCAGAGGAAATAAGACATTTGCACATGCTCAGGAATGTGTGACATTCTGCAAATATTAAATCATCTATTGGGTGCCGCCTCTCTCTGACATCTCATTCTTCTCTGAGATCTCATTCTTCTCTGAGATCTCATTCTTCAGTATTCCTCAAGATGCCTTAAAGTCCTATCAAACAAGACCATGTTCTTCTCTCTACTTGAATAACCAATCAGTCACTCACCTGGGATGTGGAAAGAATGTATTGTTTTCTGGATTATGTATCAATGCCTGTGAGCCTGGCATCTCAGGCAGGTGAACTTCCTGTTCTTAGGTGGAGACTGCTGGGTCCCCCCACCCATAAGATAATTAGCTGCTTTTATAGATCCAACTCCAGCTCATGAATCATTTTTAATTTATTTTTTGTTTTTTTAAGACAGAGTCTCACTCTGTCACTCAGGTTGCAGTGCAGTGACATGATCATGACTCACTGTAGCCTCGACTTCCTGGGCTCAAGTGATCCTCCAGACTCAGCCTCCCAAGTAGCTGAGACTACAGTTGTGTGCCACCATGCCTTGCTAATTTTTGCAGAGATGGGGTCTCACTATGTTGCCCAGGCTGGTCTCAAACTCCTGGGCTCAAGCGATCCTCTAGCCTTGGCCTCCTAAAATGATGGGATTACAGGCAGGAGCCACTGTGCCCACATGATTTATTTTTCATTCAGTTGAATTAACACACCTGGGACAAAAAAGTAAACTTGCATGCTTTTCATTAATAAATTCCGTGAGGAAAGCAAGTCATTCTCACTTTTGTTTAAATCGAGACAGCTATAGACAAGAAAAAGAATAGGGCGTCAACACATTCTTTTCTTATTTTAATTATCTCGAATAAAAAGGGTCAAGGAGAGGAATCTGATAACAAATAGGGCGAGGCTGGCATGCAGGCTGCTAATGTGAACACAGTTACTTTACTGTAACTTTTCTTTTTGGGAAAATCTCTTCAAAAGGCTCCTAGATTAAAGCTCTGATATCCCTTTCAGTGTGTTGAATTCTGAATTCTGAAGCTTGCTGGTTGGAAGGAAGCACAGGTAATTTTTTTTTTTTAATCCCAGGAACTCAGAGACTCAAAGGTTTTAAAGTCCTGTGCCCATGGCGAATTGCCAACTAAAAGGGGATGGAGCAGAACGGGGTCCCTAGGTGTGGAGACCATTGTCATCAAGAGTCAGAAAATGGAATGGCTCTGTATGTAGGTCAGCGACCCCCTCTCTACTGTGAGGTAAAAAAATTAAGGATGACCTAAAATCTACTGTGTTTAAAAAGATTGCAGAGAAAGTAGCTCTTTCTTGTCAAAGTGATAATGTTTATACTACCTGAAGCCAGACCTCCTCAGAGTATGACTTTAGGGGGACTCTTTAGAGCTGAAAAGCCATGGTCAAAACCTCAGGCCCTTTCGACATCTATTAACTTTTTATCCTTCAAGGTAGTTGGCTGTGTTATTGTAGAGGTGTTCAATGGGACCTGCCAGCATATTCCATTATCATCATTGATATTGAAGGGATTCTAAGTCAGCTGTTACAGAGTTCTGCCTGAAATGCTGGTTGATTCATCACTTATCTTAAACTTTCCCCCAATAATCTGGATTTAAATAAGTCAAGAGTGTCAAATTAAACAGCCAAAGGGAAAGACTCCCATAGAGCGACACAGAGAAGAGAAAATGAAACAAGAAAGAAGAAAGAGGAGGAAGAAGAGGAAGACAGAAGAAGAGAGATTTTTTAAATCCCCACTTTAATAAAAAGACATTTAAAAAGTCCTTATTAAACAATGGCCTGGGCCTGTATGATTTTTGTAAAACCAACGGAAGCCAGGATATTAGATTCTATTGTTCAGTGTGTAAGCTGAGTAGCTCTGGTGGTCTGCATATGGCCTCAGCTCCTTATGGTGTCCAAATGTAAGCTTGTTGGCGTCTCTTCAGCAGTGTTGCAATGATTCACAGCATTTTGTGTTTATTTTGTGCTATGATTGGGTGCTGCATTCTGATTTCTTAGTAAGAAGCAATATTTTTCTGATCCTTTAAAGTGGGAGAGGAGTTGGGGCCCAAGGTATGAAGCAGACTTGATTTTTAAAAACCTTTTTATTTTTAAATTATTTTAGATTTTCAGAGGAGTTGCAAAGATAGCATAGAGAGTTTCTGAATACGCTTCACCCAGCTTCCCCTAAAGTTAATATCTAATATTATTATGGTATATTTGTCAAAACTAAGAAATTAACAATGGTACAAGACTATTAACCAAACTGTTGACTTTATTTGGATTTTACCATGTTTCCCACAAATGTTCATGTTCAGTTTTAGGATCTAATACAGGATACCATGTTGCATTTAAAGAACTTAATTTTGAACAAGAGAATAATAAATATAGCCATGCATTTTGGCAAGGCGGGGAGGGAGGAATGGTGAATACCCTGACTTGGAATATCATCAAATGGGTTATATTTTCCATAGGAACATGTTATAATGGGGAGTTATGTTCTTGACTAGAGACATTATAGCAAATAAATCATAAATGACCAATAACTATGGAGATAAAGGAAAGAAACATCAAGCCCCCAAATGAATTTGAAATAGTAAAATATAGTTTCAATTCCTATAAAAGAAATACAGTGATTAGACATGAGGCCCCAACAATTGCAGTCAGCACCTGCTCCTTACTATATGCTAGGTGCTCTTCTAAGCAAATTAGCTATAGTAATTCATTTAATTCTCATAACCATCCTATGTAGTAGGCTCAATTATCAACCCTATTTTACAAGTGAGAACACAGAGACATAGAAAAATAACTTGTCCAATGTTGCACAGCTAGTAAGTGTTGGAATTAGAATTCAACCTGGGCCTCAAATGTGGTAAAATATCTATGTGTAGATATAAAATTGTATAGTATGAAAATGTGATCAAACTTGAATGCAATCAATACACAATTGAATAATTTTGCCTCTTTTCTTAGTATGTAGAAAGACTTTTGCAATTGATTTGGTTGGCTTATGTCCTTTAATGAAGCTGATGCTTCTTTCTGTCTTAGAAACTTTCTGGTAGAAATCCACTGGCATCCCATTCTTAACCTCCATGCATACAATATATCTGACATATTCTGGTCCAATGTTTGACACATTGCCATAGCATTACCTTCCTCTTCCCTGAAACTGCAAGCATTTTGAGGGCAGGGACTATGTCTAATGCAGCCCAGCCTCAGCCCCTTACAGGGTTCAATAACTGGTGATTGAATGCTTGCAGGAATGGAGTCAATATTGGTTGACCTTGGAGCTGTGTGTTTCAAAATAAATGGAATTTCTATAATTTTTTCACAAGATGATACCTTTTTACATCCCAGCAAATCATCTATCAGATGAGTCAAGAACAAAAATTGGAAGTGAATGCAAGGTAGAAATTAATCCATGTCTAAAGAATAGTTGGAAAGAAAGCCTCCTGGTGGAAAGTGGAGAATGCTTGTAGCCAAGGATGGAAATGTGTCACAAGGTTGGAACTTACTCCCCAATATGATTGGCAGTATTGGATTTCTCAACCTCCCAAAGGGCCTCTGGGCTCTCAGGCTGAGGGTTCTATGAAGGGGACCCCAGCAGAGCCTGGTGAGCTGAGTGGAGGAGACGGCACTGGAAGTCTAGGGATGCCAGGACAGCTGGAGTTTGTAGGGTAGGGTGCTGGAGAGGAGAAAGCTTCACACAGAAAGAACTTTGCAGAGGGCCCCCTTGATTATTCAGCTCAATACCAATTAGTGTGTGGGCATGAGGAAACTACCTAAGCTGTGGAAAGAGCCACCTGAAAGGAAGGATTAGAACCGACTGAAATATGTCAAATATTTTGTGTGCATAGAGGTTGAGAGTGTGGGCTGGTGGATTTCTACCAGAAAGTTTCTAGGACAGAAACGGTGCAGTGCTCATCACATGCACAGGTTCAGGAATAGTGGCTGGTTTCAGCAACCAAAGTGTGAAACCTTATAAATAATTAGGTATGGAGAGAGTACCAAAAAGAGTTGTCTCAGTAGCAGAAAAAAAAATTAACCTTAGACTAACCACCGATTGACTTCTGATTAATAAAGCTTAAAGGCAAGACCCAAAAGGATCAAACTATTTCCAAGTAACTTTACATTCCAGAGCAGAGATCAAGAATATTGACAGGAATACAAAAATATCAAACACCCAATGAAATGTAGAGAAAAAACCAAAAAATCAAAAGTGACCCAGAGGCTGGGAGCAGTGGCTTATGCCTGTAATCCCAGCACTTTGGGAGGCTGAGGCAGGAGAATCATTTGAAACTAGGAGTTTGAGACCATCCTGGGCAGCAAAACAAGACCCCAACTCTACAATAAATAAATAAATGACACAGAAATGACATAGGTGATAGAATTAGTAGGCAGGGCCATTAAAACACTTGTTATAACTATATTCCACCTGTTTGAGAAGCTAGAGGAAAGACTGACCATGTTAAGTAAAATACAGAAATATAAGTCCTAAGATTGGAATTCTGAAATTGAAACTACAATGTTGGAGATAAAAATATAGTGGATAAGGTTCATGGCAGATCAGGTATTTCAGAAGAGAAGATCAATCAATCAATCAGAGAGAGAGGCTGAGCAAAATGAACAGAGCATCAGTGAACTGTGGAACAATCTTAAGTGGCATAGTATATGTATAATTGGAGTCCCTGAAGGAGAGTACTGGTTGTATAGAAAAAAAATGTGAAGAAATAATTGCCAAAATATTTCCAAATTGGATGAAAAGCATATAAACCCACAGATCCAAGATACTCAATGAATCCCAAGCATAAGAAACATAAAGAAAACTTGCCTGGCATGGTGGCTCACACCTCTAATCCCAGCACTTTGAGAGGCCAAGGTGGGCAGATCACCTGAGGTCAGGGGTTCAAGACTAACCTGGCCAACATGGTGAAATCCTGGCTCTACTAAACATACAAAAATTAGCTGGTGTGGTGGCATGCACCTGTAATCCCAGCTATCTGGGAGGCTGAGGCAGGAGAATCATGTGAATCCGGGAAGCAGAGGTTGCAGTGAGCTGAGATCATGCCACTGCACTCCAGCCTGGGCAACAGAGTGAGACACCATTTAATAATAATAATAAAAAGAAACATAAAACTACATCAAAGCACCTCATAACCAAATTGCTTAAAACCAGTGATTAGAGAAAATCTTAAAGCCAGATAAAAGGATATTTATTAGCTATAAAAGAACAAAGATAAAACTAGGAGTTTGAGACCACCCTGGGCAGCAAAACAAGACCTCAACTCTACAATAAATAAATAAGTGACACAGAAATGACACAGGTGATAGAATTAGTAGGCAGGGCCATTAAAACAGTTGTTATAACTATATTCCACCTGTTTGAGAAGATAAAAAGGGGATAGTAGATTTCTCATTTTAAAAAATTTAAGTTAGAAGACAGTAGAGTTATGGGTCTAAAGTGCAGAAAAAATAAGAAGAAAATAAAAAACCAAACTGTCAGCTCATAATGCTCTACCCAGCAAAAATACCTTTCAAATACTCAGGTGAAATAAAGACTTTTTCAAACATACAAATACTGAAAGGACCCATTACCATTAGACATACAGTGCAAGAAATGTTAAAGAAAGCACTTCAAGCAGAAGGAAAATGATACTAGATGGAATCTTGGAGCTACACAAATAAATGAAGGGAAGTGGAAATGGTAACTATATGAGTAAACATAAACACTTGTTTCTTATTACTTCAATATATTTAAAAGAAAATCCTCTGTTTAAACAAAAATAATAGCAATGTATTGCAGGACTTTTGTATAGAAGTAAAATGTATATTACCAATAATAGCACAAAGGCCAGGAGGAGAGAAATGGAAGTATACTGCCATACAGTTTTTATACTACACATGAAGTAGAATAGTATTACCTGAGGGTAGAGTGTGATAAAATAAAGATGTATACTATAAACCAGAAAGAAATCACTTAACACAACAAAAAGTTATATCTAGTAAGCCAAAAAAGGAGATAAAATGAAATCATTAAAAATGTTCAGAATAAAAGGTAGAAAAGAAGATAAAGAGAACAAATAATAGATGAACCAAATAGAAAAGAAATAGACATTTGTTTTGAACCTAACCATATCAAAATTACATTAAATGTGAATGATCTACACCCAGTTAAAAAACAGAGACTGTCAGATTGGATTAAAAAAAGCAAGACTCAATTATAATCTG
The DNA here is from genome assembly GCF_000001405.40 of Homo sapiens. Classification (NCBI taxonomy): domain Eukaryota; kingdom Metazoa; phylum Chordata; class Mammalia; order Primates; family Hominidae; genus Homo; species Homo sapiens. The sequence goes on from NC_000002.12 coordinate 236,230,960, forward strand.
CCTACAAGAAGCCCACTTAAAAAATAAAGACTCAGGTAAGTTAAAAAATGAAAGGATGGTATGGTAGGCAGTATCTAGCATGGTCCCCCACTGAAGTCTATCTTCTGGTGTCCATGCTCTTCTCTCCTCTCCTTGAGCGTGGGCAGAACCTTTGATTTGCCGCTAACCAATGGACTATTGCAAAGGTGACAGGAGGTTGTTTTGGTGAATAAATTACAGAAGATTGTAAATTCCATCTTGCAAGCAGATTGTCTCTATTGTCTTCTCAGCTTGCATACTTTGATGAAACAAGTTTCATGTTAGAGAGGTCCACATGACAAGTGCTATGGTTTAAATGTTTGTGTCCCTCCAAAATTCATGTTGAAACTTAATTCCCAATGTAATAGTATTAAGAGGTGGGTCATTAGGAAGTGATTAGGCCCTCATAGATGGGATTAGTGCCCTTATAAAAGGGCTTGAGGGATTAAATTTGCCTCTTCCATTTTTTCTGCTCCTCTGCCATGTGACAATGCAGCAACACAATGCCATCTTGGAAGCAACACAATGCCATCTTGGAAGCAGAGAACATGCCCTCACCAGACAATGAATCTGCTGGCAACTTGATCTTGGACTTCCCAGCCTCCAGGACTGTGAGAAATACATTTTTATTATCATCACCCCTGGCTAAGCGTTCTCGCTATGTTGCTCAGGCTGGTCTCAAACTCCTGGCCTCAAGCAATCCTCCAACCTTGGCCTCCCAAAGTGCTGGGATTACTGGTGTGATCCACTGCACCTGGCCTAGACCAAAGAATATTACTAAAGATAAATAATTTCATAATGATAAAAAGGTCAGTTCTTCAAAAGGACAGAATAATGCTAAGCATTTATGTACCTAATAATAGAGCTTCAAATTACTTGAAACAAAAACTGACAGAACTGCAAAGAGAAACAGACAAATCCACAATTATACTTAGAGAGTTTGACACTCTTCTTTCAATAACTTGTAAAACAAGTCCAATGAAAATCAGCAAGGATATAGAAATATTAAACAACATGGTTAGGCAATTTGATTTAATTTACATTTATAGAATACTACATTGAACTACTGCAGAATATACATTCTTTTCTAGTATACATGAAACATTTATCAAGGTATAGCATATCTTGGATCATAAAACAATTCTCAGTAAATTTAAAAAGGACTAAAGTCATACAAAGTAAATTTTCTAGCCATAATGGAATTAAATTAGAAATCATAAGATATCTGGAAAATCCCCACATATTTGGAAACTCAATAACATACTTCTATATAACCCATGACTCAAAAAAAAAAAAAGAAAATTAGAAAGTATTTAAAACTGATCGAAAGTAAAAACACATATTAAAATTTGTGGGATTCAGCTAAAATAGTATGTAGTGAGATATGTATAGCACTAAAAGCCTATATTAAAAAACATGAAAGTTCCTGACTCAGTGACATTAGCTTCCACCTTAAGAAACTAGAAAAGAAGAGCCAATGAAACTCAATGTGAGCAAAGAAAGAATAATAGAGAGTATAGTGGAAATCAATGAAATAGAAAAACAATAGAGAAAAACAATGAAACCAAAAGCAAGACTTATTGGGGGGAAAAGAAGACAAATTCTAGTATCATGAATGAGAGAGGTGATATCACTATAGAATCTACAGCTCTTAAAAGGACAATAAGGAACAACTTTATGGCAATAAGTTAAACAACTTAGCTGAAAGAGGTCAGTCTCTTAGAAAATACAAACTATTAAAGCATTAAAGCTCACTCAAAAAAAAAGAAATAATCTGAGTAGCCCTATAGCTAGTAAAGAAATTAAATTCATAGTTAAAAACCTTATTACAAAAAGACATGTCCAGATAGCTTTACTGATGAATTCTACCAAACATTTAAGGAAGACATAATTTTATACAAGGTCTTCCAGGAAATAGAAGAGAAGGGCATACTTCTCAAATTATTTTTTCTCAAATTATTTCTGAGACCAGCATTACTCTGATGCCAAAACCAGACAAAGGTATTACAAGAAAATGAAACTACAGACCAATATCTTTCATTAACATAGATGCGGATACTAAATATTTTTTCCAGCAAACCAAACCCAATAATATATAAAAAAGGATAACTCCTCATGATCAAGTGTGGTTTATCCCAGGAATGCAAGGTTGGTTTAACATTTGAAAATTAATCAATATAAATTATTATATTAACAGACAAAACTTATACCTCATGATTATCTCCATATATGTAGAAAAAGCACTTGAGAAAATTCAATATTAATTCATCATACAAACTGTCAGCAAACTAGAAACAGAAGGGAGTTCTGTATCTCTGAAAAAAGGAATCTGCAAAATTTTACAGCTAATATCATACTTAGTGGTGAATTAATGTTTTCCTTAGGATCAACAGGAACAAGAAAAATTATCTGCTCTCACCACTTTTATTCAACATTGCACTGGAGGTTCTAGCCAGTGCAATAAAATAAGGAAAAGTAATAAAAGGCATCTAGATTGTAGAAGAAGTAAAATTGTATTTATTTGTAGACGACATGATTGCTTACAAGAAATCCTATGGAATTCTACTAGAACAGTGAGTTTAGAAGGGTTATAGGATACAAGGTCAATATACAAAAATAAATTATTATAAATTTCATATAGTAGTTACACACAATCAGAAATGGAAATTTAAATATACAGTTGACAACAGCATCAAAAAATGAAATAATTAGGGATAAATCTTACAAAATATATGCAAACCTTGTTCCCTAAAAACTATCAAACACAGCTGAGAAAAGGAAGAAATAAATAAATGGAGGAGTATATTGTGTGCATGATTTGAAAGCCTCAATATTTTTATTTTTATTTTTCTCCAAATTGATTTATAGATTTGGACAACATAACCCAGGAAGCTATGTTGTAGAAATGGATGAACTGAATCTAAAATTCATCTGGAAATGCAAAGGAGCTAGAATAGCCAAAACAACTTCAAGAAGGAAGAACTATGCTTGAAAACTTATACTACCTGACTTCAAAATTTATTATAAAGTTACAATATTCAAGACAGTATGGTATTGGTGTTAAAACAGGCAAATAGAGCAATGAAACAGAATAGAGATGAAGGGGGATGGCTCTGCCATGGCACCTTGGTGACCCTGCACATATCCACATAGGCCACAAAGCAAAACTGGAACCACTACTGAATCTACGTCTTGGTAGAACACCTGGATACTCCTGGGTTGGAAGCTTGTAAGGAGTTGCTATAAGACCCTTGCCCCCTCCCCTGGCTATGTCCCCTAGGAGGCTGCTATGAGATGGTTTCTCAATGCCTTCTGGATCCTGAGGAGGCAGGGACCTTCCTGCTTCAGCCCCTTCAGAATAGAGATACAGGCTGTGAACCTCTCAGCTCTGATCTAGGCATGGCTGCTCAGAAATGGGGTATTCTTCAATTTGTGTTGACATCATCCAGCCCCTTTTGTCTAGGTGTTATCCTTTTTGGTGTGTGGCATAAAGATTGTGAGGAGCCAACACCACTGGCTACTCTTCCTTTCACTCTTTATATAATAGAGTGGCTCCTCACGTCTTCACCAGGTGAACCAGTCAGACTTTGCCCTGCTTTGCACATGCTTGACAAGAGAGCTCAGAAATAAACTCACGCATATATAGTCCATTCATTTTTGACAAAGGTGCAAAGACCGTTTGGTGGAGAAAGGAAGGGTTTAGATTCACAAATACTTATTTTCTACTAACAGTGCTGGAACTGTCAGATATCCACATGCAAAAATAAATAAAAAAGCTTCAATCCCTACCTCACATCATATTCAGAAATGAACTCAAAATGGATCACAGACTTAAATGTAAAATGTAAAGTTATGAAATTTCTAGAAGAAAATATAAGAGAAAATCTGTATGACCTTGGGTTAGGCAGATTTTTTTTTAGATATCATAACCCAACCTAATCCTTAAAAGAGAAAAAATGGATAAACTGGACTCCATAAAAATTAAGAACTTCTGTTCTTCAAAAGACATTGCTAAGAGAATAAAATCTAAGCCAGAGACTGGCAGGTAATACTTATCAATCACATATCTCACAAGAGATTCATATCTAGAATATCCCAAGAAACCTCAAACTTAAATAAGAAAACCAACCCAATTTTAAAAATGGGCAAAAGATTTGAACTGACACTTTACCAAAGAAGATACAGTCATGTCCCTTATAACAATGGTTTTGGTCAACAACAGACCACATATACAATAGTGGTCCCATAAGATTATACTGTACGTTTTCTATGTTTAGATACACAAATACTTCCCATTGTGTTACAATTCCCTACAGTATTCAGTACAGTAGCATGCTGTCCAGGTTTGTAGCCTGGGAGCCAGAGGCTTAATCATATAGCCTAGGTGGGCAGTAGGCTATGCCATCCTGGTTTGTGTAAATATACTCTATGATGTTTACACAATGATGAAACAACACATTTCTGAGAATGTATCCCCATCGTTAAGCGACAAATGACTGTATGTGGATGGCAAGTAAGTTCATGAAACAATGCTCAACATCGCTAGTTACCAGGGAAATGAAAATCAAAACTATAACAAGACATGTGTACACACCTATTAGAATGTATACAATTAAGCCCTGACCATACCATGTATTGGTGAGGCTGTAAAGCAACTGGAACATGCAGACATCGCTGGTGCGGATGTAAAATGGTACAACTTTCAAAACTAGTTGGGCCATTTATTAGTTATTGTTATTATTATTTGAGACAGGGTCTCAACTCTGTCACCCAGGCTGGAGTGCAGTGGCGTGAACATGGCTTACTCCTGTGCTCAAGCGATCCTCCCACCTCAGCCCCCTGAGTAGCTGGGATTACAGGTGCATGCCAACATGCCTGGGTAATTTTTGTATTTTTTGTAGAGATGGGGTTTTGCCGTGTTGCCCAGGCTGGTCTTGAACTCCCGGACTCAAGTGATCTGCCTGTCTCAGCCTCCCAAAGTGTTGGGATTACCGGCATGAGCCACCGCACCTAGCCTAACAGTTATGTTCTTAATCATACCGTGTGACCTAGGTATTTATTCAAAATGCATAAAAGCATATGCCCATTCAAAGGCTGGCACACAAATGTGCATGATAACTTTGTTTGTAAAAGACCCAGACTGGAAACAATCAAATGTCTCCCAACATCTGAATGGATGAACATAACATACTGTGGTTCATCCATACCACGGACCGCTACCCAGGAATAAAAGGAATGAACTACGGACACACACAGCAACACAGATGAATCTTAAAATAATTATGTCGAGCGAGAGAAGCCAGATAAAAGACTGCAGATTCCATTTATACAAAATTCTAGAAAATTCAGACTAAGCCAAGTAATAGAAAGCAGATGCTAGGGATGGAGAGTGAGAAAGGGGCCAGTGGGAGGGAGAACCGTGGGCACCGTGAGGCCACAGGGGGAATGATAAATATCTGCCCTCCATGGACTGCGGGGTGTTGCACGAGTGTATAAGTCTGCGGAATTTATCAAATTGTACGCCTTAAACACGTGCCGCTTGCTGAATGTCAATCACACCTCGGTAAAGCTGCTTTTAAAGAGCATTGCTAGAACCTTGTTTCCTTCCTCTTTCTCAAGACTGGCGGGGGTCCACGTGGCCCCCTGATCCCCCCTCTGAACTCAAATGACCTTTCTTAGGTGGGTCCCCTGCCTGAGTCCCTGAATGCCCAGCAGTCCCGCCTGCCTGCGTTGCTGCCCCTGCTGGGCAGGACATCCAGGCAACTTTGACAGTCGGTGGAGAAGCAGCAAGGGCGATGCGGTTTCTGAGAGAGCCGCGCGGGTTCCCAGCACTAAACGTGGGCGACTTTCCTTAATCTTCCCCCAGAGACAGAAGGCCATGCAATGACAACTCCAAGGGCAGGGGCTGGAGCATTTTGACTAACAGAAAAGTCAGGATGACACAATGCAAGCCGAGAAACCCCACACGAGTCCTGTGCAAAGACAGGTGGCCCCGCTGCCTTTCCGAGACCCGGAGCACACGCTGGGAGGGCGCTCTCTGGGGACGGGGGCTGCGGGACCCCCAGACCCCGCGCCCGGGCGCGAACTAGCTGAGCGGCCGCTGGGCCTCCCTAGAGGCCGGCACAGCTCCGCTTCCGAGCGGGCCTGGAAGCCCCGCCCGAGGAGCTAACCATTTATGTCACACTGTGACAATTATTCTGCATAAAATTATCATTAAAAACCCTAATTTTTCAGCCTCCAACCCCGCCAGTGGCCTTTTAGCATCCCCGGCGCCGGCGGCTGGGCTGTGATCACCGCGCTCATTACCTCGGCGTGGCGCCTCCCGCGCGCGCTCGCAATCAAGCGCTAATTAAACCCGCGGGGGCCGGGGCCGGGGCGCGGGGCGGGGGCCGGGGCCGGGGCGCGGGGCGGGGGCCGGGGCCGGGGCGCGGGGCGGGGGCCGGGGCCGGGGCGCGGGGCGAGGGCCGGGAGGTGCCAGGTCTGGGGTCCCGGGTCAGGGATCTTGGATCTGGGTCCCGAGGCAGGGGCCGGGGTAGGGACGGGGCGGATGCGGGTCTGGGGATCCAGTGGGCAGAGTCAAGGGTGCAGGGTCTGGGTCCGGAGGCGGGGGCTGGGACGGAGGCGGAGGCGGGGTCGGCGGTCTCGTGGGGGGAGGCGGGCGTCTGGTCTCGGGGCGGGGCGGACGCCGCGGGCCTGTCCCGAGGTCCTTACCCGAGCGAGGCGGCCGTGCGGCAGAGGTGCAGAGGCGCCAGGCCCTCGGCGCTGAGCAGGTCGGGGTCGGCGCGGTGCTGCAGCAGCAGGCGGACGCAGGCGGTGTGGCCCCCGAGGCAGGCCTCGTGCAGGGCGCCGCGGCCGCCGGGGCTGGCGTCTGGGTCTGCGCCGCGGCCGAGCAGGTGTCGCACGCAGGCGGTGTGGCCGTGGGCCGCGGCGATGCACAGGGGCGTGGTGAGCTCACGCTTGTACTCCAGGGTCCAGAGGCCTGCGGGGAGGGAGGTGGGATGTAAGGTCAGGGGGAGGTTAGTTGTGGTGGTGGTGGGCGGTGTTCCTTAAGGCGGAAAGAAAGTGAAGCCGTCTCTTAAAGGTAGGTACCAGGTAGGCATGTAGGGAGAAGAGGATAGAATCAGAGACGCACACAGAGACAGAGAGCAGAGAGACACACTGGGAAGAGACAGGCGTAGACAGAGGAAGAAATACAAAGGAGAGATTGAAGGCTAAAACCGAGCTAGAGAGATGGGGCGCCGGGTATTGAGAAGCAAGAGGATTTTGCCAAATACGGGGGTGACTGGGAAATGGGGTCAGTTAAAAGCTGTCCAAGCAGGGTGCACGGTAGGCGAATTTAAGTGAGGAATTCACGTGTTCCAGGCCCTGAGTTAGGGCAGCTTGAAAGAGGAAAGTGGGTTGTGGAATTTTCCCGAATCCAGCACTCCCTTAGCTGAGCTCCAAACTTGTCCCTTTATCATTAAGAAGAGACAACAGACAAAACAAACTGACCCACACATCACCAAGGTTGTTCAAGAAAAGGACTCAGAGAAAGTTTAGCTCTCTTGCAAGTGGCTGAGTTTTCAGAAGCACACTTTGATGTGGTGGTCCACATTCAGCACAATCCTGGTTTGTTTCTTTGCGCTTTTTAGGGGTGTGTGTGTGTGTGTGTGTAGGGTTGCTCTTTCTTGAGGGATGAATGGAGCAGGTGCTATACATTTTTACTTCTCTGAAAACTTTGGCACTTTCAAAAAGCCCGTGGAAGGTTGTTAGCGGCCAGGAGCGCTCGTGGAAATGGGGGATGTAGTCCCTGGTGAATACACATCAAGGGGCAGGATTTCACATGGCAGGAAGGCCTTCTGATAATGATGGAAGAATCGATACTGTGGCTGTAATGAGCCGCAGAGGAGACCCTTTTCACAGGCCACCTCCTTCCCAGGACCCATGCTGAGCAGCCTTGAAAGTCCATTCATTAATTACCTACCCGCATGTGGTGCCGAGTTCCAGCCGCCCTGAGTCCCCAAGGCCCAGCCTGGAGCTTGTTGTGCACTCAGTGGGGGAAGGGGGGCCTGTGGGACTGGCATGGAATGGTGGTGGCCAGAGGCCCCAGGGACATGGACCTGCATGGGTTTGAGCTGCCCTTCCCAGTGAAGACCAGGTCGGATCTGGAGGGGGTGATGGATGTAGTCTATCTACATTGTTATCCCCGTGATAACAATAACCTACATTCCTGCAGGTGCCAGCTCTTGGTTTTTTGATTCGATTTGTTTTTCTGAGAGATGAAAACTACTTACTGCCTTCTCTGGGAAATGCTAAATCCCCAACCCAGCCCCACCCTACCCTAGCGCTCAGTAAACCCACCCTGGATTCCTGAGTCTTCTCAGGGACTGATGGGGAGAAGCCATAGGTGGGGATCTAGCTCAGCCACAGTGTGGGCCAGCACCGTCTCCAGGTCCTTGGCGATGCAGTCAGGAAGTCTGAATCAGCTTTCTGTAACTCCCGCCCTCTGGTCCCAGTTCTGCCACCAGGAGGGACGTGAATTAAGGCTCAGGAAGCCGGAATCAGCTTTCTGTAACTCCCGCCCTCTGGTCCCAGTTCTGCCACCAGGAGGGACATGAATTAAGGCTTCTCTGCATGTGGTGTGTCCCTCTAAGCATCAGCTCCCCCATGTCAGTGCTCTCTATGACTGTGGGCTGGATGGGCCAGCATTCTATCACGGAGGGGCACCGAGGTGGTGGCCACTGGGGACCTGCTCCCTGTACTCAGATCAATCCCTTCCCCACCAGGGGAGCTGGAATTGGCCACCGGGAAGTCTTTTCATGGGAGAGCACATGGGGCCACTGCTTTCAAACAGGGTCTGGTCGTTTCTGCTGCTGGATCTGCTGCAGGGCAGTCAGGTGTCTGTGCCGGAGGAGGCTGGAATCCAGGCAGCCTGAGCTTGCCTCCCTCTCTTCCCAGCCTGTGTGGAGGCCTTGGGCCACTACTCACTGTCCGGGCTGCCGTTTCCTCAGTACCAGCCCACATCCCTTTGCTGTGGGCGTGCTCCAGTATCCTGTCGTCCAGGTGTACCACAGGACAGCAGCAGAACTTAGGGGTGGGAAGATTCGGGAGGGAAGGAGGAAACTGATTTTGGATACAGAATGTGCAAATGATGGGTGAACATGACTATCTATTTGAAATTGTGACATTTGTGTGTGTGTATGTCCAGGGCTGCCGTTGGTATTTTTGGTCTGGGATAGGTGAGGGAGAGGAGGCCCAGAAGGGGTCGGCTGCGACATGCAGCCCCAACAGGAACTGCCATTTGCCTTTCCTGCAGCCCCCACCGCCTCACTGGTTGGCAGGAGCTGCTCGGCCCTCTGACAGTGTTTTGAGTTTATTCTCTTCTCCCCGTGTGAGGTATAAACAGAACTGTGTCAGTTCTTTGGAAGCCAACCTTCCGCATTCTTTGCCTGCCAGAGCTTAAGAGTCAGGGACATGGGACACTGGCCGCCGGCCACTGACCTCAGATTCTCAAATCCCATGGTCTGGCAGAGCTGCTGTAGATTCCAACGCATGTGAAACTTCTTGGTAAATATGTTGCATCTGAGCTGGTGGCGGGTGGGGTGCCCAAAGCAGGGTGCCATCCGAGAAAGCCCCAGATGCAGCATGGTGGTCAGCAAGTGTCTGCACATCTTGAGTGGGCAGGGGGAGGAGGGGACCTCTTTCCACTTGGGAGGTCTGCTTGTCCGCCCAGCGCACAGTGACCATGTTCAGGCAGCAAGAGCACCTGCAGACACGTATGAAGTCAGGACCTCTGGTTTCTTCCTTTTTCCTTCCCCATTCTTGGGATTCCCCAGATTCCAGGAGGAGGATCTACAGAGAGTCCTGGGGTCCTGCCTCTACTGATGCTGGCTGTGCCCCTGCTGTAGCTGTGGCATTTGCAGATTCATAAAGGACCTCACACAGAGCTGTGTGCCAGAGGCTGCTCCGGGCGCAACTGAAGGAGAGACTTTCCTTCTTCAGCACCCACCTCCCTGGCTGCCAGATGCAGGCACGGGCAGCTCCACACCTAAACCAATGCTCCTTTGTAAAGACAAGAGGCACACCCAGCGTCATCGGATAGGCATTCCCACCAATCGCTGCTTTGCCTTTCCAACTGGATCTCTTATAGGCCATCACCTAAAACCTACACTTTACTGCGAGCAAACTTCATCAGATGTCCTTTTCTTGTGTACGTTAAACCCAGTGCCACTGTGCCCAGTCTACACACGGGAGCCTTACACTCCCAGAGAGTATTAGTAGCCCCTTAAAAATAAATGACTGAGCTTTAAAGAACAAGGGTACCTGATAGTCCAAACGTGGCTGGAGATTTCACCTGCCATTCCATCTCATCCTTATTGATCTCAAACACCACGTTGGCATCCTGGAAGAACTGGTCCATGAGGGGCTTCAGATGGTCGAGGTCCCCTGCGACCAGGGCAGTGTGGTACTCCTGCACCGGGGACCCTGCTCTAGCTTGAGGATCCTTCTCTGTCTTTTGAAATATTTGAAGTTTTCCTCTCACTGGCCCTGGCTGTCTCTCCATTGAGATGCCGTCGATTTCAGAAGAGTTCTTCAGGAACGGGAAAGATGGTCTTATGGAGTGTGAGCTATTTCTATTGTCATTACTCAATTGTCATCCAGTTGGGGCTCGATGGTGGTATATTTATAACTCCTGTGGGCTCCGATGTGATAATGGTTACTTGATATGACCAGGGGCATGTGAGCACTGGGATGCCGCAGTACTCAGCCACCCTCTTTGTGATGATACAGATGCTAACTCTGGAGACAGACACATCTGGATAGCTCCAAAGCAGCTCTCCATGCACCGAGGGCAGACTCCCAGCACACATTTAATTGTGATGGACTCATTTATCCTGCTGTTGGGCAGATGATTCCCCAGTCTTAAATAGCATTGCATTTACCTGTTTATGTGGAGTAAGTGACTCACTTACAAAAATGACTTTGGTGACCAGAATACTTAGCAAATAAGTAATATCCTCTCAGATTTTTTTTTAAAGTACTATATTTGGAATCTGGAAATAAAAGTCTTATGCTCAGAGGAAAGAAACAAGTATTTATGAAGCACCCGATGTACACCAGTTGCTTTTTAAGTATTACCATATTTATTTCTTTACTCCCAATAACAACCACATGAAGGAAATAGCATGGCCACGGCCGCCTGGCTAGTTAGCAGCTGTGCTATGATTGGAACCCATGTGCGTCTGTCTCAAGAGTCCATCCTCTGTCCCCCACGCCACTCTGCTGGCTTCCAGTTGCATCAGGTAGGACCTACTCAGAACTGGGCCAGCACTGTCAGGAGCCACTTTCCAGAGAGGCCTCTTGGCTGCCCAGGATTTAGTCTTTCTCCAAGCGAAGGCGGTGCCAGGTAGCAGGACCTACTCTCAGGGTGATAGGGCTGAAAGGGTCTGTCTGCTGTCACTAGTTGGCGATCTCCACTCCCAGCTCTTGTATGGTTTGGGTGCTATGAATTGTTTGTACATTTATAAATAGTTGGGAAAAATCAAAAGAAGAATAATATTTCATGATACTCACTGCACCCTCCACCTCCTGGGTTCAAGTGATTCTCCTACTTCAGCCTCCTGTGTAGCTGAGATTACAGGCATGTGCATATCACCACGCCCTGCTAATTTTTTTTTAAATTATTTTTCGTAGAGATGGGCTTTCACCTTGTTGGCCAGGCTGGTCTCAAACTCTTGATCTCAAGTGATCCGCCCACCTCGGTCTCCCAAAGTGCTGGGATTGCAGACATGAGCCACTGTGTCTGGCCAATCCCAGCACTTTGGGAGGTCGAGGTGGGAGGATTTGTTGAGTCCAGGAGTTTGAGACCAGGCAAGATAGCAAGGGTCCCCCCATCTCTACAAAAAAAAAAAAATTAGCTGGGCATGGTGATATGCACCTGTGGTCCCAGCTATTTGGGAGGCTAAGGTGGGGAGGATCACTAGAGCTTGGGAGGTCAAGACTATAAGGAGCCATGATTGTGCCACTGTACTCCAGCCTGGGCAGTGGAGTGAGACCCTGTCTCAAAAAAAAAAAAAAAAAAAAAAAAAAAGGGCTGGGCGCAGTGGCTCACGCCTGTAATCCCAGCACTTTGGGAGGCCGAGGCGGGTGGATCACGAGGTCAGGAGATCGAGATCATCCTGGCTGACACAGTGAAACCCCGTCTCTACTAAAAATACAAAAAATTAGCTGGGTGTGGTGGTGGGCGCCTGTAGTCCCAGCTACTCAGGAGGCTTAGGTGAGAGAATGGCGTGAACCCAGGAGACGGAGCTTGCAGTGAGCCGAGATCGTGCCACTGCACTCCAGCCTGGGCAACAGAGCGAGACTCCATCTCAAAAAAAAAAAAAAAAAGAGTAATTACTACCTGAAATAAGTGAAGCTTGTCTTTCTCGGTTTGAAGAGTGTCTTTTAGCTTTTTTTCCCATCCATGTTCTCTGTTGCCATGACCAGTGATGAGCAGATGTGTGTTCCAAGGGTTGTGGCCACCCTGAGGATGTGTGAAGGAGGCCCCACTGGACACTGAAAATGACCAGGTTCCAGATAAGTGTCCCTGGGTGTTAGGAGGCTCCATAGGACAGATGCGGGGTTCCCAAAGACATGATCTGGGGCCCTGGTACCTGTGAGTTTCTTCCAGGGACAGAGAACTGATCCCTAAATGTGCATCCCTTGCTGAAGATGAGTAATGCCACATTTTTTTTTTCAAATGAATGATAACAGTTCTTTATTAGTAACTTATGAGTTATTTACTAAGGTTTGGTTTGGTTCAGGGCTTTATTTTATTGTCAAAAAATTAAATAAGCTCATTTTTTTCTTGTAACATAAATAATATGCAATTCCTTCCTTTTTTTTGAGATAGAGTCTTGCTCTGTCACCCAGGCTGGAGTACGGTGATGTGATCTCTGCTCACTGCAACCTCTGCCTCCAGGGCTCCAGCGATTCTCTTGCCTCAGCCTCCTGAGTAGCTAGGATTACAGGTTCTTGCGACCAAACCCAGCTAATTTTTTAATTTTTAGTAGAGACAGGGTTTCACCTTGTTGGCTAGGCTGGTCTCAAACTCCTGACCTCAGGTGATCTGCCCACTTCGGCCTCCCAAGTGCTGGGATTACAGGTGTGAGCCACCGTGCCCGGCCTGTTTTTCTTTCTTTCTTTCAACCATTCTTGTTTTTCCCCACCAGGAAGTTGGAATGGGCCAATGATGGTGAGCTACAGAATTCTTTGGCCTGTGCACATGAGTTACGATACAAACTATATGAGCAGAGGCTGGAGGGAGGTGAAAGGGTCAGGAGGGCTTTGCCTGGATGAGCAGAGAGAAGAGCAGTGCAGTATGGGCCCAGGAGGGCTAAGCAGACCCTCGCCCAGGGAGGCGGGCATAGCATAAGCCCCCATTTGCTCACAGCCAGTGTTAGACCTGGGGACCCATGGGATCCCATCCCCACATGGTGTTGCAACCAGGAAGCAACAGCAGAGAATCAACAGGAAAACAGATGTGAAATCAAGGAATAGAGCTCACTGGGCTGTGCATCCTTGGTCACAGTCGAGCTTCCTAAGCCTCCTTTTATGCCAGTTTCTTCTCTCTCAGTCTTCTCTGCACACAAAGGCTGCCTTGTGACTCCCCCTACCCCTCGTCAAGTGCCCCCCGACCTCTGAGTGCCCAACCAGAGCAGGCTTTCTGTGTGGGCTCTTTATTTGGAAGAGTAACCTGGCTTTTGGGTTGCCCCTTTCACCAAGATCTTCTATAACTAAGGAGTGCTCAGCAAAGGGAGACCTTTGATTTTCCTTACAAGAGATTGCAGCAAAGGGTGGAGTAGAAATCGAACACATTTATGGTTTGATATAGATGTGTTTTGACCCTTGTTGTAGAACCCTTGTTCTGACCCCTGTTACAGGCATGAGTTTATGTGCACAGACTGACCCAAGGCCTGGAGGTTCACCCAAATGATAAAACCCACCTCTCTTCTACAGAGGAGGGCTGCAGTGGTGCTGGGTGGGGAGGGATGAGGCCACGTTTGGCAGTCTATGATGCAGGGGGATAAGGGACAGAGGCTGTGCTGTGAAAGCTGAGGGGCTCACATGGGTGAGAGTCAACCTCAGCTGGGTGTGGGGGGAGACTTGGCCATGACCCAAATTGGTTGCCACGGGGGCCGTAGGTTTATTTTTTACCATGTTTATCTGACCTCTGGGCAAAGGCTCAGCTCTGGGGCTGCAGAAGGGCCCATTGGGCTTAGCTCTTGTGGGGTCAGGGCTAGCTGCCCTTGGGGGCTGCTGCTCCCTGGACACCCACTGCTAGTGACTCTGTGTCAGGTGTATCCCTGCAGGTTGATACCCTTGATGTCATTTGCAGGTGAGGAAACTGGGACTCACAGATTCAGTTACCTTTCTCAAGATTTCTGAATCCTGACATAGCCAGTGCCCAAGCACCTTCCCGTGAGTAAAAGGGCTTCCTACCTTGCCCTCACCGTTGTCCCTGGAGCATGCCACACCTTAGTATAGGGGTCTGCAGTCCCCAGATAGTGCCTTCGTCTCTCCAGGTGTCTGTGCAGGCTGTTCCTTCTGCCTGCAGTCCTTATTTTCCCTCCTTGCCTGGCCAGCCTCGCTCATCCTCCAACACAGCTTAGCCTCCCTTGACCTCCAAGACCAGTCCTGATGTCTGTCCTTGCACTCTGACTGTGGCACTGGGCGCTCTACTATTACTGCTGGTTCCTTGTCTGTGTCCCACTTCACCATGAGCTTTTTTGGAGGACGGTGGGGGCTGCTGCTTCCTCTCTGGGAAGTTCTTCATGCCCCGCATGGTGTTCCACACAGAGAAGGTCTTCAATGCCAACAGTGAAGAGAACGAATGGACTGGACTCTTTGAAACTTGCTCAACATTAAAGCTCCTCAGTGGTTCTTGCTCTTATTCTTGGCCATCTGTTGCCTTTCACCCTTAGGGAAGAACACCATAACGTGGACGCTCGGCTGGCCTAGGGCAGGTCTCAGGTGCTCAGCGTGGGGACCTACCTCAGATCTGTGGGCTTTACTGCACAGCCCACCTTCCCCCACATGTAGAGATCCTTACCAGGTTTTGTAAGAAGACCTGGCCTGGCACAGTAGCTCATGCCTATGATCCCAGCACTTTGGGAGGCCTAGGTGGGTGGATCACTTGAGGTCAGGAGTTCAAGACCAGCTTGGCCAACATGGTGAAACCCCATCTCTACTAAAAATATAAAAATTAGCCTGGTGTGGTGGCACATGCCTGTAATCCCAGCTTCTGGGGAGGCTGAGGCAGAAGAATTGCTGCTTGAACCTGGGAGGCAGTGGGCTGAGATCATGCCACTGCACTGCAGCTTGGGTGACAGAGCAAGACTCCATCTCAAAAAAAAAAAAAAAAAAAAAAAAAAAAAAAAGACCTTGGCTACTGTATGCCCCCTGAGAACTCTTTAAAACTTTGTTTCACATGTTTTTAAAGTTCATCTCCCTTATCCACATCATCAGTAGCAAAAGCAGCATCAATGTCATCAATTGGAACAGCAGAGATTTTTTTTTTCAAAGAGCCCACTGTGTGCCTAGGACCCTGCTGGTGCATTGGAAAATGCATCAGTAAAGAAGAAATAGACCATGTTTGTAAGGAACTTAGAGCCTTCGTTGGAGATCAAATGCATTTGCATGCATAAAATGACCAATAGTAACACAGTGGAGACCACTTCCCTTCTCAAATGTCCACCAGAACAACATGATGGGCTTCAGTCTCATCTCCTTCCCCCTTCATTTATGTATTCTGTAGTTGCACTATTCATTTTCCCACCAATATGAAGCTCTTTGGGTCTTTCCTTTCTCTAAGCATAGCCATTTTGCCATTTTATTTTTTCTCAGACTAATTGTTTGTGATTGGATAAATTTCTGCAGGACTTACTCATGCACAGCTATAATCTGATCCAACTGTGTTTCACTTTAACGAATTTCCTGATGCCTGATATAGCTTGTCGTTGGTTATTTTTAAAAGGGATAGGACACTAGAGGTAAGTCCAGGGATAAAAGCCATTCCACACTGCACCAGACACTAAATTTAGCTTTCCAGTATTATTTGTCAACAGCTTCCTAAGTATCCAAGTTTGATTTCAGTAGGCAAGGTGTAGTAGTCAAGAAACAGACTCTTTTTTTTTTTTTTTTTTGGTGACAGCGTTAAAAATAGCTCATGGTAGATAGCATTAGTTCATAAGACATGCAGATTATTTCATAAGCATGGCAGAGAGCTGTCTTTTTTTTTTTTTTAAAGAACAAGAATAGCCACATGTTGATGATTACATTAAAACAAACAAACCTGAAAACCAACTCATTCATTCATTCATTCATTCAATAAGCATTTATGTAATCTTTATTATGTTTTAGGGTGAATCTTAAGGTTTGAGGGTTTGGAGGCAAAAAACCTAACAATACCCCTGCCTGCAAGGATCAAACAGGAGAAAGCAAGGAGCGGAGGACTCCAGAAGACAGAAGTTCTTTAGGTTTCTTTCCCAGCAGCTGAATGATGCCCTGTAGTTACATGAATAACACTGTTTTCTGACCCAGTGCTCTTGACTGTGCTCTTTGTTGCCTGCTGCCTTCACATTTATCTATAGCTTGCTTGGGTCAAGTCATTTTAATCTCATTATTTTCTTGGTCCTCACCCTTCTCAGCTTAGTCAAAGCCAATACATAGCCTCAAGATACAATTCAGGTTTTATCTTCTCTGCCAACTTTAGTACGTATCCAATGCAACTTCTTTCAAGAGTGAATTTGTGTATGAAGTTGCTGAACAATTGTCAAAGTCTTTGAGGAATTGTGATAAAACAAAAGAAGGACCAGAAGACTAGAGGTTTAGTTTTCAAATGGAAAGAGACTTCGGACAGACTCGTGATCTTGACATTAGACCTGGGCAAGATCCCTACATGGATTGTGAAAAAGATTGTTTGGGAGTATTTAGAAAACAGAGTGGAGTCACCTGGAGCTCCACAAGTCACTAGGAACACGTCAGGGTGGACTAGAATTTTCTTTTGTGACAGGGTTATCATAAATATGCAGACGGGGTGTAGGCAGCAACATGCAATGCCAGTTTCATGACAGCCTCTTGGAAAAGATGGAAACAGTGCGAGTCTTTCTTTAGGAAACTCTGGCTAAATAATGTGAACTGGAGAAATAATACACGTGATGCCCCAACAGCAGTGGTTCAAACGTTGGCTACAAAAATGAATCACCTGAGGAACTTTAAAAAACACGATGCCTGGAGCCCACCTGGTAGTTTCAGGCATAATGGGTTGGAGGTGCAGCCTGGGCAACAGGACTGTTAAAAAGTCCCCAGGTGGCTGGATGTGGTGGCTCATGCCTGTAATCCCAGCACTTTAGGAGGCTGAGGCAGGTGGATCACCCGAGGTCAGGAGTTTGAGATCAGCCTGGCCAACATAGTGAAACCCTGTCTCTACTAAAAATACAAAAATTAGCTGGGCAAGGTGGCGCACGCCTGTAGTCCCAGCTTCTTGGGAGGCTGAGGCAGGAGAATTGCTTGAACCTGGGAGGCAGAGGTTGTGGTGAGTTGAGATAATGCCACTGCTCTCCAGCCTGGGCAACAGAGCAAGACTCCGTCTCAAAAAAAAAAAAAAGAAAGAAAAAAGAGTCCCCAGGTACTTCTAACATGCAGCCAAGGTTGAGAACCATTGCTGTGAAAGGCAACCATGGAATCCGTGACCCTTGCAATGTGGTGTGGAATGCCTTTTATCCCTGGACTTACCCCATTTTGTGTGATACATATCGTGATTTGAATGAATTTGTGGAAGGGTAGCTATCAGATGCGTGGCATGGAGCATGACACAGCCAAGATTCCAAAAGGTCTCCACAGGTCAGAGCAACAGGCCGATTCAATCAATGCCACCAGGCAGCATTCAAACTGCAGACCCATAGGAATCTGTTGTCCTTGTGAATCGAATGACTGAAACAGCTATTCACTACTATGGGTTCCCCGTTTGGGGCACTAGAAGTTTCTTTCTCTTGTTTTTAAGTTAAGAGGTTGTTGGTTGTTTTGATGCATTGATATTTATACCCAAATTTAGATGGCATAAATGCAGCAAATTATTTGAAAACATTCAAAGCATGTCTGTACAGTAAGAGTAACTCGTGTCAGACAGATGTCCATTTAAGTTCCCTTTCTCATTGGGACTCTTGGCTTTGTAGAACTGAGAGTCCCTCTGAGAACTCCAGAGAGCCCCTGTGCTTTGCTTCCTGGTGTTGTCCTTGATCTCTATGTTTGCTTGCATTGTGTACCTTCTGCTCTCCTCCCACAATGGCGGCCACAATTGGCTTCTTTGATTTTTCTTGGTTGGTTGGTTTGTTTTCAAGCTAGCCCACTAACAGCATCACTTAGTGTATCTGGCAATCACACTGAGGATGTGAAGGGGTCTGTCACAGTTTGCACAGCCTTATTCCACTCTTCACTTCCATTTCTGTTTCCATTCTCTCTGGTACAGCCATGGAAATCCTCCCCCTTTTTTCTTCAGTGTTGTTCTGTGCACTGCTAGGGCCCATGGGGTTTCAACGTCTATTCCAGGGTGTTGGTCAAGGAAATGCTTCTGAACAAATACAATGCCCTTCTTGAAAGAGAGGGATTCTGATGAATATAATTTTCTCCAAGCCAGTACATTTAGTATTTTTAGTTTTTCAAATGGTGTACTTATTTGACAGAGGAAGCTTATTTGTGTGGGTGGACCGTGGCAGAATACTAAACAAATGTAATTTCTGTGGTCTTTTGCTGCAGACCATGAAGTGAATTTAGGAAAAGGAAGGCAAGAATCCAAGCAGGAGAGGAGGCCCGGCTTGTGTCTGGCTAACTGAGTGAATAGACTGAATTTCTCTAATACTAGCCAGGTAGTCAACTGGATTAAAATATACTTTTGCAAAGAATATTTTGGAGACTTAAATAATAAGCATGATGTTTTGTCTGCAGGAGACACAAACATGAGTTCTTTATAATTGAGTCCTATAGTGGAGACACAAACATGAGTTCTTTATAATTGAGTCCTATAGTGTAGGTAGCTAATGAGAAGGAGTTTTTGCCTCTGGATCAAATGAGATGAAAAGGGTAAAATCCACCTTGAAATTATAATGGGGTATCCACATGGTAGTGTTTGAATGGTAACTATTATTTTCATGTGACATTGGGATCTTTTCTTCTTGCCATTGAGTTGACTAGTGATTTTCTTTTCCCCAGAAGCCTCCAAGGATTAATCCAGCTGAGGCTGAAACCTGGAGCTGGTGGGCTTTGTGGCAGGGCCAGGCTTATTCTCCATGGCCACAACTTTCCATGCCTTCAAGCCAAGAGGTAGAATTTTTGAGGCTGCAGGACACCCTGCCATTTTCTCTTGTTCTTGGGGAATGGCAAATGTTCAGATTCTTTCCTAGGTCATTGGCAAATGTCTGGCTTCCTTCTGGAAGTGTCCAAGTGGACAGACAGGGGCAGGAAGTCATTACTCTTGTGGACATTGTGAAATTCCGTGCATTCTTTCTTAAATATGCCAGCGCACGTTGTTGACCTGGTCAATTTCCTTCACCCCTTTTTTTACCTGGAGGGTTTCTGTAAATGGCCATGTACTAAGTCTGACTGGACTCTAGGATAATAACATCACTACCAACTGGTGCAGCAGCCCCAGGCCTTCCAGTGGAGTTACTTTCACACCCTCTTCTGGTCTTTATTCTTCCTGTTTTAATGTCTAAAGCCACCTTTCCTTCACCCCACTTCCTGCAGAATTAAAAAAATATATTTTAAAAGTAAGAAGCTGGGCAGGTATATAAAGTTCTGCTTTTAAGAGTTCCAGGACACATCCATCCACCAGAGTTAGTCACATAGACATTAATATCAAAAATGTTAAAGTATCTCAACCTCCTCTCTGAATAACAATGTTAGCACAGCACACCTCATTTAACAAAACATTAAAACATTTTACTTCCTCAGATCAAGTGCATCTATTAATAATGACTTAAATTGTCTGTGCTGATTTCACATTATTAAGAAATCTCATTTCCATCATGTGGAGGAACACAATAAGGGAGGAAACCACCTCACTAACTTATTTTCCCGTCACTGCTACCAAGCCCAGTGCAGATAATGCAGAACAACAGTCACTTCTCATTATTAATGTGATCTTATCCAAAGGTCAAGTGCCGCTTTCATTGGCAGCCCAGGAGGGCTTTTTTGGAAGCTCAGAAACAAAGATGCCCTTGAACACCGTGTATCCGCTGTGGATGAGTGCAAAACACAGCGGCCCAATCCTCAGCGTGCACAACCACGAGTAAATAGCCCTGGAAGGACATTTATAGACTCTGGGGACGTTGCTGGAAAGCGTATCATTGAAGCTCTCCCTGATAAAGGTGACGAAGTTTCTTTACAACTGGCGTGGGGATTTAATTACATGATAAAATTGCAGCTCCTGCCTCTTGAGACAAATTGCGTGTTCAGACTGATTGTTTTTTATGAATCTCACACAGGGAGCAAAATACTTCTCTCTTGAAGTTGGTTTGCTTTGATTGTTCTGCCCTGTGATCCTTTATATCCCTTCTAGAAACGAGAAGTTTACCTATCCTGAAGTTGAGAAGGGTGGTCTAGGAGACAATTTGGTCAACACTGCATCCAGCAAAGTGAGGCCAGTTTTGTCTGATGGAGTTAAATTCCAGAATTAGAACTTTAAACTTCCAACGGAAAAACAGGAAAAAAAATGATAAGAACTGTAAGTGACTGCTGAAACACTGGACTGCTAATCACGTTCAATTTTACTAACCTAAAATACAAGTGAAAAATGACAAGAGATCTTTTTGCCTATTGTGAAAGATTTTTTAAAAGTCAAGTTTTTGAAGAGTTCAGTGACACTAATCCTCTCCCAGTTTGCAGGTGGGAGGGTAAATTGCTGTTCAGTTTGGAAATGTTCTATACTGAGTTTACATGTACAGAGCATTTTTCAGGTACAAGAAGCTTACAGAAATAAATAGTAGAAATCTGGCCGGGCATGGTGGCTCATGCCTGTAATCCCAGCACTTTGGGAGGCTGAGGCAGGTGAATCACCTGAGGTCAGGAGTTCCAGACCAGGCTGACCAACAGGGTAAAACCCCGTCTCTACTAAAAGTACAAAAATCAGCTGAGGGTGGTGGTGTGCGGCTGCAGTCCCAGCTATTCAGGAGGCTGAGACAGGAGAATTGCTTGAACCCAGGAGGCAGAGGTTGCAGTGAGCCAAGATTGCGCCACTGTACTCCAGCCTTGGCAACAGAGTGAGACTCCGTCACACACACACACACACACACACACACACACACACACACACAGTAGAAATCCTTGCCTTTAAGGAGTGTTGAATTGAGTGGGAGGGCAGACGTGGCCACCATCAACTAGCGGTGGAATCAGATCACTGCTATATGGAGGTACAGGTGTTAAGATGGGGATGCCTCAAATAAGGAATCAGAGTGATGGGGTAGGGATAGGGCCAGCTTCCCCCTAATATGGCATCTGAGCAAAGTGACAGGGAGGTGTAGGACACGGAAGGTGCATTTCCTCCCCAGGATGTCTGTTTTCTCCTCTTGATCTATTGTTGCGGGGAGCTATACCCTATGTTCTGGCCTGAGCAAGAGGCAGGTGTCACTAGCCACCATGCTATGGCGCATGGGACACAGGTGCAGTCAGGAAGGCAGCCAGCCCTTTGATGATGTGGAGGGGTCAGGCAGAGGGGCACCTGAGCAGGAAATGAAGCCGCCACAGACAGCAGACCTGTGATTCAGGGCTGAGAGGAGAGGAGGGGCCTAGATCCTTTGGTGGACACAGAGATGAACCACCCAGGCCCCAGCTGTAGGGAGGACTTGTCACCCCAGCTGTCAGCTCCTCCATGGTTTGCCTCAGCTGCAGAGCTGCATCACCTAAGAACACTCCTCCCAACGTGGCCAGATCCAGTGATGGATCCAGGTGCAGCTAGAGCTGTCCTGCCATTTTGGCCCCATGCAGGGAAAACTGTGACAGGTCATCTCTGTTCCAGAGCTGCCCCTGGGGTCAGCCAAGGCATGGTTAGGTGGCGTCAAGGATCCCCACCGTCCTCGCCAGCCTGGCTTTCTAGATGTTGATCCTAGGAAGTTTCCTGCCAAACTCCAGTCAGCACCCAACGCTGACCCCTGAGCTCACGAGCCACTGGGAGGATGGTGGGTGTGTTCCTGGCACACAAGAGGACAGGAAGCAGCAGAAGAGGCAGATGTGCAAACGCCAGGAAGGGACTGCGGACTGAGGTGTTGTGGAGATGTGGCTTGGACCAGAGTTTCTCAAGCACCCGAGGTGAGGGACCAGGGATTTTCTTTTCTGAGTCTAATTTGTTGCAGTTTGATTCTCATTCAAGGGGCTCAGTCTTTATTTTTGTTTTTATTTTTTTAAGGACAGCGTCTCACTCTGTTGCCTAGGCTAGAGTACAGTGGCACAGTCATAGCTCACTGTAACCTGAACTCCTGGGCGCAAGCGATCCTTCCACCTCAGTCTCCTGAGTCGCTGGGACTACAGCCACTTGCTGGTTAACTTATTATTATTATTATTATTATTATTATTGTGGTGGGAGATGGGGTCTCACTGTGTTGCCCAGGCTGGTCTCTAACTCCTGGCCTCAAGTGATCTTCCCACCTCAGCCTCCCAAAGTGCTGGGATTACAGGTCTGAGCTACTTCACCTGGTCTGATTCTCTTTCAAAATACAATGAAATTAGTTACCGGCAAAAATAAAACCGAAAAACGACAGGTAATTACAAGTCTGCAAATCACACACATGGATGTTAGGTTAAAATTGCTGTAAACATGTCTAAATACTTACTGTCAATTTCGGTCAAACACTTCCCAGAGTGACTCCCACCTCCTACCACATTCAGAGTAGCCCCTGTGACTGTTCAGCCTCTGGGTGGGTGCAGGGATGCCGGGAGAGAATGGCAGGGATGCCAGAGTTAGCTCAGGGTACATCTTTAGGCCTTTGGATGCCTGTTATAAAATTTAAACTGTGTTTTGGTGACAGGAGTCACCAAACTTTTTCCATAAAGTGCCAGACAGTAAATATTTTACATTTTGCAGGTCATATGGTCTCTGTGGCAACTGCCCAATTCTGCCACGCTCACATGAAAGCAGCCATAAAGAATATGTAAATGAAGGAGGTGGCTGAGTTCCAATAAAACTTTATTCATAAAAACAGGAAGCCAGCCCACAGGACATAGTGTGCCAGCTTGCTGTAGGCAGTACAGAACATGGCAGCTTTGTGGGAAGAAGTGTTACATGAGCATCTCCATATATCGAACTGATTGCACCCTTCTCTCTGCACACGTTTCACCCCTTCACTCCCATGGAATCTGCTCTCTATTCTCAGAGTAAACCTGACTCAACAACAGGAATTGAGCACCCAGGCATGCGAGCCCACACAGCTGACTCCCTTCTATCAACTCTGCCCTTCTTCTGGTTGGCTGAACTTCTTGAATCTATAAAGTTACATTTTTTACCACTAAATTTGGGAAACGTTTGGTAGTTATTTCTTTAATCATATTTTTCCACCCTGTTATTATTCTTCTCTTCTCTTTCTTGCATTTAGTTGTGTATGTTAAACCTTTTATTTTGTCCCACAGATCCTGTTCATTTAATTTCCCATCATTTTACTTTCTCTTCTTCAAATCAAATATTTTTCTATTGATGTTTTCAAATTTGCCGGCTCTGTCTTCTGTCCTCTTCCATCTGCTGTTAAGCCCATCGTTGATGGGAACAAGACCAGCCCTAGCTTCAAGGGAAGTGGGTGATCGGGTTTGGATTTGTGTCCCCGCCCAGATCTCATGCCAATTATCATTCCCAATGAGGGTGGTGGGGCCTGGTGGGAGGTGATGGGATCATGGGGGCGGAGTTCCCAGGAACGGTTTCCTGCCATCCGCTTGGTGCTGTTCTCAAGATAGTGAGTTCTTGTGAGATCTGGTTGTTTAAAAGTGTGTAGCACTCGCGACCCCACTCTTTCTCCTGCTCCTGCCCTGTAAGCTGCCTGCTCCCCATTTGCGTTCCGCCGCGACTGAAAGCTTCCTGAAGTCTCCCCAGAAGCCGAAGCCGCTACGCTTCCTGTACAGCCTGCAGAACCGTGAGCCAATTAAACCTCTGGTATTTCTTTCTTTTTCTTTTTTTTCTTTCTTTGAGACGGAGTCTCATTCTGTCGCCCAGGCCTGAGTGCAGTAGCGCGATCTTGGCTCACTGCAACCTCCTCCTCCCAGGTTCAAGCGATTCTCCTGCCTCAGCCTCTTGAGTAGCTGAAATTACAGGCGCCCACCACGACGCCCAGCTAATTTATATATTTTTTGTAGAGACGGGGTTTCACCATGTTGGCCAGACTGGTCTTGAACTCCTGACCTCAGGTGATCTGCCCCCCTCGGCCTATCAAAGTGCTGGGATTAGAGGTGTGAGCCACTGCGCCTGGCCTGGTATTTCTTTATCACAATGCGAGAACGGACTAACACAGTGGGGAGATGTATTTCTTTTTCAGGTGGGCACATTGCATGCCACAGGGATTTTGCTGGTAAAGCAGGAGAGGAGGGTGGCTGTGAGGGAATAGCTAGCAGCTGGTGGCCTCTCCTGGCACCTGTCCTTTCTCCTCTATCTTCTGCTTTACCTAAGTAAAAGAGTCAGGTGTTTTCTTTCCAAATTAAGATGACCTCATTCCTTTGCTGAATGGCTCCTCATGGCTTTTCCAAGTAAGTGTAAACACCTGTGCCTAGAATGTGTAGCCTCAAACAATATCGTCCCAATCTCTTTGCCTGGGGCTTCCTCTCTTCTCTGATTTACACACCCAAGTCCAAGTTGTGTCCCACTTCCCTGTCCCACGTGCCATGCCTTGGGTGCACTACGTTTCCTGCTCGCCTCCCTTTATCTGGGCTTCCTTCCTTTGGATCACAGCCTCCCAGGAACATGCTCCTGTTTCGAGGGTCAAGTCAGAGGATTTCTACAGTGTTCTCCCTGTGCTATTTGGTGCATTAATATTTATTTTTTATTTATTTATTTTTAATTTCTATGTATTCATTTGTTTTTTGGAGACCGGCTCTCACTGTTGCCAGGTTGGAGTGCAGTGGCATGATCACGGTTCACTGCAGCACCTTCCAGCTTAAGTGGTCCTCCTGCCTCAGTCCCCCAAGTAACTGGGACTATAGGTGTGTGCCATCATGCCCAGGCTAATTGGTGTATTTTTTGTAGAGATAGAGTCTTGCCATGTTGCTCAGGCTGGTCTCAAACTCCTGGGCTCAAGAGATTCGCCCACCTTAGCCTCCCAAAGTGCTGGGGTTACAGGCATGAACCACCATGCCCGGCCCATAAGTATTTATTAGGTACCTAGTATGTGCAGGATGTGGCAAATAAGACAAACCTAGTCCCTGTCCAATATCCAGGTGCAGAGGTTGGCATTAAAAGATAGTGGGGCATTGGATGGGAAGCTAGAATCAGGCTACAGAGAGCATGCCTGCCATTTCCAATTAGTTCCTTCGGAATGTTTACTTCTCAAGCAGAGCACTTGTGGCAGGAAACTGTCGTCATCTCAGAAAGGTAGAAAAGCCTCTCCGCTATTATTCTCATTGCTTTTTGTTCTTTCCAAACTCTCCAGTGTGCTTGGGGATGATGTTAATAGATGGATGTCATCAGCATACATTATTTCTTTATTAGCCCGTTTCTCAATTTTGATTCTGAAAATACCCTGATTTAGTCTAATTGCAATTTCACTGTGTTCCACAGGCAGTGACAGTTCATACTTGGGGGGAGCTGAGACGCGACCCTGTAGGATTTTTTTTCTTGTCCATATGCCTTTGAAGCCGGACCATTAGCTCTAAGGCATGCATCTCATCTCATCACAGTGTCATTCAACCTGCTTCTGGGGAAAAAAAAAGAGCCTAGGGTGTGTGTCTCGTAGAAAGCAAAGAAACATTTTAATTCTAGGTGGTGGGAGATATTTTTCTGTATTTAAAGAGAGGGCTGCTGCAGCAGCCATTTTGTTCCTAAATAATTCAACTATATTCAAAGATAATCTGATGTTATTGTAGGAAAGTGTATTTCTAATAAATTCCACTTGATCTGGGTGAATCAATTCAGGCAGCGCATAATTGAGTCTGTTAGCAAGGACTTTAGCAAGAATTTTGCAATCAGCGTTAATTAAGAAGATGGGACAATAATTTGTGCATAATTC
Organism: Homo sapiens; assembly: GCF_000001405.40. Taxonomy (NCBI): domain Eukaryota; kingdom Metazoa; phylum Chordata; class Mammalia; order Primates; family Hominidae; genus Homo; species Homo sapiens. Next base: position 236,257,191 of record NC_000002.12, read on the forward strand.
CGGATCTTTTCCTGGCTTGTGAATCAAAGTAATAAGAGCAATGCTCAGGCTGGTGGTGGGATAGTGTCATTAGGTGCTGATTTATAAGTACTTAGAAAGGTTTAATTTCATTTTGCTTCGAGCAGGGTCTCCCTGCCCCCACGCTCTCTGGTGGAGTGAGCAGTCAAGACAGCAGAGCGCTTCTCCTCCTGCCTGCCCTGCCGTGGGTGACCTCTCGCTTCCCATTTCTGTTTTTATTCTCCAGCCTAGCACCCCACTTACTTGCCCATGATTTTTTGGGATTATTTTTGCTCAATGATTTGAAACCAGGGACTCTATCTACTGAGATTGTGTGCACGTGTGCATGACTGTGTGTGTGCGTGTGTACATATGCATATGTATGCTTCATGTCAGATTAAAGGGTTGTAGACAGCTTCACTGGGAAGTTTTTTCAGGGACGTTCCTGCAAAATGTCTCTGGGTGGGTAGGCAGCAAGAGCCCCTGACTACAAGTCAGGAAGCATACCTGCTCCTGCTCTGCTCCTAACTGGCTGTTGACCAGCAAGTGAACACAGGTGAGCAGCAGTGTTCCGGTCTGTAGAACGCAGCTGTGGGATGAACTACAGGTGCCGTGGAGCACGGGAAAGGGCACTGGGTTTACAGTGCCAATTGTCTGTGGAACCCAAGGTGTGTCATGCAACTTCTCCAAGCCTCATTTTCCTCAGCTGGAGGAGTGGAAAGGGGAGAGCTCTTGGAGATGCTCTCACCTGTTCTCCAGGGAACAGCAGGGACTTGCGGCATTGCCAATTCCTCCTTCTTTGCCTCCGTGTAGGACCAGTTTCAGTTTGAACATACCCTGATTTGGGGACTTATTCTTCCTAAGCCTTGAGCCAAGCTGCTGCTTAATCTGTGCATATGAGTTCGTAAACCAGCTTCCTATGCACCTTCCAGCTGGTATCCTCGCTGCCTACTTGACCTGAAACTCACCACTGGAGGCCTTCCTTCGAAGGCAGGGTGTGGCCCACACAGGCCCCTGTTAGAATCCACCACTCCTGGGAAGGCAGTGTGGGTCGGGAGGCTTTGTTGATCCCCTCCACAAACACAAGCCATTCGTCTTAGAACCTGAGTTAGTCCAATTGGTAAAGATGCTTAGAGATGATCCAGACCAATCCATTTTTGAAAATGAGGAAATTAAGGTTCAAAGAGGTGGTCTGACATGTTCAAGGTCACACAGGTCACGGGAGAGCTTAGGCAAGAAACTGGGTCCCCTTCCTCTCAGTCCCTTGCCCTTCCCATTACACCACATCTTGGCACCATCATCAATGGGTACGCTCTTGTCACTGTGTTGGAAAATGATTCCTCTAAGGCGGGAGCTGTGCTCATTTAATTTAGAGTCAGCCGTTTGGTTTGTCCTGAGTGATGTTATTCTCCAGGCATAAGGAAGGATGTCTGAGTTAAAGGAGCAGGGGATATGGCCCATGTGTCATGGTTCGCCCTGCATCAAGCCTTAGATGAGAAGTCTAATTCTGCAAATGGACCCCATTTTCACATGTGTGCACATGTCCGTGGTGTGTTTACCCACACTCATTCCCCACCTATACATGACGCTGGTGAGATCTCTTAATAAAAACTCAATTAGTATTTCTTTAACTTTCCTCTGGGTGCTTAAATACTATTACCCCAAACACAACATAATGCCTCTATTTTTCTATTTCAATCAAGAATTCAAGTAGCATCTTGACTTGTATATAATATATCAGCAGCAAAATCATGGAATGCTGACATCCTTAATAATAGCAATTAGTAATCAGTTGTTTCTTAAGTCGTTTGATTACACCAGTTACCAAATTGTACAGTTGATGCATTTGGGGGGCGAGATGGGTCTCACTGCCCCTCCCCCAGCCGTCCTTTCTCCCTCTCTGTGTTCTCTGCAGCTACTAACCAATTGGTATTGAAAAGAGGCAAGCACAAATAATGCAGTTGTTGCTAATATTAAACAGTAGAGACTTGGCTTTAGCAGAAAGTAGAATTAAATATTTCTTTGCAGAAACCCAAATCCCAATAGTGTCTGTGGAAATGCAGTCTGTGCCCACCCAGCTGAAGGTGAGCAAAGGAGCTTAGCTCTTCCATGCCAATCACTGCACCCAGAGTCCAAGCTTTCTCTCAGGGTTAATACCCTGTGCTAGGCTCTGGATATAATCGAGTGTTAGGCGAGGTTCTGGCCCTAGAAGAGGTGGCATTCAGGTTTGAATTATCCAGTTGGTATATAAAAAGCAGCCTAGCAAGGCCATGCACTTCCGTAATGGATGGAGACTAAGGGCTTTATGCTTTCATGCAGGGAGGATGCACGATTTCTGTCCCAGTGGGAAGGGATGGCCTTCCAGTGGACGTGACCTCCCCTGCATGGGGTCGGAAGGATGAGATGGCAAAGGTGAGCAGAGGAGGTGCAGCCCTGGCTGGGAGGATCCTGTTGGGATGGGGATGCTGACTGTAGAGCGTGGGGGGCTCAGCCTCAGTGAGCCCAGCAGGATGTTGGGCATCTCAGGTCCATCCTTGCAGGAGAGCAGGTGCCTTCACAAGGGCACAGGCCAGTTGCCTGTTTAAGAGAATTCTGACTGATGGCCATTCTCCTGCCTAATGCCTGCCTCAGCAGGGTATGTTCTGTGCTTTCCCCCAATGTCTGCTGGGGCTAAAATTTTCAGTTCCTTTGACTTCTGCCTGCACCAAGGTGGGGGCACATGTTCACCTGAGGGACTTCTCCAGAAAAAGCCCTTTCCACCATTGGATGCCACTTTTTCTCTATGCTTTTTTTTGGTGATGTTGACATGGATGCATCAAAATAAATTCTGTTTCTTTCTGTTCTATTTGGTGGGAGTAGTAAGTTCACAGGCCGATGAGCATGGTGATTGCACTGCAAGAGGCAAGGTCCTCAAGTGATCATGTTAACATGCAGAGCGAATGGTTACTTTTCTTTTTCTTATTTTTTCACATTGTCATCTTTAGAATAAAACTCAGAGTTCTGTCTACTGGGCTTGTCCTTGGGATAGAAACCTCTTCCCTCTTCTTTCCCCCAGGTACTTTTGCCAACATGACCCTCGACTCTTGCCTTCTCCTGGCTCAGGTGGGCATCACCAGCTCTGCCCCCTCTCTTGGCCCAGCCCTGTTTTCCTGTGTTATCATTCCTTCCTCTTCACATTCCTCCTCTCAGGGATTTCGGTGTTTGACAGTGTCCATTCCCAATATGTGCTGCATTTCAAGGTCATTGCCATAAGTTTTGACCACTGTTCAAAAATTGTAAAGACCCTACATGTAGCTTAGAATCCAAACAGCTCTTTCTCCCATCAAGGATGGTCCCCCCAAACTCGCCCTTACCTTGAGAAAGAGAACATTTGCTCCCACAGGAAAAAGGAACCTATGCCCATTTTAGGCTGCGACAGTGAGTCTTTGGGATTATGGCCTCAGAGAAGCATGGAGAAGGAGGGAACCTAAACGATGAACCAAGCCAGCAGTGGTTCCCAAGGAGCATCTGCAAATCACCAATTCTACGGGTTGTCAGCAGACATGAAAGTGAGGTTCTGGGTTGAGATGAGAAACCGTGCCAAATGCAATTGCAATCCTTAAGTCCCTTTGTGGTAAAACTCCTCCAAGCCTTTGATATGTCATCGTGCCAGTCTCTGAGGGGAGGCCCCAGCAGAAAGCAGTTCCCAAGCTCATCCCACCATGGAGCTCTTCTCAGGAAGCTTGTGGGTCTCTGTGTGGGAAGCACTAATCTAATCTCATACCCTCGTTAATAAATGGAGACGTTGGTCTCGAGACAGACAGTGAGTTTCCTGAGGTTACACAGCTCAGTGGAGTAGAGGTTCAATAAATCATCATAATCACAGTTCCCTCTTGTTTCTATCTTAGCTGGTGGCCCTATCCTCTATTCATCACCACAACCTTCCCATTGAGCCCCCCAATTATTTGTAAAGATGCTTAGAGATGATCCACACCAATCCCCTTTTTGAAAATGAGGAAATTAAGGTTCAAAGAGGTGGTGTGACATGTGCAAGGTCACACAGGTCATGGGAGAGCTTAGGCAAGAACCTGGGTCCCTTTCCTCTCATCTTTGTTACTTTGCCTTTGTGTCTTCCTTTGCATTGGCTTAGACTCTTGCCATCTCTCACCTGGGCAACTGCCTTCAATGAACTCCCAGCTAGACTCATCTCCTTCCTAGCCTTTCTCTGCCTCCTTCAAATCCTAGTTTCCCATGTTAGCCAGAGTGGCATACCCCAAATGAACGTCTGACCGTGTTGCTCCCTGCACCCTTGTCCTGAAGTCCAGCCTGCTTTCTCTGTGATAAAGTCACTGATAACGCGTGCCCTAGGATCATGTGTTTAATCATTTAGCATACCATCGTCCTGAATTGAAGCAACCTGGAACAGACCCAAGCACTTTAAACATGTCATTAGTATCAAATTGTCCCTGCAGTGCTGAATCATTAGGTAGGAAATAGTACATGTGTATGTGTCAGTCTGTTTTCTTCCTGCTGATAAAGACATACCAGAGACTGAGTAATTTATAAAGACAATGAGGTTTAACGGACTCACAGTTCCACGTGGCTGGGGAGGCCTCACAATCATGGCAGAAGGTGAGGGAAGAACAAAGACACGTTTTACATGGTGGCAGGCAAGAGATAAGGAGAGCCAAGTGAAAGGGGAAGCCCCTTATAAAACCATCAGATCTCGTGAGACTTATTCACTACCACAATAATCGTATGGTGGAAACTGTCCCCATGATTCAATTATCTCCCACTGGGTCCCTCCCACAACACGTGGGAATTGTGGGAGCTATAATTCAAGATGAGATTTGGGTGGGGACACAGCCAAACCATATCAGTATGTAATTTATAACTGTGGAAGGAATGTAACTTTCTTATAACAATTTTCATAGTTTCAAGTGTTTGGTAAAATGAGACACACAGTAAAGATTTTGCAGGGCAATTAGTAATGTGAAAAGAAAGGATATTTAGGTTCAGGATTCCCAATACACAAATCTTCAACCGGCTGGGACTGGTTTATGAAGGAAGAGCTGTTGAGAGGACGCTTGCTGTAGTCAGGATCCCAACAGAAAGCAGATGGCATGAGCTCAGGGCATGCTGAAGGCAGGCCGGGTTACAGGGGCTACAGGAGACCACTTACAGGTGGCAGCAGCCACAGCGGATGGCCATTCCTAACCCTGTACCTGATAGGGCTGGAGGAGGGGCAGGAGCTGCTGGGCAGGAGCCAAGCCTTCCACAGAAGGAGGCTGCTAAACCCAGCAGCGATCTGGCAGGGAGGGCCGGGGAAGCACTTGCCCTACCCTCACTTTCCTCCAACTCCTATCATTAGTGGCACCCAACAGGAGCCAGAGGGCAAGTGGGACTGATGCAGTTTGCAGAGATCAGCCTCGGGGGGGTGCTTGGGCACGGTGGGCCTAAAGGGTGAATGCAAGATGTACAGCTCAGCACTCCCAGTCCAATCACTGCTTGTGATGACAACCTCCCCTAAACCCCCCCCAGGGCAATCTTCTAGAGAGATGGAAGGTACCAAGTTTGGGATCATGGCTCCTGGGCCTATGGACCCCCGCCAGATATTAGGAAAACCAAGGTGAAGAGGAAGCAAGAGAAGGTTCCTCCCTAAAGCGACTTGCTTAAGTCCCCACTGAAAGGCAGCCCAGAAAGTAGACCCAAACCAAGGGGGGGGGGCGGACCCCCTCGGAAGTTCCAATCTCAGACTCCTCGCCTCAGCACCCTGCAAGCTCCATTCCCTAGCAGCAACTCCCACTCATGTCCCATCTGTGTTCCTCCTGCATGTTGCGCACACGTGTGCATGTGATGCATGTACTTGCGTGTGCGTGTGTGCACCTATGTTGGGAGGGAGAATGGGGGTGGAAAGGAGCCCTCAGCATCCCTTAGAGGCCAAGACTAACCTTGTCCCCTAATCTGACAAGCTGGGAAACAGCACAATACAACTAAAAGTAAATCACAGGTCAGGAAAACACTTTCAGGAAACCTAACAAAGGGATGATGTCTATGTTACGTGAAGAAGTCCTACAAAATGATAAAAATGATTCCAAGAGATGGAGAGTTCCTGCCCAAGACCCAAATAGACAGGTCTTGCACCTGATGAGGCCTACAAAGAAAAAATCCTATGGACAAGACTTTGTCCAGACCTGCAAAGAAAGGATGGGCGACAGGCAGTGAAGAATTACCAGTGTGTGCTTATCAAATGGCAATTTAATACAAACATTCATTACCAGTGATGCTCCTTGGTGAGGTTGTGGTGAAACACATCACCTCACTGTCAGAGGGAACAGAAACCCTTGCGGAAAACAATTTGGAACCAATTTAGAAACAATACAATTTGAAAAAATGTTATGTTCTTGTTCCAGTTATATGGCTCCTAGGAATTTATGGTAAGGATATAATCCCAAAAAAGAAAAAAGCCGTATGAATCCTAATAAAGATGTTCGTTACAGCATTATTTATAGAAGCAAAAAGGTAACCAAATACTATCTTTTTGTAGGCATTTGGTTTAAGTATTTCAGTAGGGGATTGAAATTGGGAAGACTATGTAGCAACATGGAAAATGCTTTAGATTTAGATTTTGTAGATCTCAAGGGAGCAGAACACACAATTATGTGTATGATATGGTTATCAGTGGGTGAAATTTACACACGCAAATGGACAGGCTTGGAAAACAATGGAGCCACAGAGCAGCCACTGTGGTAGGATTAGTTTTTTTGTGTTGTGTTGCACTTGTTGCTTATGTCGCACACGCATGTACATGGTCTATGCAGTACACATATATGCATGTATGTATGAGAGTCAGATATCCGAGTACATATCATTTACTTTTTCCAAACATTTGCCCCTCTACCTCCAGGATCTGCCCACCCCATCAGTGTAACTTAGTAATTAAATCCCAGATGCAGCAGGCTCGTTCTGGTTACCTAGCAGCATGCCGGTGGGCAGCTGAGCCGAGGGGTCTTTCATCCAGTCGTCATTGGCCAGTTCTATCACAGCGTCCACAGGCGTGATTTCAGTGCAGATTAAATCCCTCACTCTCTCCTCATCTTTGGCATCCAGGGCAGACTTTAATCTCTTCACTAAATCTGAGTTGAGTGGGTAGTCGGGAAGGTAATCCGAGTTGGACATTGTTACGTCGTTTCTGCAGTGACCAGCCCTTCTTTTCTTCCTCTAAAGCGACTCCAAAGTCAGCAGCTGTCCGTGAGAGTGGCGTGGGGGCTGCTATAAATAGCAGCACCCTGGCTCCTCTTACAGTCCCTGCGGAGGGCCACCTGCCAGCAGGGAGGTGTGAAGTAATCTTTCCAGAGGCCTCAGCAAAGGATTATTCTAGAGATGGGGGCAGCAGACATGTTTGTGAGTGGTGCAAGAAGGAGAGACAATATTTTCAAAGACAGCTTTCATGGGTATTGTTGAATAATATCTTCTTTTATCAAAAGTGAGGCTCTCTCCTGAAACTTTGAAAACCTCTTCCTGGCACTGGGCTTGGACCTCTATTCTGTGGAAAGGAACATTTTCTAATATTCTACCCCTTGTGTTCCTTCACTTCCTCTAAAAGGAGCGTCTGGTCACCTGCAAATTGGACATGCCTCAAACGCATAGAATGGAATGGAATCTTTGGTTTCCAAATGCAGAGAAGGACTGGCTGATCTCAGGAAGACGGAAGCATCACAGAAAAACAAAAAAAAGTAACCTAAATATTACCTGTGACCTCCCTATGCCTCAAGGCTGGTAAACTTTGCTCAAAGCCTATAATTCCATGACTTGTGGAAGTGTGGAGCCCTCAGGGGGATTTCTGTGCACTCCTAGGGGCAAAGGTGGGGCTTTCTCTCCTTGACCTGTGTCTTCAGTGTGCTTGGGTCTCTGTGTGCCAACCTGTGCATAAGCACAGCTGTGCCTGAAGCTTCTCTGCTGATGCCAAGTGTGCTGTGGTCTCTGAGGGCCCAGGGCGGGCCGTGGAGCTTACAGGGCCTCCTTCGCCTTGCCTTCTATCTCGCCATCTTTTCCATTCCTTACTTTCTTTCTTCTCCCCTGTGCTTAATTTTATGTCTCAATTTGGCTAGGACCCCAGTGCCCAGAGACTTGGCCCAACACTAGTCTAGATGTTTCTATGAAGGTGTTTTTGGGATCAGATTAGAATTTCTTGAACCGGCAGACTTGGAGTGAAGCCGATGGCTCTCCCTAATGTGTGTGGGCCTCCATCAATCAGTTGAACGTCTGAATAGAACAAAAGACTGACTTTCCCTGAGCAAGAAGGAATTCTGGCGGCAGACAGCCTTTGGTCTCAACCTCAGGTCTTCCCTGGGTCTCCAGCCTATCAGCCCACCCTGCTGATGATGGATTTACCAAGTCTGCACAATAGTATGAGCCAATTCTTGAAGAGAAATTCTCTCTCTCTCCCTACATAACTGTTGGTTCTGTTCCTCTGGAGAACACTGACTAATACACCCTCTTCCTCCTTTCAGCTCATTTGTGTGATTTTCCAGCTTCTGTTCCATCTGCACTTGAGGTGCCAGGCACTGTAGTTCCTGCCCAACATCCATTCTCCTTCCACCTGCCCAACACAGCCTGGCTTTCTTGGTGGGGGCACTGTGCCCAGCCCCTGGGGATGAGTCATGTTGATTTAGGTCAGTAGTGTCAGTCCCAGTCTCCTTTGCCTGCACTCAATGTCCAGTCTCCCTTGCAACCCAGTTCTGGCTGCTGGGGTGAGTCTGGGAAGTTATGTGCTTTCCTGATCAAGAGGGACAGAAGTGACTGGCAACACCCTTTCCTGTTCTTGTTTCCTTGAACATGGACATGATATCTGGAGGTGCAGCAGCCACATCACAGCTGGGAGGCAACAGATATGAAATGAAGGATTAACACAGAAAGGAGAGTGGGATGGAAAGCGGGGGAGAGACTGGGGATGACATTTCTGAACCCCTGCCCCAGCTCTGGGGCCCCAGCCACCAGACCTCTTGTCTTTATGCCATAAGCACTTTCTGTGTGTTTTCTGTTACATACAACTGAAGGCATTCTTGGTTGATACAGGTAGTGTATTTACTCTGCCTTTCAATCATGGAAATGTCCTGGTTTTAGTCTAAGGAGGTGCAGGGGGAATGGCTCAGCCAGTGAAGAACTTGAGTTGATCCTCCCAAGCCTTCTATTCTTTGATAATAGTAACGACCTGCCTTCTATGATAAAACCCCAGTGGATTTTGCAATGACAACAGCCAACTCCAGACTCCCCAAGTGGAGGAGCAATGGCACCATAGTTTGGGCTCATGAATGAATAGTAGCCAGCGCCACTGGAGTGACTACCTTTTAGTGTCACAGACCCTGACAAATGGACCCTGATAGAGACATCCTTGGAATCTCTGGCAATGGACTCCTCCCAGAAGGGAAATACGAACTCTGAGGATCTGCCTGCTGTTCAGAGGCTTGACCGAACTGCAGAGTATAATTGGTCTCTGCTTCTTTCTTTGACCAAAGAACTGGGGGTTTTGGAGATTTTTGAGCTTAAATTTCCAAGCACAAATACTTTGCAGCATCAAATATCTTACATGTAGGGAGAAATCTAGCACTAGTACATTTGTGTAGATACAATGACATGAGGGGTAGTGACCACAGGAAAATGATCAGCACTGGGGTAAGGCAATTTAAAGAAACAAAATGAGAATTATTAGAGACTGCTATCAAACTTCAAATCAGAAGGGAGGTAAAGATGAAGCACTTGTTAGGCAGATAATAAGATGACAAAGCCTCAAAATACGGCACTCATGGATCTTAATTACCAAGCTATCTGCTGGGTGTTTAATCAGTGGCACATACACTATGCTAATTATTCCGGCTAATTTCGTTATAATGCAATTCTTTATCAACCCTGCTATGTAAAAATTAGGAATTGAAATGTAACTAACACAAATTATATTTAAGGCAACATGAATTTCTTTATTTCAGCATGAAATCTTCTAGTCTCTATTTCTTTATCTTTCTTTCTGTGATTATCTAATGTCACCCCCTCCCCAACCCAGCCCCCCACAGCCTAAACCATCATTTGAGGAGAAAGGAACCCAGCACAAATATTTCCCCTTTTAACTTCTAGGAAATCATTCGTTTGACTTTCTCCTTCAGCGATTGTCCTTGAAAGGTGTAGAATATATTTAAGCAATCAGTGACAGACGGATCCTAGCTTTCTCTGCATCAGATAAAGGTCGCTTTATTGTTCTATTTTAATTTTTAAATAATCATTGGAGGGTGCCATAATTCATGTATTTTCAGTGATGTATGTAACTTACATCAAGTTGTGTTTACAAATGTGTTTAGATGAGGGCTAATAACACATATCTTGTAGAGAAGCATAAATATTGTCTGGAATTTTTAATGTCATGCAGCTCTGCATCCAAAGAGGTCAGGACTGCCAGGCTTGTGATTTTCTCCTCCATCAATACTTTTGGTTTTGAACAAATTTGCAGCAAAATAACAAAGCCTAATAAATCAGTTGATAAAACCGGGGTCTAATTTAGTCCCAGCACTAAGTCCGTTGCCAAGGGAGGGCCATGGTCTGGAAGAAATGAACAGTCGCAAGTCCACAGACCCCCCTGTGACCTCAGAGAAAGGGACAAGCACTGTGCCTGTCTAGACTCACTCAAACTGACCGAGACATAGCCCTGTCTGTGGATTCACCTCTGAGACTCATTTCTTCTTTGGGCCTGAAATGTCCCTGCTTTTCCCTGATAGCGTGGAAAGCAGCTCCTTCATCCCCTGGTCCCCTGGGTGCTGTTGGGTGCATACTCGCCTCCAGATCCAGCTGCTGGGCCCTCCCCACTCTGGGTCAGCTGGGGCTTTGCTCCCAGGACAGAGGCTTCCATCATCTCGCATCATCCTCTCTCCTGTCTTTGATTCCCTCTGTCTTATTTTTATTTCTCCTAATTCCCAGCTCCGGCGACATAGACGTTTCTTCTTGTGGTCAGAAGCTTTTTAATTTTGCTAAAGATTAATGCTTTTTTTTTTTTTTTTTTTTTTTTGACAGAATCTCACTCTGTTGCCCATGCTGGAGTGCAGTGGTACAATCACTGCTCACTGCAGCCTCTACGTCCCGGGCTCATTCTAATCCTCCCACCTCAGCCTCCCAAGTAGCTGGGACTACAGGTGTGTGCCACCATGCCAGGCTAATTTTTAAATTCTTTTTAGCAGAGAGAGGGTCTCACTATGTTGCCCAGGCTGGTTTCAAACTCCTGGGCCCAAGCAATCCTCACGCTTCAGCCTCCCAAAGTGCTGGGGTTACAGTTGTGAGCCACCATGTCCAAATTGAATTCCTTTTCAATGAGTCTTTTCTAGCTTTTCTGTCTTGACAGTTTTGACTGAGATGTTTGTGTGAATGTATTTTCCATTCTGTGCGGGGCCAGGCTCACCCATCAATCCACCAGGCTGCAGTAGCCACTTTGTAGTGCAATCTTGGTACTTGAACTTGAGGCGGCTCTTTGTGCAACGAGAGAGCAGGAGCCACTTTCATTTCCTGTGTGTCTTCAGAGGCTGGAAACAATGCAATGGGATGTGGGCACAGACTAGATGTGATGAAAGTCATTGACAATTCTTTTTTTTTTTTTTTTTTTTTTTTGAGATGGAGTCTTGCTCTGTCGCCCAGGCTGGAGTGCAGTGGCATGATCTCAGCTCACTGCAAGCTCTGCCTCCCGGGTTCACGCCATTCTCCTGCCTCAGCCTCCTGAGTAGCTGGGACTACAGGTGCCTGCCACCACACCTGGCTAATTCTTTGTATTTTTAGTAGAGACGGGTTTTCACCATGTTAGCCAGGATGGTCTCGATCTCCTGATGTCATGATCCGCCTGCCTCGGCCTCCCAGAGTGCTGGGATTACACTTTGGTGGGCGTGAGCCACCGCACCCGGCCAAAAGTCATTGACAATTCTTGAAAGATTTTTTTTTCTCTATTGGGGCATGATTTGTGATGATGCAAGGATGGAGTTGTACAATTGGAGTTGTGGGTATTTTCTACCAATATAATCATCAAAGCCCAAATAACACACAAACGATTGTCATTCAGTAAACACTTTCTGAACCCTGGTTAATGCCAGGCACTTCTTGATGTGCTGAGATTATAGTATGTTGATTATAAAATTCACAATATGTGCCAGGCACTTTCTAAAGGTGTTGTGAATATAACTTGTTTTCTCCTCTCAATGGTACTGAGGTTGTTATCACTTGGGAGATGAGGAAACTGAGTGGGGAGCTACTGTTGAAGCCGTATGGCTATTAAATGGCAGGGTTAAGATGCAAACACACAGCCTGGCTGTGCGTCCCAGTGTTGTGTGGTCCTGGCTCCTGCTCTGTGCCCAGTTCTGCCATCTCCTAGTCAGCTGCTGCTTCTTCCTTCCTGATATGGTTTGGATTTGGGAAGAATGGTTTCATGGGCCAGGCCCAGGGCCCTGCTGTCCTGTGCAACCTCAGGACACTGCTCCCTGTGTCCCAGCCACTCTAGCTATAGCTGTTGTTAAAAGGGCCCCAGGTGTGTCTCAGGCCTCTGCTCCAGAGGGTGCCAGCCAGAAGCTTTGGTGACTTCCATGTGGTGTTAAGCCTGAGGGTGCACAGAGAGCAAGAGTTGAGGCTTGGGAGCCTCTATCTACACTTCAGAGGATGTATGAAAATGCCTAGATGTCCAGGCAGAAGTCTGCTGCAGGGGTGGAGCCCTTATGGAGAACCTCTACTAGGGCAATGTATAGGGGATATGTGGGGTTGGAGCCTCCACACAGAGTCCCCACTGGGGCACTGCCTAGAGGAGCTGTGAGAAGAGGGCCACCATCCTTCAGACCCCAGAATGGTAGACCCACCAACAGCTTGCACCATGCATCTGGAAAAGTGGCAGACATTCAATACCAGCACTTGAGGGCAGCCATGGGAGCTGAACCCTGCAGGGCCACAAGGGTGGAGCTGCCCAAGGCCTTGGGAGCCCACCTCTTGTATCAGTGTGACCTGGATGTGAGACATGGAATCAAAGGAGTTTATTTTGGAGCTTTAAGATTTATGACTGCCTTGCTGGGTTTCAGACTTGCATGGGGCCTATAGCCCCTCTCTTTTGGTTAATTCCTCCATTTTGAAATGAGTATATTTACCCAATGCCTGTACCCCCATTGTATCTTGGAAGTAACTAACTTGTTTTTGGTTTTATAGGCTCATAGGTGGAAGGTACTTACCTTGTCTCAGATGAGACTTTGGACTGTGGACTTTTGAGTTAATGATGAAATGAATTAAGACTTTGGGGACTGTTGAGAAGGAATGATTGTATTTTTCAATGAGAAGGACATGAAATCTGGGAAGGGCTGGGTGGAATGATATGTTTGGATCTGTGTCCCTGCACAAACCTCACAAAGAATTGTAATCTCCAGTGTTGGAGGGGAGGTGATTGGATCATGGGGACAGATTTTCCCCTTGCTGTTCTAATGCTACTGAGTTCTCATGAGATCTGGTTGTTTAAAAGTGTGTAGCACTTCCCCCTTCTATGTCTTCCTCCTGCTCCTGCCATGTAAGATGTACCTACTTCTCCTTCACCTTTGGCTATGATTGTAAGTTCCCTGAAGCCTCCCCAGCCATGCTTCCTGTACAGCCCATGGAACCAAGAGCCAATTAAACCTCTTTTCTTTATAAATTACCCTGTTTCAGGTATTCCTTTGTAGCAGTGCAAGAACGGACTAATATACTTCCTGTCTGTTATTTTGGTCTTTCTTGATATGCAGTTTTGTGAGAAAAGATGTAGAAGGGGTGGGAGGGAAGAGAAGAGGGGCAAGGGCTAAGGCAAGGACCAGGAGTATTGGGGGAGACTTTGACAGAAAGAGGCCTGAGAGTAGGTGGGAATTGGATAAAGAAAGAAAGGCCATTACTTTGATATAATCTCTTGGTTGCTGGATGATGTTTTCCTAATCAAGATGCTTATTTGAGACTAGACCACAAGGGTCATGGCTTTTAAAGAGTTATTTAACTAATTATGTGAGTCCCTGTTGTGAAAGGAAAATCTTGGTGCCCCAAAATTACTAAGCTAGGGGAAAAGTCAAGCTGGGAACTGCTCAGGACAAACCTGCCTCTGCTCACTGAGATAGATGCATATTCTGACGGCCTTCTTTGGAAAGGCTTATCAGAAACTCAAAAGAATGCAACCATTTGTCTCTTCATCTATCTGTGGCTTGGAAGACCCCTCCCTGCTTCAAGTTGTCCCTGCCTTCTGGATGGAACCAGTGTACTTCTTACATATACTGATTGATGTCTCATGTCTCCCTAAAATGTATAAAACCAATCTGTGCCCCGACCACCTTGGGCACATATCATCAGGACTTTCTGAGGCTGTGTCATGGGCACATGTCCTTAACTTTGGCAAACAAACCTCCTAATATGATTGGGACTTGTCTCGTCAGTTTTTCTTGACTGACACTGTCATTGGGGGTAAGGGGATCATCAATCAAGCACAATGATGTAAGGTGGAAAGTGTGCCCTCTGATAATTAGACATTAAAATCACCCTAATAGATCAAAGCAGGACAGTGTAAAGTCACTTAAAGGATGAAGAATAATTAACACAACATATGCTTTCAAATTTAATCCCCTACCTCCATCTCAAATCATCTTTGAAATAAAGGAAAATGAAAAAAATGGAGAAAATATGTATCAGTGATTAAACTTAGGACAAAGTGTATCCCTGTGACAAAAATTTTAAGAAATTTCTGGCATCAACAGGGTGGGCAGGCTTGAGGAAGGGTAGACCAGGTGGCCACGGGTGTGAGTAGACAGAAATGCAGGCTGGGGCCCTGGGGTGAGGGTGGGGCAGATCTTGCCTCATTGGCAGGTTCAGAAAGGGCCCCTGAGCCCCACAGTGTGCCCAGAACCTCAGCATCTCATGTCACGCTCGGCTGCTGGTGGCAGTGAGCACTGTGAGGAGGGCTGTGGTGGGCACATGGGGGGCAGTCATGCATGCTTCAGAAAGGCGCACAGTGCCTGCCATTCAGGATGGTATAGATTAAAAAATGAAACACACAAGAAACAGGAACGGAATACCCTGCCCCAGCGGTGAAGCTCCTTGGCCATCACTCTTGCTAGTTTTTTTCAATTTCCATGCCTCTGTTACAGAAAAATACAATTTCCATACGGTTAAAGTCTGTCCTCTTCTCTTTGGGCCTGAAAATATTTGACCACAGACACACATAATCATGATCCAACCCATCTGTGGTGGACAGCCTTGGAGATGGCCCTCATATTCGTGCCCTTGTGTAACCTGCTCTCCCGTGGGCTGGGCCAGGCTTTGTGACTTGCTTTTCACAGATATGGTGCCACTGAAGCAGAAGTGTCTCAGATGAGACTTTGGACTGTGGACTTTTGAGTTAATGATGAAATGAATTAAGACTTGGGGGACTGTTGAGGAGGAATGATTGTATTTTGCAATGAGAAGGACATGAGATCTGGGAAGGGCTGGGGTGAAATGATATGGTTTGGATCTGTGTCCCTGCCGAAACCTCACATTGAATTGTAATCTCCAATGTTGGAGGAGAGGCCTGGGGGCAGATGATTGGATCATGGGGGCAGATTTTCCCCTTGCTGTTCTAGTGCTACTGAGTTCTCATGAGATCTGGTTGTTTAAAAGTGTGTAGCACTTCCCCCTTCTATGTCTTCCACCTGCTCCTGCCATGTAAGATGTGCCTGCTTCCCCTTCACCTTTGGCCATGATTATAAGTTCCCTGAAGCCTCCCCGGCCATGCTTCCTGTACAGCCCATGGAACCAAGAGCCAATTAAGCCTCTTTTCTTTATAAATTACCCAGTTTCAGGTATTTATTTGTAGCAGTGCAACAACAGACTAATACACTTCCTGTTATTTTCCTCATATTCGTGCCCTTGTGTAACCTGCTCTCCCGTGGGCTGAGCCAGGCTTTGTGACTTGCTTCTCACAGATATGGTGCCACTGAAGCAGAAGTGATGGGTGGCCGCTTTTGCGATTAGGTTAGAAATTATAAAGACACCGTGGCTTCTGTGTTGGGTGCTCTCTTTAGCTTCCTCCTGAGTGGCTCACCTTGGGGGAAGCTAGCTGCCTTGTGGTGAGTCAGCCCCAGAAGTGGGGCTGGGGAAGGAACTGGAAAGAGGATGTGCTGGGGCTGCAAACAGTCCTGTGAAGGGGCATGGCAGGAAAACCTTCAGCCCTAGTGGGGCCTGAGGGTGATGACAGCCTCCTGAGAGACAGAACCACCCACCAAAAGCCATATTCAGTTTCCTGGCCTGCAGAAACTATAAAATTATGAATGTTTGCTGCTTTAAGCCATTAGATTTTTGGGGTAATTTGCTATGCAGCAATAGATAATTAATATACCACCTTAACTAGCATTTGAAGAAGGCCACAGACTTTATCCTTCCCTTTCTCATTCTCTCCTTCCCCACTCAAGGATAAGCAAAGCATGAACTCTGATTCAACAGTGCGAAAGAATGGATGATTTTTGAGTCCCAGGGTAAATGTCTTTTTATGAAACAAGAGTTGCTGCGAGAAGTGAGAAAATTTGTGAAAATTCCAAATTCATACTATCACTGATAATCTAGATAAACATTGGCTGAAAGAGGAATGAGAGAGGGCCAAGGAAGAGTCCTCTGGGTTGAAAACCATATTTCAAGTTTTAAAATGAAATTTATACAGTGGTTGATACTGCGGAAAACCAAGCTAGTGATTTAAAAGGCCAGACACAGAAATCCTCTCAAACTCAGAGTATAAAAGAAACAAAATGGTGCACATAAAGAAAAGTAACACAAAAGACAGATTCAGGAAATGTATATATCTTAGGAGAAATAAGAGTAGAGAGAATATAATAAGTAAAGAAGTAATACAAGATACCTTTTGCTATGGACTGAATTGTGCCTCCTGCCTCCAGTTCATATGCCAAAGCCCTAACCCCCATGCGATTTTATTGGAGACATGGTCTTTAGGGAGGTGTATTAGTCTGTTCTTGCATTGCTATAAAGAAATACCTGAGACTGGGTAATTTATAAAGAAAAGAGGTTCAGTTGGCTCATGGTTCCACAGGCTGTACAGAAATCATGGCTGGGGAGGCCTTGGCAAACTTTCAATCATGGTGGAAGGTGAAGCGGAAGCAGGGATATCTTACATGGCCGGAGTAGGAGCAAGAGAGAGAGACAGGGGAGGTGCCACACACTTTTAAAACAACCAGATCTTATGAGAACTCACTCACTCACTATCACAAGAACAGCACCGAGGGGACGGTGCTAAACCATTCATGAGAACTCCACCCTCATGATCCAATCATCTTCCACCACGTCCCACCTCCAACACTGGGGATTACAATTCAACAGAGATTTGGGTGGGGACACAGATCAAAACCATATCAGGAGGTAAATAAAGTTAAGTGAGGTCATAAGGATAGAGTCCTGATCCTATAGAACTGGGGTCCCTATAGAAGAGGAAGAGATACTAGAGCTCTCCCTCTCTCCATGGATACACGAGGAAGGGGTCATGTGAGTACACAGAGGGCAAGATGGCAGCTGCCTCCAAGCCAAGAGAAGAGGCCTGAGCAGGAAATCTGCCTTGCTGGCACCTGATCTTGGACTCTGCAGCCTCCAGAACAACTAAGCAGCCCAGGAAGACTAAGACAAGTTCCCTGAGCTGATGAGTAGAATGTCTTCTCTCCAAATTAAAACCCCCTTCAAGCACCCTTAAAAAGTAAGACTGGCCTTTAAATTAAAAGTATCTTTCAGGATATTTTGTGAAAATATAGAAACACACCTGAACATATTCTGATGACATTTTGGTATTTCAGGGATAAAGAAACATCTCCTAATTTTTACAATCAAAAAACCAGATTAATTAATTGGTGTTAGGTTTCTTCATATGACAAAGTGGCACAAAGCAACTGAGAAATGGCTACAAGGTATGGAGGGGAAAATATTGTAACCCAAGAACTCCATTCTCAGCCTATCTAATGTTCATGTGTATTGGAAAGAAATTCTCAGACATGCAAGGATGCAGAAAATATTTCAAACACATCATGTTTTGAAAAAATGATTTCAGTAATTATTTTTAGTTGTTTGAAAAAAGTTGAAATTAAGAACTCAAGACTTGGCTGGGCATGGTGACTCAAACCTGTAATCCCAGCATTTTGGGAGGCCGAGGCAGGTGGAACACTTGAGGTCAGGAGTTTGAGACAAGCCTGGCTAACACAGGGAAACCACATCTCCACTAAAGATACAAAAATTTAGCCAGGCGCGATGGTGGGTGCCTGTAGTCCCAGCTACTCAGGAGGCTCAGGCAGGAGAATCGCTTGAATCCAGGAGGTGTAGTTTGCAGTGAACCGAGATCGCGCCACTGCACTCCAACCTGGGCAACAGAGCAAGACTCCGTCTTGAACAAACAAAGAAACAAAACAAAAAAAACCTCAAGACTTGAGATGTGGTTTAAAGAAATGTTGGTGTAAGGTCTGAATGTATTCCTCAAAATCCATATGTTGAAACTGACTTACCGATATGATAGTACTAAAATAGTAGGGGCTTAAGGGGATGATTGAGTCACGAGGACCCCTCCTGCAGAAATAGAACTAGTGAACTTGTTAAAGTGTGGGGGAAGCTAGCCAGGGTCTTTTGATCTTCACCTTCTGCCATGTCAGGACACAGTGTTCAAGGTGCATCTTGGAAGCAGAGGGAGGCCCTCACCAGACACCAGAACAACAAATCTGCCATTGCCTTGATCTTGGACTCTGCAGTCTTCAGGTCTGTGAGGAAATAAATCCTTGTTGTTCATGAATTACCCAGTCTGTAGTATTTTGTTACAGCAGCAGGAGTGGACTAAGGCAGCTGGAAAAAATAAAAGTTGGGAAACAATAAACAGTACAGGGAAACAGGAAGTGGCCTAATGCATCTAAGGCCCAAACTGAGTATGAAAGTACCTAGCACCCCACATTCCAAGTTCAGAGAGCTGCCCGCAGTTGGGAGTCATGTTCTTCTTGGCAATGAGGACTGAGGGCTGCCCCAGCTGGCCCTAAGACCCTGTCTGATATGGTTTGGATCTGTGTCCCCACCAAATCTCATGTCAAATCGTAATCCCCAGTGTTGGAGGTGGGGTCTGGTGGGAGGTGATTGGATCATGAAGGCGGTTTCTCGTGAATGGTTCAGCACCGTCCCTCCGTGGTACCGTACAGTGAGTGAGTTCTCTCGAGTTCTGGTTTTTTAAAAGTGTGCAGCACCTCCCTCTTGCTCTTCCTCTTGCTCTGATCATGTGAAGTGCTGGCTTCCCCTTTGCCTTCTGCCATGATTTTTAAGTTTCCTGAGGCCTCCCCAGAAGCTAATGCTACCATGCTTCCTGTGCAGCCTGCAGAATCATGAGCCAATTAAACCTGTTTTCTTTATAAATTACCCAGTCTCAGGTATTTCTTTATAGCAATACTAGAATGGACTAATACACTGTCCCTTGAGAGGAGAGAGGAAGTTGATTTTTTGTGGAGTTTCAAGTTAAAGGAGAAAGAGTATCCCTTTTTCTTCCTATAGAGGATGGAAGTGGATGTGTGACTGCAGAGTCCTAAAGCCAAGTGAGGGTTTTCAAGGAATCATGCAAAGATTATGGGGACTTGCAGGAAGTAGGGACTGACATTTGCTCCCTGGTTGTGAGCCTTTTTCACTATATACTTGCTATTCTGCCCTTGTACCACCTGAGAAGAAGGGAATTGCAGAGAGAAGTAGTGGAGCTCAGAAGGTAGAGAAGAAGCAGGTGCACTCAGTTATCTGCCTGGCCGAGGAAGCCAGCAGCCTCCAAGTGAGGTGAGTGGATGGGCAGGATGGAAAGGAGCCAGGCCTGGCCAGAACCCACCCAGGGGCTACTGCCGGGAGGAGCTGCACACACATTGACCACATTGACTGCATAGAATTGTCATAAATCTTTCAAGAATAGCAAAGCCACACTTCCTACAAACTAAGGTGAGAGAATTAGCTCTAGTGGAAATTAAGGTTTACTATAAAACTATGGTCATTATGACCATGTGGCATTGGAATAAAAACAAACATGAAAACAATGAATAGACTAGTGGGCCCAAACTAGACTTAAACATACCTGGTACCATTGCAGAGTGGAGAAGGCAAACAAACAAATAAATTTGACCTATATCTCAAACTCTACATAAACAATTTTTTTACCTTCAGGTGGCTTGTAATGAGAAGCAAAAGAAAAGAAAAAGGAAAAAGAAGATTCTAGGTGATAAATGAGCATCTTCATCACTTTAGGTAAGGAACAATTTTTAAAGTAGAACACAATAATTGATTAATTA